>NC_000004.12:153466835-153769865 GCF_000001405.40 Homo sapiens
TGCCCCGCAGCGGCCCGGCTTCCTGCAGCTTTGTTCCCCCGAGCCTGGCCGCCCAGGGTCCACACTCCAGATGCTCGGGCTGCGGAGCCCGGAGTGCCTCGTGGGGTGTCTTCACTCCCACTTCGTCCCCCCACCCCCAGCACGAGCACCCCGAGCCTGCCTGCACGCTGTCGCCTTCGCGTCCGAGGGGCCGCCGGCTCACACCCCACCCATTGTATTTTTATCCTTGGCTCGCCCCTGGGATGGCCTCTGTTCCCAGGAGGAAAAAGAGACGTGTTTTGGTGAGGCGGGGGGCACGGAGGGACGGTAGGGGAAACAGGAAGCGTTTCTTTAGCGTGCATTAAAAACGTGGTGTATTTTTTGGTGTTCCTGCAGCGATTGAGCCGTTGCCGAACGTGGTGGAGCTGTGGCAGGCAGAAGAAGGGGAACTCCTGCTGCCCACTCAGGTGAGGACGACCAGGTGACAGGGCGGCTGTGGGTGTACGAGGGAGGAGAGGCGGGGAGGCCCCCGGTCCTCCCCACCCCCTGTCCAAGCGGCACAGGCGTTCGGGCCACTTTGCAAGGCAAATAAACGTTAGGGGCCGAGCCTGAACACCTGGCAACGGTGGCCTTCCCGGCTCCTCCCACGCCATGTGACAGGGCCTGAGGCAGGCCGGCCCCAAGTTCAGAAGGTGGGAACCCAGGCCACCTCAGCAGGGAAGCGGCCAGCGGTCTGTTCGGCCGTGGGTGTCCTGGGTGCACACTGTTCCCTAAGTGAGCTGGTGCTGTGTGGATGGCAAGTGGCTAAGAGGTTGAGGACAACAGGAGTATTGATTTCATAAATGTTAGAGTGGTATTTGCCATTAGCGTTAAGTAGCTTTGGGATGGAGATGTGACTCTCAAGGATTGTCATCTTGGATTTTCTCCAAGTGCCCTTAATTCCTGTTAAAATACACCCACTTAAGAACTTGAATTTCTGGTTTTTTTCTCTGTATGATGATATGATGATTGCGTGTAGAAAAATAATTACTGACGTTTTATTGGGAATCTGTAGCATCATAGAGGGTTTATTGCTGCAACAGATACAGTACTGCAAAGCTTTTAACTTTTACAAGAAATTCCCATTGACTGTGAAGTGTGCACATTTAAATATAATGTTGTTGACTGCCTTTCACCAGTAACGGTAGTGATCCAAAATGCATTTTTTGGGTGGGAGTGGCTTGAATTATAAGGAAATATTTAGCTTGTGTGCAGTACTTTTTAAGATGTTCATTACTTCCCACGGTGGTGGCAGCACTTAATTCTGTGTTGTGTCTTGCGGCTGTTTAGAAAAACAGGATGTCTAGCTATAACTTTACCGGAGAGGCTGTCCAGTTTTACATTTCAGTTTTCTCCCTCCTATGTGAAACATTCAGAGTGCTGGTTTTGAGATATTTAGAATATTCATTTTGATCAGGGCTAATGAATAACAGCTTCAAGGCAGAGAGGTGATTTTAGAGGAGAATTTTCCTGGACCCTCCTTGAAGGCCAGCAGCCTGAATGAGACAGGTCTTTTGAGAAAGGGCCCCATCAGGATGAGGAGCAGATAGTTTTTCCTTCTCCTAAAAATTTATTCCCAAATGGATTTTTTCCCCGATTTTAAATAATATACATGTGTTTTTGAAGGTTTGGAAGATACAGAAATATAAAAAGAACAAAATAGAAATCCGTCGTATTCCTACTGCAAGAACGACATTTAACGCGATGTATTTATTTTAAAAAAATTATGTTTTTGTATATCAGAGTTGTTCAACAGTGGCACTGGTGACATTTTGGGCTACAGAGTTCTTTGTTGTGGGGGCTGTCCTGTGCACTGTGAGATGTTGAGCAGTTAGCATCCCTTGCCTCTACCCACTAGATGCCAGTGGCACTCACTGCTGCTTCCCCCTCTCCCCCACCCCCTCCTGATTTTGACAACTAAAAATGTTTCCAGACATTGCTAGATGTCCCTGGGGAGCAAAACTGCCCTGGTTGAGAAGCACTGGTGTATATCTATGTATATGTATTTGCATTTTTGCTCAATTATAGTTTCTATCTCTTACTGGCTAGTGTTGGAAGCCAACCCAGACTAAAAGGAAAGTAAATTATAGGTGATTGAGTCTAGTAGTATATACTCTCATTTGTTAGAGCGTTAGTTGAAGATTTAGTAGGTGTGCTCAGAGATGGAAATGTCAAGGCCTAAATGATTATTTGATTTATGGGCTCAAAAGTTATTTTATACAATTCTTAATTTCTGGTTTATTTGTATAATACAATTTGTTTTGATAATAGATGTCAGAATTCAGAAGCTGTCTGGGATATTCAGTATAGAGGGATTTATAGCTAAGCTATTTTAATCAAAGCTATAATGAAAGTGAAACTGGTTTTCAAAATAATTTTCTAAATACTTCATCCATATCTCTACGTATACCTTTTAGAAACTATCTTGCCCTGCTTATACCTGGGCCCAAGGGTAAGGGAGACACACACACACACACACACACACACGTGTGTATGTGTGTGTATATATATCTCATAAGCTACAGAGAGTTTTGAAGAAAGTTATTTTAAGTGAATTATTTTCAAAGTATTTTGAATTTTTTCAGCAAAAATTCCCTCATATGTGTCAAACGGAGTCTGTTGAAAAGAGAATATTTATAGGTGTTAATTTAAATTTGAGGGTTTTCTGCTTAATTAACCAGTACATTGGGTTTCTTTCATGCAGGAAGACTGAAAGATGGCTTCAGAGGCTAAGATTTGTCAGTAGTAGATGAAATAGGAACTTTAGAGGATGTGGCATTAAATAAAATACTGGCCAGGCTGGTGGCTCACGTCTGTAATCCCAGCACTTTGGAAGGCTGAGAGGGGTGGATCACCTGAGGTCAGGAGTTTGAGACCAGTCTGACCAACATGGACAAACTCTGTCTCTACTAAAAATGCAAAATTAGCCGGGCGTGGTGGTGCAGGCCTGTAATCCCAGCTGCTCGGGAGGCTGAGGCAGGAGAATTGCTTGAACCTGGGAGGCGGAGGTTACAGTGAGCTGAGATCGCGCTGAAGCACTCCAGCCTGGGCAACAAGAGCAAAACTTTGTCTCAAAAAACAAACAAACAAACAAACAAACAAAAAAACCAGTAACATATTTGCCAACACTGTTTGTATAGTTATTTATTTTGGAGATGTCTCCTGTTGATTAAGTCTTTTTTTTTTTTTAATGACAGGTCTCTAAGTGATCAAGACTAACTTACTATTAGTAAAACCATATATGACAACTAAATTGTTGTAAACTGTCAGAACCTCTGGCCAGGTCTCCTGGGTTTGAATCTCAGCCCTATCCCTTTTTAGCTCCATAAATTCACCTGTTTGTCCTGTTTTCTCATCTGCAAAGTCTGGGGAATTATGGTGCTGGTTTCAGAAGACTTTGAGAAGATTAAGTGCCTGGAACTTAGTGAGCACCTACTGTAGCTTACCTAATATTTTAGTGGTCCCTGAGCTGACTGGTAGACTTGGGCATTGGAGAGCATGAACGGCTTTCTTGTTTTGAAAGGTCTGAATAGTACAGATAACTCAGCACTATTGTGTGCTCTATGATTGTAAAGTTGTACTAGTCATATCTTTTTGTTATATACTCTCATGTCATAAAATCATTTGGTGTAGGAACATACAAACTGTATATCCATGGTGATCATGAGAGGAAGGAGGAAAAATATATATGATTTTATTCTTACATTTACAGAAATTTTCCTCTGCTCTGACTGTACTTGAACACACTGAATGCAAAGTGGTGATGGTGTGGAAACCAAACAGGTGTTTCATTAGCTTATTTTCAAGAAGTAATTGGGTGTGTGCAGGATACGGCTTTGTGTACCTTCTTACTTTGCCTTCAAAGTCAGAAACTGCGATTCCATGTGATCCACGCATAGGTGATGTCCACCTGACCTGCTCTGTCCTGCAGGGCCTTCCGTGTCAGTCCTGTGGTACGCCCACTCCAGCCCCACCCTTGGCCAAGCATGTCCAACACGTATCTGTTGAATTAATGAATGCAACAGCCCCGCTGGTCATTCAGGGCCTGTCCTTCCTGACTCCTGCCCTGCAGTGGCATTGTCATCGTTTCTCCCTCTTTGAGTTTCTTGTAGTGCCTTCGGTTTTTTTTGTTTGTTTTCTTTTTTTTTTTTGAGACTGAGTGTTGCTCTTGTCGCCTAGGCTGGAGTGCAATGATGTAATTTCGGCTCACTGCAACCTCCGCCTCCTGGGTTCAAGTGCTTCTCCTGCCTGAGCCTCCTGAGTAGCTGGGATTACAGGCATGCGCCACCATGCCCGGCTAATTTTTGTGTTTTTAGTAGAGACTGGGTTTCACTATGTTGGTCAGGCTGATCTTGAACTCCTGACCTTGTGATCTGCCTGCCTCAGCCTCCCAAAGTGCTGAGATTACAGGTGTGAGTCACCGTGCCCGGCCCATGTCTTCGTTTTTCTCCTTTGTCTTGTGCATGTCTTGTTGCCTTAACTGGGTTCTCCTTTGAGGGGCTGGGCTGCTAAGGGTTGGTGCCCTGCTGTGGCCACAGTGTCCTGCATACAGTAGACATTCAGTACTGCCCATGAAGTCGTCCTAGTGCGGGAGAGGCAGTTGTCAGTGTCTTGCCGAGTTCCCCTATTTATGAGGTTGGCTAAGTCTGCAGGTAACAGGTGGAATGCCTTAAATGGTTATTTCCTAGTATTGTTTGACAATCACATTTTTAAAAATCAGTTCTAGCTGCAAGAAGGGCAGTCTAGAATCTGTTCTTTCAATCCATCCAGACTTCTTTGAGAAGAGAAGGCTCACTCCTGATGCCCCTTGGTTAGCAGGTTTGGGAACCAGGGACAGGTGCTGAGTAGGAGCAGCCGTTACCTGATACAGAATCATGTTGGTGCTAGGCAGGGCTGGGCAGGCTCAGTGCTCCACTGCCGTTACTTGTTCATTTAGCAAAGATGGACCTTTGGGGCGGGCCCAGTTAGGTCTCCAGAGATACAGTGATGAATAAGAAAGAATCTGCCTTTAAAAATATCAAGTTTATTTTCCCGCATCTTAAGTCAGAGGGTGTAGATAACGGAAATTGGTAGAAAGTGAAACAGGAAATGATACACAGAGTTTTTGTTATCACAGGTACTGTGTTATGTAATAGCATCTTGCTCCAGTGAATCATTGACCAGTATTTGGTAATCTTTTTGTCATAGAGATTTATTTTTGGTTTAATCAACTTCCATCAACATTAAAAAAAAATAACTAACATGGGTTGGGCACTTCTGGCATCATTTAAATGCTTTATGAGTATTAACTCATTAACACACTAAACACTATGAAGTTTACAGATGATGAAATTGAGGCACAGAACAGCGAAATTACTTGGCTCAAGGTAATAAGAAAGTGACAGTCCTAGGAGAGTAAGTGTTTAACTATAGAGCCCAAGTTTTTAGCCATTACGTATGTTGTGTGAGTTTCAGTACAGTTTGACCAGAAAAGCACTATTATGGTGGTAAAGTTTCTGTGTCTGAGGGGAAAGCATGTCATGTTCTATTTTGATTTAGAAAAAGTTGCTTAGTGAAGTTCCCATAATAGTCATATCCACATGTAGTTAAGAAACAGCTGGCTTGTACTCAGCTCTGCAGATGTTTTATTGAGCACATACTGCAGGCCAAGCAGTGCTTTAGGTGTCAGGGATATTACAGTAGACAAAAAAAAACAAAAAACACCTGCCCTTGTGATGCTTGCAGTCTAAATGGAAGCAGAGAGATAGACAGTAAACAAGACAGAGAATAAATTTATTTAGTCTGTTCGAAGGGCATACATGTTGTGTGGTGGCAATGTGGGGTGGTGATGTGAGTTGCGGTTTTAAGAGGTCAAAGTGTACCACTCTGAAAGGGCAATATTTGAGCCAATCTTTGAAAGTGGTGAGAGAGAACAGCCAGTGCAAAGGCCCTGAGGCACTTCCCAAGAGGCAGTGGGGGAATTACATGCTTTTGTCCCTGCCCTTTGTGGTTGGCAAGATCAGACTGGTAATACCCTGGGACCACAGTCAAGTGCTGAAATATAGGAACTGAGAGAAGAGGCACCCTGCTTTGGAGAGGTCAGCTAAGGCTTAGGGACAAGGGAGGCCTTAGAGATCTGCAGCAGCAAGTGTGTGCCTGGGGCCTAGCCCAGAGCCTCGCCTGGTAGACAGTTAAGTTCAGCATTTTCCCTCGGACATTTTAAATTGGAGCCCAGGTGCTTGCCGCAATGTGGTTGTAGGGGTAGGGCTGGGTGTGTCAGGGCCTGTGTGGGACAGTGCTGTATGCTGTTGAAGAGCTTGGTGTGCATCTGACCAGTTGGAGGGAGCCATAGTAGGTTCTTGAGCAGGGACTGAAGTGATGACATTGAGTGCTGGGTCCTTACTGTGTGATAAGGGTGATAAGGAGTGAATGATATGAGGAGACTGGTCTTTGCTGCACAGAGTGCGATGGTGCACCGGATGGTTGCAGGCAGCAGTCTGCAGGCAGAGAAGAAAGCTGCGTTTGTCTTCTAATACAGCCGGGGCTACTGATGGTGTGGGCTGCTGTGTTGGAAGAAAGGACAGGTAGGAACTGGGTTTCCCGTGAGTGGGTAGGTCTTTCTGGTAGGAGGTGAAGGGAGGAGAGCAGTGCAAGATGACTATAAGATTTGCCCAGGGGTGGCCGGGCACAGTGGCTCACGCCTGTAATCCCAGCACTTTGGGAGGCCGAGGCGGGTGGATCACAAGGTCAGGAGTTTGAGAACAGCCTGGCCAACACAGTGAAACCCTGTTTCTACTAAAAATACAAAAATTAGCCAGGTGTGGTGGCATGTGCCTATAGTCCCAGCTACTTGGGAGGCTGAGGCAGGAGAATTGCTTGAACCCAGGAGGCGGAGGTTGCAGTGAGCCGAGACCCTGCCATTGTACTCCAGCCTGGGTGACAGAGCGAGACTCTGTCTCAAAAACAAACGAACAAACAGAAACAACGGTTAACACATGTTCTTTTTCAATAGGGTGATTCTGAAGAGGGTCTGGAGGAGCCTTCTCAAGAACAGAGGTAAGGAAAAAATGGGGGTGGAAACCTGCATGCTGAATGTCCCTGCCCACTTTGGGTGCTCTCTGAAGTCTCAGTATATGTCCATGTTTATGTATTTAGTAGTATCTGTAATACACCTTTCTCTTTGGCATTTGTCGTATCTATACCTTCTAATACATTAATACGATTTTGTTTTAAAATAAGGTTGTTTAGAAAGCTGTTAGAAATAGCCCCTCCTTCGCCACTCACCAATTTCACTTTTTCCATGATGTGCTTGTGCCCTCCCTCTTGTTTATAAACATCTATTGAGTGCCAGGCACCGTGCTGGGTGCTGAACATGAAACACAAACAAGACCTCTGTTTCGTGTAGTGGGCAAGTAAGACTTTACTGTAAGTAAAATAATTATGCTTATGACAAGAGCTATCAAGAATTAGTTTCCTGTAGTAGAGAATAATGAGGTGGATGGGCTCCTTTTGGGAGGTGACATTCCAGCTGAAGCCTGGAGGAAACAGGAGCAGCCACACAGCAGCGGGAACAGTGCTTTGGTCAGAGGGAATGGAGGTGCAAAGGCCCTAAGGCTGGAAGCCCTGCCGGCAATCCAGGAACTTGGAGAAGGCCAGTGTGGTTTGTAGGATGGTGAGATAAGGTATGTAGTCCTTTAGAAGTCGCAGTAAGGAATTTGAGTTTTGTTTTTAAGTGTGGTGTGAATTGTTAAAGAATTTTAACCAGGGGACTGGAATACAGTGGTATGATCCTGGTTCACTGCAACCTCCGCCTCCTGGGTTCAAGCAATTCTCCTGCCTCAGCCTCTCAAGTAGCTGGGATTACAGGCGTGTGTCAACATGCCTGGCTAATTTTTGTATTTTTAGTAGAGACAGGGTTTCTCCATGCTAGCCAGGCTGGTCTCAAACTCCTGACCTCAAGTGATCCGCCCGACTTCGCCTCCCATAGTGCTGGGATTACAGACATGAGCCACCGCACTCGGTCCTGTGAATTCCATTTTTAAGAGAATACCATGGGGCAGTCTTGGTCACTTGTCAAACTGGGTCCCTTAGAGGTACACGAAGACACTCTAAGTGGTGTATAAGTGGGAGGATAACTTGCAAGGACTACGCTTCCAGACCCCCAGGGTGTAGGTATCTCCTAAAGCTGATCTGAGTTGTAAGTTACCATTTTCCACCTCTGCTTTCACAATCTCTTTTCTCCACGTTACAAAAGAAAGCTGTATCTTCCACCCAGCCCCAATCCTGCTGTTGGCTTCATCTTGGGCAAAGAGGCAATTTGAAATATTGGTGTTTGTTAGGAAAAAGTGATCCACTCTGATTGGATGACAAATTCTTTAGTAACTTTGGTGGTTTTCAGATCGTTCCTTTTAGTAAAATTGAAGGAGGACCCAATGAATTTGACAACTGATAGATCATTCAAGTTACTTTTAATGATGGCTCACTGTGTGATTTTTAGATGAAACACTGAGGTAGTTTAGAGAATATACGGATAGTGCTGTAATAAAGCTGTTTCAGTACTTACAAGCTTTTTCAGTACTTACATTTAAAAAAGTTAAAAAGGAAAGGATTAAGTTGATAAAAAACCTGTCTCATTCTAGTAGTGGGTAATGTTCACATCAACCAGTTGGGGGGAAAATAGCTCTGTTCATCTCATTAAAGGATGCATTTTCAATAAGATTTTACTTTCTGTGTTTAATTACCTATCAAAATTTGTAAAACTTGTTGGTTTGATCAATTGTATGCAGTCGGCCCTCTGTATCTGTGACTTCTGCATTCGTGGATTCAACAAACTGTGGATCGAAAATACAGAAAAAAAAAGTATCTGTACTGAATATGTACAGACTTTTTCTTGTCATTATTCCTTAATACAGTATAAAAACTATTTACATAGCATTCACATTGTATTAGGTATTATTAGTAACCTAGAGATGATTTAAAGTATACAGGAGGATGTGCATAGGTTATATGCAAATACTATATACCATTTTATATCAGGGACTTGAGCATCTTCAGAATTTGATATTCTTGAGACGTCCTGGAACCAATCTCTCAGGGATTCGACTGTACTAATACAAATTGTATTGATAACTTTTTTTGTTTTTGGAAACAGTGTCTCACTCTGTTGCCCAGGCTGGAGTGCAGTGGTGTGATCTCGGCCTACTGCAACCTCCCCCTCCTGGGTTCAAGTGATTCTCCTGCCTCAGCTTCCTGAGTAGCTGGGATGGCAGGTGCACACAATCACGCCCGGCTAATTTTTGTATTTTTAGTAGAGATGAGGTTTCACCATGTTGGCCAGGCTGGTCTTGAACTCCTAACCTCAGGTTATCCGCCGGCCTCAGCCTCTCAGAGTGCTGGTATTACAGGCATGAGCCACCACGCCTGGCCTGAATTGATAACTTAATTCAGAAGGAAAAAAATTAATATTTAGACCTATGGTCATAGGAAAAATGTTTTAAAAACCTGAAATTTCAATTTATATTTATAGTCTTGTAGCAGAAGGCTTTGAACATAACTATGTATTCAGTTAAAATTCCTTGGGTAGGGCCAGGCGCAGTGGCTGACGCCTGTAATCACAGCACTTTGGGAAGCTGAGGCAGGCGGATCACGAGGTCAGGTGATCAAGACCATCCTGGATAACACAGTGAAACCCCCTCTCTACTAAATACACAAAAAATTAGCCAGGTGTGGTGGTGGGCGCCTGTAGTCCCAGCTACTCGGGAGGCTGAGGCAGGAGAATGGCATGAACCCGGGAGGCGGAGCTTGCAGTGAGCTGAGATCGCACCACTGCACTCCAGCCTGGGAGACAGATTCCATCTCAAAAAAAACAAAAACAAAAACAAAACAAAACCAAAAATTCCTTGGGTGACGTGGAATAGAAATGAGTTCATGGAGGAAAAGGAACAACATAAAATATCCAGCCATGAAGTTTATTTTTGTATTTAAAAAAATGGATAATGGTAGATATCATTTCAGTGGTATTTAGATTCCATTGAATTTATTTTAAAAAGGGATTGTGAGTTTTATTAAAAATGCCAGTACGTACAGTGTGGCAGAGATTACATTTTTACAGCTGGTAAACGCCCACAATTGTAAATGTGACACAACTTAAACATCCTTTTTGGGTGTGTGGGAGCAAGAAAAATTGAGGAATGTTGATATCAGGGTAGGGGGTTGAAAGTGGATGGAGGGAAATGGAACATTTTGAGATACATTCTTGAGGCGGGACAGATCCTTTACTTGTTGAATTTGTTGTGGAGTGTGAGGGAAAGAGAAATCATGGAGAGAGAGCATCTAGATTTTGGCTTAAATGTCTGGAGAGATGGTGATGACTGTGCTGGGAAAGGATTTAGTGGGAGGGAATCAGGAACTGTGTTCGGCTGCCTCCTGGGAATCTCAGACTTGATATGACACGTCTACAGGGAGATGGCAGGTAGAGTTGATACCACTCTGGAGCTCGGAGGCCAGGGCTGCAGACCCAGGTGTGGGTGTGTGCAGCCCATAGAGAGCTGTGTTGCACGTGCCTTTGTATTTGTTTTCTTTTGTAGATGCAGTTCTCTTCATTCTTATTATTCAGCACTAGTTTCTTTTTGCCAGTTTTTTCAAAAATCAAACTTTAAGATATTCGTAGATTTTGTCCTTATTGGTCTTTTCACATAGCATCAGATTATCAGAATGAAAGATGTGGGAATGAGGGAGAACAGTGTCCTTTTTGACGATGACTTATATAAAAAAAAAATTTTACATCATGCCTGTGTACTTGCAAGCATATACATGGATGTATGAATATATACATGTGTATAATCTATGTGCTTTTTTATTTATAAAAATGAATTAAAGTTTCAGAAAATAGTACTCACTCTTGTTGCCTGCAATGTATTCTATTTTCTATTGCATTTTCTTTTATCACCTACTGGCTTTATTTATTTTTTGGTAATAGCTTGATTGAGATGTTGTTCACGTAGCATATAATTCACCCATTTAAAGTGCACAGTTGGTTTTCAGCATATTCAGAGTTGTATAACTGTTACTACAATAAATTTTAGAAGAACATTTTGTCTTCCCGAAAGAAGTGCCTTACCCTTTAGCCATCAACCTCCAATCTCCTATCCCTGCCTGGATTCATTTTAAAACTCAGTACATCATAGTTCACAGTCTGATCAACCTTAATTTATATGTTTTATCTTCCTGATATTAAATATTCCAGTATTTTGCTATTTTATCTCTACTTTTTAAAAACTTGACTTGCAAACCTCTTTGTTTCTTTTGGCTTTTTTTGGGTTGAGGTCTGTTCCTCATGTGTAAAGAAATGATCATGATGTGGGTGGGATGCTGCTTTTAAAAACCTTTGTGTCCATTTTTTGAAAATGCAGATTCTGAAGCTGTCTCCAAGAATTAGCTCTGTAAGTGTAATGTTCTGTGATTGGTAAATTAGTCACCTACGTACTTACTATTCATTTACCTTCTACCTTCTTAATTTTGTAACTTCCCCAAAACCCACCTTATTTCTTGCTACTTTGAAAAGAAAACTTTTGCTTTAGAGTAGATTTAAATTTATAGAAAAATTACAAAGATAGTACAGAGACGTCCTGTATACCCCTCACCCAGTGAACCCTAATGTTAATGTCTTATATTACTGTGGTACATTTGTCACTGAGAAACCAACATTAGTATCTTACTGTGAGCTAAACTCCACACTTTATTCACATTTCACTAGTTTTTCCCTAATGTTCTTTTTGGAGGCAAGTCATTAAGTGAAGTTGAGCTTCACCGACACAAATTATATGAAATTCTGTATGGGAGATTTGTCGGTTCTCATTTATTTATATCTTGTGAGCTCATGGATATTTATACTTTGGGTTATAATCCAATATTAGGTTTGCCCTGCTGTTTTAATGTCATTTATCCTTAATCTTATTTATGAAGTTATTAACATTTGTTTACACATTTTTCAAATTTTATTATGATTTTAATTTTAATAACTACCCCACGATACCAGCTTAATGAAGGTCAGGTGGACTTAAAGTTAATAGAAGAGCACCATTTATCAGTTCCACAAAATGAATGCATTGTCTCTTAAGAACCCATACAGAGGAGTCACTACTAACTTTGGACTTGAGAAATAATTTGCCTGTAAGACAGTCTTAGCATGTTCCCCAAATGTAAAGGAAGCGCTGATGTCTATCACTGGACAGAAAGAATCTAAAGAGTGAGGAGGTCTCTGTTTTACTGGCAAGACTGCCCAAGGTGGGGCTGGAACGGGACCAGTGTGAATTCTGGGCAGCAGGCTTCCTAGAGCAGCTTGCCTGTTACCTCAAAGTCTGGGAAAGCTTTCAGGGTAATTGGCCTCATTGAAGATTTTGTTTATGTTATTCTGCCTTCATCTTCTGTGGATGCTATGTAATTGTATTTGGTCGAAAGCCAAAAAAGCAATATTTGAGAAATGTTCTTCCCTCTTTCCTCTTCATCCCCATTTTTCCCTGGGTATTCTCAAATATCAACAGTAATATGTTCCTTTGCTGAGAAAGATCGTTTTTGGGAATTCAGTGATGAGAGCAAAGGGGAACTGACTTCAGCTCTTACTAGAACTGAATGCCCTGGGAAGCATGTCTGGCTCTCTGTATATATCTCTCTCTGGTAAGCCTTTTTTTGAGTTATATTTGAATAGCAGAAGTTTAAGCATTGACAATGTATGAGTAGTATATTCAGGTTTTAAAATGCGTACAAAAATCATAAATACTGTCTAGGTACAATGTCTATGAAAGTTTTTTTTTTGGTGGTTTTTTGTTTTTAAAATGTACTTTTATCTGATTAGTAGTAACAGCAGCAAAATGTGTTCTCCTGAAATAGTTTTAACACCAGTGAAAGGTGGATCTTGGGAGCCAGAACATGAAGAGAATCTCATTGTCCTGTCAGCAACATACTGGAAGATACAATTGCAGACAAGAACAACTTAATCTTTGGGGACACTCGCTTTTGGCAGTGAAACATTTCAGAGCCCCCACAGGGAGTGGAACTACTTCTCACTTTTCTTTGTTATTCAGAAATGGAAGTTCTGGGCTGGGCACAGTGGCTCATGCCTGTAATCCCAGGACTGTGGGAGGCCAAGGCGGGCGGATCACCTGACGTCAGGAGACCAGCCTGGCCAAAATAGTGAAACACCGTCTCTACTAAAAATACAAAAATAGGCTGGGCGCGGTGGCTCACGCGTGTAATCCCAGCACTTTGGGAGGCTGAGGCGGGCAGATCAGGAGGTCAGGAGATCGAGACCATCCTGGCTAACAGGGTGAAACCCCGTCTCTACTAAAAATATAAAAAATTAGCTGGGCGTGGTGGCGGACGCCTGTAGTCCCAGCTGCTTGGGAGGCTGAGGCAGGAGAATGGCATGAACCCGGGAGTCGGAGCTTGCAGCGAGCCGAGATCGCGCCACTGCACTCCAGCCTGGGCGACAGAGCGAGACTCCGTCTCAAAAGAAAACAAAACAAAACAAAAACCAAAAATAAGCCGGGCGTGGCAGCATGAGCCTGTAGTCCCAGCTACTCCAGAGGCTGAGGCAGGAGAAGTGCTTGAACTCAGGAGGTGGAGGTTGCAGTGAGCTGAGATCGCGCAACTGCACTCCAGCCTGGGTGACGGCAAGACTCCATCTCAAAAAAAAAAAAAAAAAAAAAAGGAAATGGAAGTTCCTTCCCTGTTTATAGGATCTCACATTTTTTAACCTGAAGTATCTCACCAGGGTTCCACTGGGGACCTTCCTATCTTCCCACCCTGTCATCTACCTAGGTGACCCAGCCTGTTCTGTTGGCTTTAAAAAAATTAAAAGAAAAATTTTTTTATGGCTACACAGCAGTGTATATATTTGTTGCTCTGTTGGCTTTTTATATACTCTCTATATAGAAGGAAGTTGAACATGGATCATACCTTCTCCCCAGAGTTCTCCTTTAGCTTGCAGGTGCCACAAAATTACTGTGTCCTGAACTGAGCTTCTGGGCCTCTCGCTGTCCCCAGTTCCTGTGCCTGCCGTCACGAGGTGTGGTTGAGTCTTCATGTGGTCTTCTGTCTCCATTCTGTAGCCACCCCATCCTGTTCTCCTCACGTCCATTTGTCCTACATCCTTTCCTGTCATCCCTTTGAAGAACAGCCTTTTATGGACTGCAGTACCTTGGGGACGAAGTGCAGGGTCCTGAGCATGGCATCAGTGATGTAGAAGCCCTTTGGGGATTGAGGCCTCTTCAACCTCTTCCTCCAGTCTCACTTTCTGATCATTCACCTGGGCTCTCTTTTTTTGCCAAAACACTTTTCTCTTCCCCAGCCATCTCCCTCCATCCTGCTTTCCATAGCACCCTGGCACTTATCTTAGCAGAAGGCCGTTACTCCTCTGTTTGGAAATTACCTTTCTCAGGGTACCCAAGTTTCTGAGTCTCATGCACCTGTCTCCCTAGCACCTAACCTCATACCTGACACCTGGGTGAAGAGCTGAAGGAATGGGTGAAGGGCTGACAACTGGGTGAAGAGCTGCAGAAGGAATGCAAGCTCATGCTTTTACATTTAAAGCTTTTACATTGATTACTTGTTATGTTTTGCACGTCCTCCACGTTCAAGCCTGCAAACCATATTTGCCATTGAAATAACAGGACTAGTATTTGTGTTAGAGGCTGTATTCTTTTATTTTTAGTTTTATTTTTTGAGACAGGGTCTCAGTCTGTCACCTAGGCTTTAGTGCAGTGGCATCATCTTAGCTCACTGCAACCTCCGCCTCCTGGGCTTAAGGGATCCTCCAACCTCAGCCTCTTGAGTAGCTGGGACCACAGTCACCTGCCACCACGGCTGGCTGATTTTTGTATTTTTTTTGTAGAGTTGGGGTTTCACGTTGTTGCGCAGTCTTGTCTCGAACTCCTGGGCTCAAGTGATCCACCCGCCTTAGCCTCACAAAGTGCTGGGATTACAGGCGTGAGCCACTGCGCCTGGCCCAGAGACTGTATTATTATTATTATTTTTGAGACGGAGTCTCACTCTGTCAGCAGGCTGGAGTGCAGTGACGCGATCTCGGCTCACTGCAGCCTCCATCTCCCAGGTTCAAGGGTTTCTCCTGCCTCAGCCTCCTGAGTAGCTGGGACTACAGGCAGGCACCAGCACGCCCAGCTAATTTTTGTATTTTTAGTAGAGATAGGGTTTCACCATGTTGGATAAATGGTCTTGATCTCTTGACCTCGTCATCTGCCTGCCTCGGCCTCCCAAAGTGCTGGGATTACAGGTGTACACCACCGTGCCTGGCAGAGGCTGTATTTTTATACTGAGTTTCTGTAGTTGGTTGTTTTTTTCTTAAAGAGGATGGGTTATTCACTCTATCCATGTATAGCCTCATGGTACCTTCTACAGGGTCCTGTGGGCTCTGGGAGCTTTGCAGAATGAATGCATTCAACCATGGTCTGTGCAGCCATAACAATGTAAAGTAATTTTTTTGACTGTTGTAGAGCTCATAATTTAGGTGTTCTCCTTAATACAATACAGATTTTTAAACAGGGTTCTTGGTATATATTAAAATTGTATTCAAGCCACAGAAACCTTTTTTTTAGGTGAAAAAATTGTGAAATTTTTAGCAAAGCTTTTGACACCTATTTATATAGTTATTTAGCCTTCAGTTGAAATAAATCAGAAAAATAGTACAGTAAGATCAGAATACTAATTTTGGTTTTCATTGAAATTTTTAGTTCCTAAAAACTTTTATTTTATTTATTTTTTGAGATAGGGTTTTGCTCTGTTGCCCAGGCTGGAGTTCAATTGTGCTGTCATAGTGAACTGCAGCCTGGACTTCATGGGCTTAAGCAGTCCTTCCGCCTCAGCCTCTCCAGTAGCTGGGGCTACAGGTACACGTCACCATGCCCGGCTAATATTTTTTTTATTTTGTTTTTGTAGAGATGAGGTCTTCCTATGTTGCCCACACTGTTCTCTAACTCAAGCAGTCCTCTTGTCTCAGCCTTCTAAAATGTTGGCATTACAGGCGTGAGCCATCGTGTCCAGTCCCTAAAAACACTTTTGGTTCCTCCTAGATAACATGTTTTTACAAGCACCAGGGTGATTAGGTTCGTATTCATTTTTATCTTTATATTGAAAGGTTATTTGAACCTTTAATAATTCCATATTAAAGAATTACTTAATTCTTTAAGAATTTTGAAAAAAAAATAATTTTGAAGGGTTAGTCTAGAATAAAAATAGGCAAAACACTTCGTTAATGTCAACTTTCCTGAAACAAAAAAAGTAGAATTAAGGTCTGGGGAAGCTGGATATTATACGTAAATGTAGTGATGCAGTTCCAGAAATTCGTTGTTCCTTACTTTTTAGACTAGAGATTGCCTTTGGGAGAAGTGGTTTAACTCAGCATTAAATTCTGAATCAGCTTTGCTTCATTCCATATGCCACTCAGTGGCTTGACTATTTATTGCTACATGTCATAATATTTAACAGTAAAATAACTTAATGGAATCATTCAGTAAGATGTGCGTTCTGAAGAAAGAGCTAGACAAATCCAACAACCCAAGAAGAGACTTAGGAGGCTGGGTGTGGTGGCTCATGCCTCTAGCACTTTGAGAGGCTGAGGTGGGAGGATCGGCTTGAGCTCAGGAGTTCGATAGCAGCGTGGGTCACAAAGTGAGACCCTGTCTCTACAAAAACAAAACAAAAAAAAAGTGGGGCGTGGTGATGTGCACCTATAGGCCCAGCTACTCGGCAGGCTGAGGCTCACTTGAGCCCAGGAGGTTGAGGTTGCCGTGAGCTGTGATTTTGCCACTGTACTCCAGCCTGGGTGACAGAGAGGCCCTATCTCTAAAAATAAAAAAAGGCTATGAGAAGCTTGTTTTAGGCAAGAATGAAGGTATTGCTGTGTAAGAAAGAGAAGAGACTTGGGTGTTTTGCCGTTGAGAACCAAACTTACATTTCTTTAGGAAGGCTTCTAGCTAGAGAGTCAGGTATAAGCTGACATTTCGGCTTCTCTTATGCAGTGGACATTGTGCTTCAGATTGCTTTCACTTGTCACGGTGGGTCAGTGAGAAATGAAAGTACTTTTTGGATGGATCCCAACATCGGCAGCAGTATTAATTCTGTGAGGGTGTTCTGGATATGTTATGATATTAAGCTTCTTATTGCTTAAGAAGGTAGCAGAGCTTGGAGTTTCCAGGCTCAAAGGAGAAATTTCCCAAGGCAGTCTTCTCTGTCTAGGAACACCAATATTAAGATAATGGGGTCTCCTGGGAGCTTGTTACTTGTTTTAAGTGAATTGTCACCAGAGTATTAGTTTGTTGTTAGAGTCTTCCACATATGAAATATGACCCTGAAGTAAATAGTAATTTTCCCCCCAATCAATTAAACAAAAGAATGTTATCATGTTACAAATAATTGCTGTGGTAGTCTAGGCAGTATTTTACAGATGTGTGGTGCCCAATTAATGTTTTTGGAACCATTGTTTTAGCATTGTCTTTGCAACCAATTTATAAATGATATGAGAAAAAGTCTTGTTTGCTTATTGTAGTCTTTCTCAATGTTTTCTCCCAAAGTTTTCTCCCAAAGTAGTAGGGATGTAGTTTTTATTTTTATTATTTTTATTTTATTTTTATTTTTTTTTTGAGACAGAGTCTCGCTCTGCCACCCAGGCTGGAGTGCAGTGGCACGATCTTGGCTCACTGCAAGCTCTGCCTCCCGGGTTCATGCCATTCTCCTGCCTCAGCCTCCCGAGTAGCTGGGAATACAGGCGCCCGCCACCACGCCCAGCTAATTTTTTGTATTTTCAGTAGAGACGGGGTTTCACCATGTTACTCAGGATGGTCTCAATCTCCTGACCTTGTGATCCGCCCGCCTCGGCCTCCCAAAGTGCTGAGATTACAGGCGTGAGCCACCGTGCCCGGCCATAGGGATGTAGTTTTTAAAGTCTCCTGTAAGCATGAAAATTCTTTGGAAATTAAAAAAAAAAAAATTCAGGCCAGGTGCAGTGGCTCACGCCTGTAATCCCAGCACTTTGGGAGGCCGAGGCGGGCGGATCACGAGGTCAGGAGATCGAGACCATCCTGGCTAACATGGTGAAACCCCGTCTCTACTAAAAATACAAAAAATTAGCTGGGCGTGGTGGCGGGCGCCTGTAGTCCCAGCTACTTGGGAGGCTGAGGCAGGAGAATGGCATGAACCCGGGAAGTGGAGCTTGCAGTGAGCCGAGATCACACCACTGTACTCTGACCTGGGCGAAAGAGCGAGACTCTGTCTCATTAAAAAAAAAAAAAAAAAAAAAAAATCAGCATTTGTTGAGAATTTAAATACTACTCACTGTTGATTCGTTTTTATTATGTTCCAAAAATCTTCTAGTACAATTTATGTTTCAGGAAGGTGGCCATATTTAATTCATTGCGTTGCCTTCTCTAACATACATGTACACATCCCAGTTTGAGAAACATTGTCCAGTCCCTATTGTTCTTACCCAGTTTGTTCAGGTATTTTATTTGGAAAACATGGCTCCGAATGATACATGCATGTTGGATTAAAACTGAACTTCTTCTGTAGGAAAGATGATTTGCCCCCCTGTGAAGTGCCCAGATACCCACTGTTGCATTTGAAGGTGGATCCCAGAGAATAGCCTCAGTAAAAGCATAGTCATAGTGTGTGGCCTGCCAAGTGAACCATGTAAAATGTATATAGTAAATAATTCATATTGATATTGTGCCTTGTACAACATTGACTTTGAGGGTTGTAACTACCTTGTGGATGTTGCTGCCACTAAATTATTTACAGTAAAGGTTCTGTTTGAATTACAATCCAAACAGTGTTCGATTGGTAGTTATGACAGGTGTATGTAGTATGCATTTTTGGTGGAGTAATTCTTCTAGGATTGTAATTAATCCTGTTTCTTCAAATCAGGTCATGTTAATCCACTTAATCCATAAAAATTGGATTTAAGTAATTGCCCTTGTGTAAACCTTATGGTTTACAAAGTGCTTTCACATGTATCTTCCTTACATAACCAGGTGGATATGTGGTAGTATTCCCATTTTATAGATGAGGAGACAGGTTCATCAAGGTAAAACAATTTGTTGAAGGTTATAGAGCTATGAAGTGACAGAACATGTGCGTGATCCTAGGTGTCCTCTCTCTGTAAGTGCATACTTGTCTGCTTTGGAGTGGAAAGCCACTTTCCCAATTAGATGTACAGCTGTCTGTCGAAGGAGACTAAGTCCGAGATTAACGGATGGAAGCAACTGAATACTTTCTTAGGCCCTAGTATTATATGGTTCCTAGCAAATCCCTGAAAAAAAAAGAGCATGACTCGTGTAAGATAGACCCAGGGTTGGTCCTTCAGTAATATTTTACTGTATGCTAGATAACTTCTTTAGTTTTATGCTAATTCTAAGTGTGGATTATCCACAGATATTCAGCTACATAGCTTTTGAAATGTGGAAAATTTAAATCTGAAATATTGGGATTAGTTTGTGGAACACATGCCATTGTAATGTGTGCTGAGAGGTTGCCTTTAGAGGAGCTGTCCTGTCAGCTTGCTTTGCTTTGGGATTATTTTCAGCAGCAAGTAACAAAACCCTGACTCAACCAGCTCAAACAATAAAGAATGCATGATGTCACTTAACAAGAAGCCTGGAGGCAGGGTGGTTCTGGGTTGGTTTACTCAGCAGGTTAGTGTCAGCACCTGGGAGCCTGGTTCTTCGGACCTGTCTGTTCTGTTGGACTCTGTGTGCCGTGCAGCTCCCCTCACGTTTGCAGGAGGTCTGTGTGCTTCACAGCCTCCCAGCCTCCCACCTGAACATCCAAAGGCAGGTTAAAAGAACCCCTGGCTACTTTCTCAGAAGTACTCCCCAGCAGACTTCCCCTTCACATCTTACAGGTGGGTCTGCACTCACCTTGAACCACTCACCCACCCACGCCTGTGGAGTGGTGGAACCACGTGATCAGCTCTGTCCTGCAGGGTTTAGTCATAGGGAGCACAACCCGGCTTTGCCTAAGTGGGAGGAAGGGAATGGGCAGTGGGAAGGCCGACAGCAGTGTGTGCTATGCTGAGTGCTATGCTGGGCCACCTGAGCTCAGCGAGAAATGAGCGGTCTAGGGCAGTGTTTCTCGAAGCCTGGTCCAGGGACCTAAATCAGCATCGCTTGGGAACTCGCTAGACTGGCCGGTTCTCAGACCCCACCCCAGACCTGGTGTGAATCAGAAGCTCTAGGGGAGGAGCCCAGAGATCTGTTTTAACAAGCCCTCCAGGTGGCTCTGATGCACGCTCAAGTTTGAAAACCATTGGCCCAGGGTGAGGCAGCTCAGGGACCATGTTACAAAATATACTTTTTGTGGAGGATTAAATAATGAGAGGTAGAAATAGTCTTGTAGGTAAAACAGTGGGTGGAAATTGGGAGATGGTTGCTTTTCAGCCTGACTTACCACCACTGGCCCAGGATTTTATCAAACCTAGAATCCGTACGTATTCTCTTCATAGGGTATGGAGTGTTAGCTGGTGGATCGAGTGTGTCCGAAGAAGTTCTGCTGCAATGATGCACATGGGGGTGGGGTTCCAGGCTGAGCTTTGGTGTCCACCTATCAGGGTCTCATATGTCCTGGCATGCCTGGTAAATAGGTGGGTTAGGCCATTGCAGGTCAGCTTCCAGGGGAGGACTGAGGAACCTTCTGAGGGAGAATTCATTCATTATAAGGGAAGTAAGTTTGGCAGAAAACCTTGGCCCAGTAACAGAAAGTCTCAGTTGTTGGATGGGAGTGGCCACTCACAGCACAGGGTGGTATGTGTATTCAGATCTGTCTCCTGGCCCAGGCCCCTGTGGAGCTGCACAGGCGTGTGTGTGTGTGTGTGTGTGTGTGTGAGAGAGAGAGAGAGAGAGACACCCTCGTGGGCCTGTGGCTGAGCTGTATGTGTGTGTGTGGGAGTGTGCGAGAGAGAGGAGCCAGGGACAAGGAGAGAGACCCTTGTGGGCCTGTGGCTGAGGTGTATGTGTGTGAGAGAGAGTGAGAGAGACAAAGAGACAGACAGACTCTGGTGGGCCTGTGGCTGAGATGTGTGTTTGTGAGTGCGAGAGAGCAGACAGGGACAAAGAGAGAGACCTTTGTGGGCCTGTGGCTGGTTGTGTGTGTTTGTGTATGTATGAGAGACAAGAGAGACTCTTGTGAGCCTATGACTGAGGGGTGTGTGTGTGTATGTGTGCATGTTGAGAGAGACCCTGGTGAGCCTGTGGCTGAGTTTTGTGTGCGTGTGTGTGTGTGAGAGAGAGACCGAGACCGTTGTGGGTTTGTGGCTGAGTTTTGTGTGAGAGAGAGAGACCCTGTGGGCCTGTGGCTGAGTTGTGTGTAAGAGAGAATGAGGGTGCGTGAGTGCACCAGTGTGAGTGGGGTTGTTGGGGCATGAGGAAGGATATTACTTAAGGCAAAACTGAAAGAAGTGTTCTAAAAATTCTGTGAGAAACTGGGGTGGGCGGAAGCAGCACGGGGCACTGCCCACCCCAAGGGGACTTCCACACCCCGTCCTGCAGCTGGAGGGCCAGGGCTGCCTGTGGGAGGAGTGGGGACCGGGCCCTGGTGAGGGCAGGGCCCAGAGGAGGCAGCCGGGAACTTGGAGAGAAGGAACAAAATTGGGACAAGGGCCTGGGCCTGGGATAGCCCAGCCTGTTGTGTGCCACTTACAGGGGAGAAGGGCCTCCCCAGCCACACAGCAACCCGGGGATTCCCTGCGGCTCTGTTGTGGTGGAGTGGGAGCATTTGCCAGCTGAGGGGGCTGGATGGAGTAGGGCAACAGGAAGCAACTCAAGTTCAAGTGTGGTGTATTAATTTCCCAGGGCTGTCTAACGAAGTGCCACAAACTGCGCGGCTTTAGAACAACAGAATTGTATTCTCTCCTCACAGTCCGGTGGCTGGAAGTCCTCTGTCAAGCCGGCAGGGCCACGCTGCCTCTGAAACCCTCGGGGAGTCCGCCCTCGCCTTTTCCTAGCTTCTGCGGGCTCGCCGGCAGCCTGTGGGGTTTCTTGGCTTGCAGCTGCGGCACTCCAGTCTCTTGTCGCACAGCGCTCTCCCTGGGTGTCTCCGTGCTTTCACGTGGCTGTCGTATAAGGACACCAGTTATATTGAAGCAGGGGCCCACCCTACTCCAGTCCAGCCTCATCTGGACTAATTGCATCTGCACCAACCCTGTTTCCAAGTCAGGTCACATTCTGAGGTACTGGGGTTAGGACTTTGACATATCATGTTGGGGTTGGTGGAGACACAGTTTAACCCATAACACATAGTCCCCAGCGAGACTCGTCTGTGAGCCCTTGTGAATGTCCCTCACTTGTTTTCCTTGCCCTCCCCCAACACCAGGGCTCCTGAGAAACGCCTTTTTGGTATTGGGCTGGTGATGTGTGAAGCGATCCACTGTGAAGCTTCCTTCCTGAGAGCTGCACAGACCAGTCTACGGCAGCTTTGGACTCCTGGGCTCCAGCCGCAGCTGCAAAACCCACGCAGTTTCTTCCCAGCTCATTGAACCTGGCCTTTTGGTTGAATGGATTTTATTTCTGAATTATTTCTTTGTGTATCTGTAGGAGCACGTCCAAGGAAAATTCTTTATTTTCACAAGATTGTGAGCACTGGGGAGAAGTATTTTTTTCTTGAGACAGAGTCTCACTCTCTCACTCAGGCTGGAGTGCGGTGGTACGATCTCAGTTCACTGCAACCTCTGCCTTCCAGGTTCAAGCGATTCTCCTGCCTCGGCCCCCTGAGTAGCTGGGGTTACAGGCATGTACCACCATGCCCGGCTAATTTTTGTATTTTTAGTAGAGACGGGGTTTCACCATGTTGGTCAGGCTGGTCTCAAACTCCTGACCTCATGGTCCACCCACCTTGGCCTCCCAAAGTGCTGAAATTACAGGTGTGAGCCACTGCGCCTGGCCCAATTTTTTTTTTTTCTTGCGGAAAATAAGTGGGCAGATTTAATAATGAGCAAATAGGCAAAACCATGAAATCAAACCTCGTTCCTTGTGTCAGAATTCAGAAAAAAGCGACTAATGTAACTGGTGCCAGGCTGTGTGTGCTGTGGTGTGTCTCTGTATGTGAGTATCTTAAACTTGTTTCATTATCAGTTTAATTTAGCAAATGAATACGAGTTGATTCCCAGGCTGAAGCAGGTCTTGGTGGGCCATTCTGTTGGTTTGCCAGGAGAATCCTTTTGTTATTTCCTGGAAATGCTTGAATCATAGATGAGTCTCTTCCTGCGTCCGTGTATTTCAGCTGCAGTTTTCCAAGTGTGTAATAGTGCTGTCCATAAGGAATAGCTGCTGTTACTGTGAATTGAAATACTTAACAGGTCTACTTTCAGGTGGATAAATGTCACATCCAAATTGCGTGTTAGTTTGACTTTCAGGTAACTTAATTAGCAGATTCATGTTTTGGGAAAATCTGATCTGTGATCCTGAAATTGGTTACAGTTGGTGTAATTCGTGGGTAATTAGGCGCCTTTACAGTGACTACTCTAGTCATTAGAGGGCTGGGGTAATTTGAGGTTGAAATGTGAGAGTGAGATGGAGAAGGCACTTGCTCTCTAGTCCTTAATCTTTTAATCCATTTAACCTGGGTTGTAAATTCAGGCCTTATTTTAATTTGAAAGTATGTTTAGGGAGCTGGGAAGGGGTTTCATTAATTCACCACTTTCAGGTAATATAGTTAGGAGAGGGAGGTTATTCCTAGTTGTTTATTTGGGTAAACATAAAGTTATTGTGAGTACTGGAAGGGCTCATGAAAGTTATGTTGCTCCTTGTTGGAAACAAAAGCTTCTAGATTTAAAAAATGAGCGGCCGGGCGTGGGGGCTCATGCCTGTAATCCCAGCACTTTGGGAGGCCGAGGCGGGTGGATCATGAGATCATTAGATCGAGACCATCTTGGCTAACATGGTGAAACCCCATCTCTACTAAAAATAAAAATATTAGCCAGGTCTGGTGACATGGGCCTGTAGTCCCAGCTACTTGGGAGGCTGAGGCAGGAGAATGGCGTGAACCCGGGAGGTGGAGGTTGCAGTGAGCCGAGATCACGCCACTGCACTCCAGCCTGGGCGATAGAGTGAGACTCTGTCTCAAAAAAAAAAAAAAAAAAAAAGAAAGCCTAAAACCCAAAGAAAAGCACCACAAAAACAAGACCCCGTTCAGAGATGTGTCATATAGGTATTGTCCGTGTCGAAGTCAGAAATACATTTGTGGCATGTGGAATAGGCTTTATGGACACACAGATATCAAGTAACCTGATCTCTTGCTGAGTTTAAGGCCTGTCACGTAAATGCACACTGCTTACGTTTTCTTTTTATTTCCACTTTTGAATTGGGGATAAAAGGGGAAACTGGTGAAGGAAAGACATGTTCCTAGAGAGCTGAACACCTGTAATATTGACTAATAGAAGGGAAGAGAGTAGGTAGGAAGTAAGTGCAATAGGAAACTGGTAAACAGAGAAGAGAAAAACCGTGTTTTGAGATGGATTGGAGGCATTTTTTGTCCACACACTTGCTTTGGGGATTTTTATTAGGTAGACGGTAATTAGAGGTGTCAGTCATATGAAAGTAAATCACTAGTCTTTCGTATTACTGTTTTCTCAGTGGTCCTTATCAGTTTTTTTTGTTGCTCTGTAATCATTCATATGGTAAGACTTAACTTTTAGTCATGTAAATTTGTTTAGGGACAATTTAAACTATTTTGTCAAATTAGTCGTTTTATTCCAAGTTGTACGTCTTATGCATTTATTTAGTATAGTGAAAGCCTTATATACACATTTAATATAATTAGTCTCTGGATATTTGGATTATTTTTTAGTAGTACTTTTTTAGAGTGTGGGTTTTTTCTTTTCTTTTCTGTTTTTGAGACAGTGTCTGGTTCTGTCACCCAGGCTGGAGTTCGGTAGCCCAGTCTTGGCTCACTACAACCTCAGACTCCCGGGCTCAAGCCATCCTTCCACCTCACCCTCCTGAGTAGCTGGGACTACAGGCACTTGCCACCGTGTCTGGCTAATTTTAAAATATTTTTTGTAGAGACAAGGTTTCATGTTTCCCAGGCTGGTCTTGAACTCCTAAGCTCAAGTGATCCACCCACTCCCCAAAGTGTTGGGATTGTAGGCAGGAGCCACCACACCTGGCAGTTTTTTCCTTCTTGTTTTGAGATGGGGCCTTGCTCCATCACCCGAGCTGGAGTGTAGGTAGCATGATCATAGCTCGCTGCAACCTTGAAATCCTGGGCTCAAGCGATCCCCCTGCCTCAGCCTTCCAAGTAGTGGGGACTATTGGTCCATGCCACCATGCTTAGCTAATTATAAAAAAAAAAAAAGAAGGTTTTTAAAAGATGGAGGTCTCACTATGTTGCCCAGGCTGGCCTCAAACTCCTGCGCTCAACAGTTCTCCCATTTTGGCCTCCCACAGTCCTGGGATTACCGGCATGAGCCACTGCACATAGCCCAATTTTTTCTTTTTAGTTCACTTTAAATTAAAAATAGAGTTTGAAGAAAATTAGAATTTTAGCTAAACCTTATCCAAATTATTACATTTTCCAAATTGATGAGGCTTCAGGGAGATTTTCAAATATTCTGAATCCTTATTAATATGCACAAAACTTTGTTTAAATCATAGGCGGAATCTCAAGGTTGTGTGTAAAATAAGTCTACCACTTTGGACTTGGGAAAACAAATATTCTGATGTAATAAGTGATTAGAAGAAAATATAATAGTAATATGAAACTGGCATGGCATGCCTGCTAGACAGCCCCTGAAGCATATTGGTTAAACTAGTAGGTTATAAACACAGTCTGTGCTCTGAAGGAATGTATATAGTTTTAAGAGAAGGAACATGTGACTTGGGCTACACTTAAAGTGTAAGGTGTGTTTATGAGCAGAGTTTTAAATTTAGGTGTTTTTTTTAACTTATATATCTTTTCTGGCTTTGTATAATTTGGCTCAGGGCTGGGGGCAGGGTGGAAAGAATAGACTGGAAAGTGGGGACCAAGATGGAGGAGTTGAGTGGATAAGAGCAGCAGGCTGAGCTCAGGAGGAGAACTTGATAAGGAGTAGGGGAAAGGAAGGTCAGGAATGAGCCAAGGCTGGGAGATCAGATGGTGAGATACAGGTGGATGTGGTAATGATGACCTGAGGCAGGAGATTTTTGTCTAACCTCAAGGTAGGGTAGTAGCTCAGTGGCTAAAAGATATGCTTGGGACTGGGTGCGGTGGCTCACGCCTGTAATCCCAGCACTTTGGGAGGCCGAGGCAGGTGGGTCACAAGGTCAGGAGATCGAGACCATCCTGGCTAACATGGTGAAACCCCATCTCTACTAAAAATACAAAAAATTAGCCGGGCGTGGTGGCAGGCGCCTGTAGTCCCAGCTACTCAGGAGGCTGAGGGAGGAGAATGGAATGAACCCAGGAGGCGGAGCTTGCAGTGAGCGGAGATAGTGCCACTGCATTCCAGCCTGGGTGACAGAGTGAGACTCTGTCTCAAAAAAAAAAAAAAAAAAAAAAGATATGTTTGGGGCTGGGCGCAGTGGCTCACACCTGTAATCCCAGCACTTTGGGAGGCCAAGGCGGGTGGATCACAAGGTCAGGAGTTCGAGACCAGCCTGGCCAGTGTGGTAAAACCCTGTCTCTACTAAAAATACAAAAAATTAGCCGGGCATGGCGGTGCGCACTGGTAATCCCAGCTACTTGGGAGGCTGAGGCAGGAGAATCACTTGAACCCAGGAGGTGGAGGTTGCAGTGAGCCGAGATCGCACCACTGCTCTCCAGTCTGGGCGATAGCACTAGACTGTCTCAAAAAAAGAAAAAAAACGCTTGGAGCCAGACCGTCTGGGTTTGAATCTGATGTCATACTGCTTAGCTGGTGACTTTTGGTGAGTTGCCAAACCTCTCCATGCCTTAGTTTG
The DNA here is from genome assembly GCF_000001405.40 of Homo sapiens. NCBI lineage: Eukaryota > Metazoa > Chordata > Mammalia > Primates > Hominidae > Homo > Homo sapiens. The sequence continues at coordinate 153,493,769 of NC_000004.12, forward strand.
CCCCTCTCTCAAATAGGGGTATTGTTAATAGTACCTACCACAGAGTTTGTTTTGAAGATTACATAAATCTGTGTAAGGCATTTAAAAGCCTTGCATGTAAATGCTCTAATGTTACCTGCTATGAAGTTGAAAAGGTCATTTTCTTAGTGGTGGCTGCTGTGTAACAGTGATAAGGTTTCCTGATCTGGCTGACACCGTTCCCTGGCTTCCGGGTGACAGAATCCTTTTTTTAATGAGTTGTGTCTGAGAAGCTAGAATTGTTGTGGGTAAGGACCTGGGCTCTGGGTTTGAATCCTATCTCTGTGGCTTTCCAGCTATGTGATCTTGAGCCTCAGTTTTCTCATCTGTAAAAGTGGGCCAGTAGTACCTATCTCGTAAGGTAAGGATCCCAGGGGTTAGTCTATGTGAAAGAAACTGTTAATAGTGGAATTTGTAGTTGGCATCGCATATCAAGGTGTGTGCGTGCTTTAGCGAAATTCCATTCTTAAGAATTTCTTAAGGAAGTAGGATAAATTTACAAGCTGTATTTACAATTATATCCATCTGTTTATATTGGGGAAAAATTAGGAGCAACTTAATGTCCAATAGTACATCCATATGGATAATGTAGTACAATATTTGACAGAGAAAGGTGTTTATGATACTTCTTTACAGAAAAATTTTCTGTGGAGTCTGGAAGAATCTTCTAAAATATTCAGTGTTTTCATTTGCTAATGAGATTGTATTTTTTTATTATGCCATAAGGTACATTAAAAAGTAAGACATCTTGACTTGGGGAAACTCACAATAAGGGGAAACAGACGTTTAGACATAACTATCTTTAATATCTGATACAACAGTCTTATTGTCCTGAGCACCGTGAACCGAGGAAAGCCCCTTCTGCCAAAGTTTTCATCCTGTTGCAGACCTTGCCTATGGCTGTCTCACCTAAACAATAGGAAGTTGTCTTCTTGCAAATGAGGAGTGATTATGAGGCTATGGAAAATGGAAAAGCTGGAAAGTTCTTTAGCTAACAGCTCTCCGTCGGGAGCGCTAAGAGGGCCTCAGCACCAGTGGGCTTGGTTAGGGGGATATTTTAGACATTTGCTCTGAGACCAGTGCATTGGGTGACCTGCCGGGGCTCCTGCTCTGCCGGGTGTTCACCCTTTACCTGCGTGATCCGGGGAAGTGTGAGAGGGGTCTGGGGAGGGGCAGTAGCTATTCACCAAACTCTGAACCCAAAATATCTGAGACAGATCTGTACCAAATTAGAAAGTTGGTTTTATGGCCAGGCATGGTGGCTCACGCCTGTAATCCCAGCACATTGGGAGGCCGAGGCGGTGGATCATCTGAGGTCAGTAGTTTGAGATCAGCCTTGCCAACATGCTGAAACCCCATCTCTACTAAAAATACAAAAATTAGCCGGGCGTGGTGGTATGCACCAGTAGTCCCAGCTACTCAGGAGGCTCTGAGGTAGGAGAATTGCTTGAACCTGGGAGGCATCCTAGGTTGCAGTGACCCGAGATTGTGCCATTGCACTCCAGCCTGGGCGACAGAGTGAGAATCCGTCTGAAAACAAAAAAAAAAAACAAGTAAGTTAATTTTGCCAAGGTTAAGGATATGCCCGGAACACAGCCTCAGGAGGTCCTGTGCCCAGGGTGGTCGGGATACAGCTTGCTTTTATATATTTTAGGGAGACATGAGACATCAATGAGTAGGTATAAGGGGAGGGCAGGGGCTTCCAGGTCATAGGTGGGTAAGAGAGAAAAGGTTGCATTCTTTTGAGTCCTTGATTAGTCTTTGAGTGAATACACAATTTAGTCTGCCTCAGTGAATGCATTTTTACATAAACAATAGGTCAGAGGAAGCAATCAAATATGCATTTTTTTCAGGTGAGCAGAGGGATGACTTTCTGTCTCCACCTGTGAAGATGAGCTATCAGTTTACATTGCCAGGGTGAAATCCAACAGAACGTTCTGGGGTAAAGATCTTGAGGCCTACAAGGAATTTCCTTGTGGGTAAATTGTGAGGGAGGTATGTAACTTTTAAAATCTTTGTAGCTATCTTATTTAGGAATAAAACGGGAGGCAGGTTTGCCTGGCATGATTCCCAGCTTGACCTTTCCCTTGGCTTAGTGATTTTTGGGTACCGAGATTTAGTTTGCTTTCACAAAACAAGTGTGGAACTGTTTCAGTGGAGTAATGAGGATGTGGCTGTGCTGAGCTTAAAGGGGCGGATGTCAGCCCTGGCCAGAAAAGAAGTCTGAAGATGGATTCCTAGAGTGCCAACAAGGCCTCCGAATGCCAAGCTAGCCCCTCTCGAGGGCGGCGAGACCTGAAATCAGAAAGGCAGTTTCTTTAAAATAATCCCATTCAGAGTTGGGGCATCAAAATAGATTAGGCTATGGGTTTAACGGATAGGAATTCTTTAGAAAGGTATCAAATTATCCTTGCCTAAGCATTACTTCACAGGCTGGTCCTAACCTAGTTTTGCAAAACAAATCAAAACATTTTAAATCCATGGAACACTTTATTTAAACAGAATTTTCTGTAGAAGCCTGGTACAAAAATTAAATACGGGGCTGCTCCATTGCATCGAAAACGGGGAGGCCCACTGAGGCACAGGGATAGTTGCTTTTCCAGGACCACCCCCCTCATGTCAGTATTATTCAGCAGGGAACACAACCCGTTCCCCCAGCCCCACAGGGATTTCAGTAATCTAAGTCCCCTCTGCATAGGTCACTGTGACAGTGTCATTGTCATTCTCTTTGGTTTTGTTAGTGAAAGATTTAGGATTCAGTGTTTATGAAGACTTGTTTTGTTTTTGTTTGAGACAGGGTCTCATTCTGTTGGCCAGGTTGGAGTGTGGTGGCATGATCCTGGCTCACTGTGGCCCCACCTCTCAGGCTCAGGTGATCTTCCCACCTCAGCCTCCTGAATAACAGGTGTGAGCCACCAGTCTGGCTAATTTTGTTTATTTTTTTTGTAGACATGGGGGTCTCACTATGTTGCCCAGGCTGGTCTCAAACTCCTAGGCTCAAGTGATCCACTCGCTTTGGCCTCCCAAAGTGCTGGGATTACAGGTGTGAGCCACTGTACTTGGCCTATGAAGACTTTTTTTTTTTTGTTTTTGAGACAGGGTCTCATTATGTGGCCTAGGCTGGAGTACAGTGGCACGATCATGGTTCACTTCAGCCTTGAACTCCCAGGCTCAAGCGATCCTCCCACCTCAGCCTCCCTAGTAGCTGGGACTACAGGTGCGTGCCCTCATGCCCAGCTAGTTTTTGTGTTTTTTTGTAGAAATGGGGTTTTGCCATGTTGCCCAGACTGGTCTTGAACTCCTAGGCTCAGGTGATCCACCTGCCTCAGCTTCCTGAGGTGTTGGGATTACTGGCATGAGCCAGCACACCTGGCCAAGATTTTCGAAGGGAATGTTTTTGAGGACTTTGGGGAAAGTTTGTCTCCCCTCTGAAGGATGCCCGTGAGTGTGTGCTGCTGAGAGGATGGCAGAATGGCAAGGTGGGAGCATTCTGCAAGCATCATGACATCATTGAGCTACTGAATCAACCTTCCCTAGAACTGGCTTCCAGGACTTTGGGTCATATGAGTCATGTGAGAAAAATATTCTCCTCTACCTTTTTCTGAGTTAGGCCTCATGCTGCTTGAAGCTGAAAACATCCTGTTACACCTCGGTTTTAAGCACCCTCCCCTGGCCTCTGAGATAAGCCTCTCAGGAACCTGTGGCTCTCTAACCCAGTTTGAAACGTTTTGCTCTCCATAGAATTGTGTACCAGGAGAGTTATATTGATTAAATTAGGTCTTACATTTTATGTTATATATTCAGAGACATATATTTGTAGTCTGCATTTCAGGTAAAGCGTTTTCCATGTTGGAGGTCAAATCCCACGAGGTTCACGTATCTATTGCTGCTGCTTTACCCTGTTCTGGAAAAGAAAGTTATTTGCCTGCCGAACGCACAGACATGAGATTAGAAAGTGATGACAAGCGTTAATGCTTGGCTCTTTTTATCATAGACTATACTCTTTTCTACTCTATTATTTCATCTGTGTTTGTGTAACATGTATCTCACAATGCAGAAATCTTTTTTTTCTTTTTGTTATGAAAAATTTCCAAAAAAAAAAAAAAAAAAAAAGAAAAGTTGAGAGACTTGTACGGTGAACACCCAGATACACATCTCCTAGCTTCTACAGACATCCTTAAGGGTTCTGATGGCAGAGATCCGTGTGTAAGCATTTTGAAGTTTTTGGCTAAAGAAAAACGTTGTGTTCCGTTCTTTTTTTATTGTGTCGGATTTAAGGCACAGCTCCTGTTCAGCCTGCCTGCTATTCTCTGAGTTTATGTAAGTTTGAGGAGGTGGGTGGGAGAAGATGTAGGAGGATGGAAAATGAGCAGCTTGCTTTATTCACAAATGATGCTTGGTAGGCTCTGGACAGAGCCAGGGGTTTGGGGGAGTCCTGAGCATGGTGCCCTTGATCTGCTCTTGCACCCTCTGAGGCTGAGGGGCCTGGGAGGAGCCCTCCTCTGCTGGGAACTTTTCCTAAAAGCCCACTTACGGACAGAGAGGCAGGGTTTACAGCAGCAGAGCCAAGGAGGGCTGAGGCCAGCTTCCTTTGCTCTCCCACTCATTCCCAGCTCGCTATTTAATTTGACATCCTGGAACATGTGTTTCAGTGAATTGGTTCATAAAAATGTTTTTTGCAGGATTCTGGAATAGAGGCTGCACATTCTTTAGATACATGGCTAATCGCACTATGTGAGAGAGCGTGTGGGTGTGTGTGTATTTTTGGAGGTGGGTAGGGAAGTGGGGGGTGAGCAGAGTTCTTTCAAGCTCTCTCTTCACAAGATGCAAATGTTTTTCCCCTTAGGGTTTATAGAGAGTGTGAACAATGAGGAGTTGAGATCCTGTGGCCCTTTGGTCCCCAGGGTCTTCTCATTCGGCCCTACTGAGCAAGGCTGGCTTCCCATTTGCTCTCATCTTTTTCTCCTTCAGTCACTCTGGAAACTAGTAGTTAGGAGCTGGAAATTGAGAAGCTGCCATTTAGGAGTTTATGCAACAAATGCAGAGGAGAGTCTGTTCCAGACTTTGCAGTTATATCAACTTAGAGCTTTTGCCAACCTTTCTTGGAAAAAAACCCACTGGAATTAAGTGAAACTTCACAACACTGCACAATGTAGCCAATTCTGCATTTGGGGTATGTAAGCCTGGAACTGTGGGAAGCTGGAAGTTGCCCCTTAGTATTAACGTTTGTTTTTGTTGTCCTTTTCCTTGAATGTAGTCTTACGTAGAGAACTTGGACAGCCTGTCATTTTCCAAAACCTCTGTGGCTCATCCTAGGCACAACTCATGTCTCTCCTTTCTTCTGTTAGTGTTTAGGGATGGGCCAGGCCTGAACTAACCGTTTCAGGGCTCCGAGGCTGCGCCTTGTAACTTGTGAGCACTGGTTCTGGGCAGTCGCCTCCCTGCGGTTAGTGGTGCCCAGCCTCCAGTCGCTGTAGCTCAGACATGGCCTCGGGAGGTTTGGAGGATGCCCAGCGCTTGTCTGCCCATTGTTGCTGACCTGCCGCATTGTGTGATATGGCTCCATGTGCACATCTTCCATGGATTTATCAGTCTTGACAGGAGTCTTCCACTTTCTGCCAGTGATGAAATAGATCTTTATGATTTTTTTTTTTTTTTTTGAGATGCGTCTCGCTCTGTTGCCAGGCTGGAGTGCAGTGGCACAATCTCAGCTCACTACAACCTCTGCCTCCTGGGTTCAAGTGATTCTCCTGCCTCAGCCTCCCAAGTAGCTGGGACTACAGGCACGCGCCACCATGCCCGGCTAATTTTTGTATTTTTAGTAGAGAGGGGATTTCACCATGTTGGCCAGGATGGTCTCAATCTCTTGACCTCGTGATCTGTCCACCTTGGCCTCCCAAAATGCTAGGATTACAGGCGTGAACCGCCGTGCCCAGCCCCTTATGACATTCTTACCCTGATTGGTTATTCAGCTTCAGCTTGAGCACTTCACGTGATGGGAAGTTCACCTTTGAAACTGACTTTCCATTTTTGAGCCTCTCTCATTGTAAAGATGTTCTCTGATTTTGACTTCACATTTGCTCTCTTTAGTCTTCCACCGTCAGATCCCAGTCTCACAGACTTGAGACAGTTATCACATCTCTTCTCTAGGTTGGTTTTACCTAAATTTTTTTTTTTAACTCGCCCAGGCTAAATTATTCCTCATGTTTTTCAGTCAGTCCTAATGTTAACTTGGTCAGAACCAACCTTCCTTCCTCCCTTCCTCCCTTCCGTTCCCTTCCGTTCCCTTCCCTCTGTCCCATCCCTCCCTCCCTTCTTTCTTTTTGCAAGAGTAGATAGGGTCTCACTCTCTTACCCAGGCTGGAGTGCAATGGTACAATCATGGCTCACTGCAGCCTCAAACTCCTGGGCTCAAGCAGTCATCCTGCCTCAGCCTCCCATATAGCTAGGACCACAGGCTTATGCCTCCCCACCCCCAGCTAATTTTTATATATTCCTTTGTAGAGACAGGGTTTCTTTATGTTGCCCAGGCTGATCTTGAACTCCTTGGGCTCGAGTAATCCTCCAGCCTCAGCCTCCCAAAGTGCTGGGATTACAGGCGTGAGCCACCACACCCATCCCAGAACTTTTTTAGTTTAAATTTTGCCAATAGTGGATAGAGTGATTCTGTTGAGATCTGAATGGTGCCCTATGTAGTGAATCCATTTCTTTTTTGGTCTGGACTCTACTTATTTTAATGAAGCCCAAGATTTCATTAGCACTTCTAGTAGCAGTGTCTTTCTACTTGGATCGTGTTATTTTATGGCCAAACAAGATCAAACACAAACAAAAACCTTTGGGTCCGTCATCTTCTTTTTATTTTAATGGGAACTGCTAACTTCTCTTTCTCAATATACACTTAAGTAATGAATTGCCTTCTTTAAAATACAAATATTTACATTTGGCCTTGTTAAGCTTTATCTGGATGATTTAGAACTATCTTAGCCTATTGAGACCAAAGAAACACACACGCTCACACACGCGTGCATGCACACACACACAGGCATGTGCACTTTTTTCCTAGTTGTGAAAATCGATGGAATGACTACATGGCTTAGTCTCCTCTTTCTCCAGAGACGCCGTTTAATGATCAGATAGAAATTTAAAAGGTTAATAAAAACCTATAGTGAAGAAATGCTATCAGTTGATAATAGAGTTAAAAAAAAATTCTGGAAGATAGAAAGTGGATAACTGATAGAATATGGTAACTGATGAAAGTGGAAGATTAACAGGGTACGCCAAGTACCCTGCACAGTGGATTTAGAGAATCCCACCAAGCATATTGTGAAATTTTAGAATAGCAAGAATAATGACCATACTGGATGCTTAACTAAAGAAGTGGGACTTATAATGCCCACCTCACAGGGGTTTTGCAAGTTTTTTTTTTTTTTTTTTTTTGAGACGGAGTCTCGCTCTGTCACCCAGGCTGGAGTGCAGTGGCGCGATCTTGGCTCACTGCAACCTCTGCCTCGGGTTCAAGCAATTCTGCCTCAGCCTCCTGAGTAGCTGGGACTACAGGCGCGTGCCACCACACCCGGCTAATTTTTTGTATTTTTAGGAGAGACAGGGTTTCACCGTGTTAGCCAGGATGGTCTCGATCGCTTGACCTCATGATCCGCCTGCCTCGGCCTCCCAAAGTGCTGGGATTACAGGTATGGGCCACTGTGCCCAGCTGAGTTTTGCAAGTATTAATGTAAATAATGTGAGTAAAGCCTCTACTGTATTTTCTGGCACATGGTAAGGAGTCTCAGGGTATGTGTGCAGGTGTTGTATTACTTCTTGCCATCACTTTTCTTACCATCATCACTGTCACTGCTATGGTGGTGAAGAAGCATATCAGTTAGGATTAGGACCAGTTTCATGAGACAGAAAACCCAGTAACATAAATGAGATAGAAGCTTTCCTCTATACTGCTTATCTGAGAGAGCAGAGGGCAGGCCAGGACTGAGGTGACAGCTTCATAATCATCAAGGCCATGCCTCCTCTGTCTCCTAATCCAAGGTGACTGCCCAACCCGCAGGATCATCTTCATTTCCCCTCCAGGATGGAGGAAGGAGCTAGAGTAGGATTTCCCCTCTACCTTTTCCAGGTCACTTCCTGGAAGTATCCCCCAAAGGGTTTTTTTTTTTTTTTTTTTTTTTAAATGGAGACAGAGTCTTGCTGTTACCCAGGCTGGAGTGCAGTGGCATGATCACGGCTCACTGCAACCTTAACATTCAGGGCTCAAGTGATCCTTCCACCTCAGACTCACAAGTAGCTGGGACCACAGGTGCCCGCCACCATGCCTGGCTAATTTTTTGTAGAGATGAGTTTTCACCGTGCTTCCCGGGCCGGTCTCCAACACCTGGGCTCAAGCAGTCCTCCCACCTTGTCCTCCCAAAGTGCTGGGATTACAGGTGTGAACCACCGCGGCTGTCCCAAACTTGTATATACATCTCATTTCCAGAACTTAGTCATATGGTTGCATCTCAGCTGCAAGTGGTAGACTGGGAAGAGGAGTCTTTTCTGCAGCCATGTGCCTGTTTCAAAATGTCTTCTTAAGGAGGACAGGAAAACAGCTACTGGGTTTGGCAGCTAGCATTCTCTTTGTCACAGTGAACCTTATTAGTATACTCAATCCTAGGCTTCTGTAAGGTATCATTTATTCTGACTCTTTGGGAGTTAACACGAAGGATCATTGATATATTAACTTGTGCGTTGGTTGAAAAATGAATTATGTGTAAACTAATCATTAAACCATAGAAGCTTTTCAAATGGCTGAATGTGCATTGAAATGGCTTCTGCTGAAAAAGTTCAGTTTAACATTACTTTGAAAAACTTCTGCGTATAGAAGAAAATTGCAAATTATTGAAACTATCTTATGACACTGGTATTAGTCATACATTATTTGGGATGGAGATAATTCATGCAGATTGCTTTGAGTATGAGAAGATGCTTAGAGCATTTGGTGTTTATAATTTCTTGTTACTTGATCTCTCTGCCCTGGAAGTGCTATAACTCTTGATTGTCACTCCTGAGAAATCTATGTCTTAGGTTTTTCACATTATTACCTTCTATTATGAAGATAACTAGGGGTCAATGACCCTTTTCCTAGATGTAACATTTCTAGAAAGCCAATTACTGCAAAGTCTCATTTTGCAGGGTCATCTTTTTTTTTTCCTCTACTCTTCCTGACCATGTTTATTCCTATTGACCCAAATACTTGAGATTTATTTTTAGTTAGAAGAACTCAGAGATGCCTAAAGGCTAATCTTAAACTCTATAAACTACATTAAAACAAAGATATAATTTCAGTTTCTCACACTTAACTTGGAGAGTGTTTTCTCACTTAGAAACTTTCTCAAAAACCTTAACACTTAGCAAATGCACATGTGATGTTTTCCATTGCTATAACTTTCTCATTTAATTCACTTTTTCCTTTATTCATTTTTAGAATACGGGGGAACATTTCAGGGATTTGGTTATTCCTCCTTTCTCTGGGAGCATAACATCACTTGTAAAATTGTACAAAGATAGGACAGGATTAACCTTTTAGGTAGGATAGAGTAGGATAAGGTTCAAGTGACTTGGCATAAAAGGGACAGCTTTTTAAAATAAGGCAAAATGAGTAGCTTCTGTCTATGAGCTACTGTTATTTTCAGATTTACTCATTATTTATACAAAATTCTATTTAAAGTAACTAAGATATTTTGAAAAAACCTGTTAGGATATACTATTGGGTAAACAGAAATACTAATAGTTAAAAAAAATTGGTGCATATTAAATTAATGCCTTCATTTCATGGCCGGACTCAGGACAAAGAGTCATGATGTGGGTCCTACAACTTACTAGTGATATGATTTGGGGCAAGTCACTTAACTTCTGAGTTAGACGGGGTTTTACCAGAAGCAGAATGAGGCTAATGTCTGTCTTGCTAGCCTCATTGCAAGAATGTAATAAGACACGGGTTATAAAAGTACTCTAAAAGTGATGAAGGGTCATGAAAATGTAAGGTTATGTTTTACAAAACTCACAGCTGAGTCTAGAAACAATTCTTTAATAAGGAAAGACAATTAGAAAACCTCACTTCTCTGATTTTTCAACGTATATTGAAGCCTTTGCTTTTAAATATACTGTATAGTGAATGTTAAATGCACTTGTGTGGTTTTTTTGTTTTTTGGAGATGGAGTCTTGCTCTGTCGCCCAGGCTGGAGTGCAGTGGTGCTATCTCGGCTCACTGCAAGCTCCACCTCCTGGGTTCACGCCATTCTCCTGCCTCAGCCTCCCGAGTAGCTGGGACTACAGGCGCCCGCCACCACGCCCGGCTAATTTTTTTTGTATTTTTAGTAGAGACGGGGTTTCACTGTGTTGGCCAGGATGTTCTCGATCTCCTGACCTTGTGATCCACCGCCTCGGCCTCCCAAAGTGCTGGGATTACGGGCGTGAGCCACCGCGGTCGGCCTTTTTTTTTTTTTTTTTTTTTTTTTTTTTTTGGAGACAGAGTCTCGCCTGTTGCCCAGGCTGCAGTGCAGTGGTGTGATCTCGGCTCACTGCAACCTCCACCTTCTGGGTTCAAGTGGTTGTCCTGCCTTAGCCTCCTGAGTAGCTGGGATTATAGGTGCGCACTACCACGCCCGGCTAATTTTTGTATTTTTAGTAGAGACGGGGTTTCACCATGTTGGTCAGGCTGGTCTCTAACTCCTGACTTTGTGTGACCTGGTGATCCACCTGCCTTAGCCTCCCAAAGTGCTGGGATTACAGGCGTGAGCCACCGTGTCTGGCCACTTGTTCTTTATGCTAAGCAAGAGAAATATTATTTTGCTGATTGATCAGTCTGAGTTGTAATATAAATTTTCTTATAAATAATGATTTTTTTCACTTACCCTGTAGAATTAGCAAAATTTTATAAGTCTCTTAACTAGGTTATGAGATTTGCTTTCACAGAAAGACTTTTCCCATAAACGAATGAAACTTAGGATACATGAGAAGCAGAATCCTTGACATTTTGCTTCTTCATCTCATTTGCCACAGACAACATGCCATTGTCAAGGATGGATGCATTCACTTGAATCTCAGCTTGTTTTTTCAGAGTGACCAGCCTTGCTGAGTTGTAACAGAGGTTAGGTTTCCAGGGGGGCATGTGTGAGCAGAGGATGGGTTGGCTAGGAGCGAACTGTGGGGTGCAGAGCAAATGTCAGGGAACTAGGCTCCTTGGCCTTTAGATGACTATCTTCTCCCTATGTCTTCACATAGTTTTCCCTTTGTACTATCTCTTGGTCCAACTTTCCATTTCTTTCTTTCTTTCTTTTTTTTTTTTTTTGAGATGGAGTCTCGCTCTGTTGCCCAGGCTGGAGTGCAACAGCACAATCTCGGCTCACTGCAACCTCTGCCTTCCGGGTTCAAGTGATTCTCCTGCCTCAGCCTCTCGAGTAGCTGGGACTACAGGCACGCACCACCACACCCCGGTAATTTTTGTATTTTTTAATGGAGATGGGGTTTCACCATATTGGCCAGGCTGGTCTCAAACTCCTGACCTCGTGATCCACCCGCTTCAACCTCCCAAAGTGCTGGGATTGCAGGTGTGAGCCACCTTGCCCAGCCCTCAACTTGCCATTTCTTACAGGGATGCCAGTCATACTGGATTGGAGTCCACTTTGATGACCTCATTTTAATTTCTTTACCTCTTTGAAGATCTTATCTCCAAATATAGTCACATTCTGATAAATGGGATGAGGACTTGCAGATAGGAATTTTGTAAGAAACATAATTCAGCCCATAACATGTCCTGAAGGGGAAAAGCAAAATGTAGGTCATGGTTCCTGGTATTCAGGTTGTCATTGTGTTTAGAGGTAAGTTCAAAGCTCATGACACATTACTGGTATGAGACAGTACTATAATTTTATTTCCCAGCTAAAATATCTTATACCCCTAAATGAGTTGAGCAGCGAAATCATACAAATTCAGAAAAAGAGAGCTAATTTGGGGCCAGAATGGTGAGAGAGGGACTTGTGAAATAGCAGGAAAAGGCTTGAGAGGAACTGGAGACATCAAGTTGGAATGAGTAAGAGTGTGCCCAGGGTGTGGTGAGGAGGCTGCCTGGCCAGAGCAGGGGGCTTGTTTTGTGTGTCCAGCATGTGTCTCAGATATTTCGTACCAGATCTTGATAGCTTGAATTCTTGTCTTTGAAATTACAACTTTTTCATGTAGTAAAAAAGATCAGAGGGAAGTATTTGAAGTAGAACTAACTTAGGTATAATTGCGCTGTGAAGGTGAAAAACAATAGTAGAGTCGAACTAATATTTAAAATCCAAGAAAAGGCTCTAAAACAAAAGATGACCTGAATCTACATATTGGAAGAGCCCACCAGGTGATACCTGGGAAAAGTAACCCAGAATTATAAACTCTGAGATACATTCTATTAGATTTCAAAGATAAAGAGAAAAAATTTCTCAAGGATTCCTTGCAAAAAAAGATCGTATGGTTTACGGGGACAAAATAATTTGACTGTCATCACATTTCTCAAAATGATGTACAAAGCAAGGTAACAATGGAGCAGCATTTTGAAAAGATTTTAGGGAGTGACAGCCAAGGATTTTATCCCAGCCAGGCTGTCCTTCAGGTATCAAGAATAGAGAAACAGTTTACACAGTGACTCAGGGAATTCTGTACTTTAAGCCCTTACTGTTAGAGGGTGAACTGCTTCATTCAACCAAAAAATGAGTAAATTTCAGCAAAATGACTGATACTAAGTATTTACGCCGGGTGCGGTGGCTCATGCCTGTAATCCCAGCGCTTTGAGAGGCCAAGGGGGGGACTCATCTGAGGTCAGGAGTTCAAGATCAGTCTGGCCAACATGGTGAAACCTCATCTCTACTAAAAATACAAAAAATTAGCCAGGCCTGGTGGCACATGCTTGTAATCCCAGCTACTCAGGAGGCTGAGGCAGGAGAATCGCTTGAATCCAGGAGGCAGAGGTTGCAGTGAGCCGAGATTGCGCCATTGCACTCCAGCCTGGGTGACAGAGTGAGACTCTGTATCCAAAAAAAAAAAAAAAAAAGAAGAAAGAAAAAAAGAGTATTTACTACTTTATTTACAGATCTGAGACTAACACAGAAGAGGAGACCAGAGTGGGGAATAAAAACCTCCCCTGTAACCATAGCTGAAAACTCTTGAAGGTGGTTTGCTGGCACAGTTTGGGTTCTTTAGAAGTGGATACTGAGACAGTTTGGTGTACAGGAATGCACATTTTTTAAGGATTAACACCTGTGGAAGGGAGGGGGCAGAAGCAGAGTTGGGCAGAGCGAGAAGTCAAACTGCAGTATAGGCCTGCAGAGCCTTGAACAACACCACGGGAAGCTTTGGAGTGTTTATGGCCCATCAGAGCTATCCAGTGTTGGGTTGAAATGGCCAGGCTTGTTTTTATCTGCCTGTCTTCATCAGTCTCTGGATGTGAACTGTCCTTTGGAGGGTGTGTTTTGGGCGGGTGGCTGTTAGTAGCCGAGGCAAACCCTGAAGGACTAACTGCTAGAGGCTGTCTCCAACTAAGGCAGTGGGGTCCTTGAAGTGGGATCTGCGTGGCACATCTCCACGTCCCCCATGCTTGCTTTTTCTCTAGTAGAAGACTGTGTTTACAGTGGTAAGTTAGGAAGATGAGTTTCTTCTCATTGCTGTGGACTTCTGTTACCTTATGGCTTCCAAGAGTCTGGAACATCGTGTTCACATTTGTATTATTCTCCACATTGTGAGTCCTCATGTCCCAAAAGAGAATACAAAACAAAACAAAAACGTAAGAACCTATCAAACCGTATTACCCAGATTCTCTTGCTGTTAGGATGCAGACTTTTGACTTAAGTTTCTCCCATTTGAGTGAGATCTTGTAGCAAGACTTGGATTCAGGAGTGAGATGCAAAACAAAAAAACAAACAAACAAAAAACCAGGGAACGCTTATGTGGTGTGGGTGATTTCAGAGGCAGCTTCCTCATCGTAATACAGCTGGGGTGCATCTAGTGGCCATGTTGGCAGCTGCTCCCTTACCAGACCGGTTCTACAGTGGGATTCAGCCCAGATCCTAGGGCTGGGTATCACCATCCTCTGCTGCAGTAAATGACTTTGAAACACATAGAATGGATTCTGTAGTTGGCAGCTAAGAACGCTGACACATTTCGTGGGTGAGTTGTGTGGAGGAAAGACTGGAGGCAAGGAGACTGATTAGAATGTGAAGGCCTGAATTAGGATGGGTTTAGTAAAATAGGAATTGATTTGAGGAGAATGTAAAAGAGGGAATGAATCATATTTAATGATGTTAGGACTAAGGAACTGAATCAGGGAAAAAGTCATTTAGCATTACCTCTGGGGAATGGATTTGGGTGTAACATAGGAATGGGTATTGGATATTTGGGTGTATGTGAATAATAGGAAGGCAGATAGACTTTTTAATTTATACCCAACTCTATGTTGTGTTTACTGCATGCGTATAATATTTTTATAGTCTTAAAAAAGATTGCTCTAAAGTTTGAGCCAGGATGACCAAAAATATTGTGGTGTCCATATGAGATGTTACTTTTTCTAACCTGAGAAGTCACAGTAAGTAAAATGAACGGAAACCATGAAGACTGGAATTGTTGAGTAAGAAAATTATGTCGATATTCCATCTGAATCCTAAGTTCAGAACTTTAAAAACACAATTACTGAGCACCTGCTGGGTGCCAGGCAATGTGCTAGGTTCCTTAAGTAGTTTCTCATTTAACCCTTTATTCTCACATCTGTATCGTTGATAATGTTTTCCACTAAATAGACTCCCAGTAAAAATTGATGAATGATGTATCTCATCGAATTCCTTGAATTGAGAGATGTGATTTAATGTTTTTTTTTAATTTTTTTTTTTTTTTTTAGCTCGGACACCCAGGCTGGAGTGTAGTGGCCTCAACCTCCTGGGATCAAGCGATCCTCCCAACTTAGCTCCCCAAGGAGCTGGGACTACAGGCACATATCACCACGCCCTGCTAATTTTTTATTTTTCATAGAGAAGGGGTCTCACTATCTTGCCCAGGTTGGTCTCAAACTCCTGAGCTCAAGTGATCTTCCCGCCTTGGCCTCCCAAAATTCTAGGATTACAGGCATGAGCCACCACGCCCAGCCTAGTGTTTTTCTTTAAATGGCTTAACTTAAGTAAGTTAAACAAATGGTACATTTTTATTTGCATAGAACTATATAACCTATGATGCTTTTTAATTGTAAATAACACATCTTAAAAAGAGGGCCGGGTGTGGTGGCTCATACCTGTTATCCCAGCACTTTGGGAGATTGAGGCAGGGGGATCACTTGAGGCCAGGAGCTCAAGACCAGCCTGGGCAACATGGTGAAACCCTGTCTCTACTAAAAACAACAACAACAAAAAAAACAAAAATTAACTGGGCATGGTGGTGGCATGCACCTGTAGTCCCAGCTACTCTGGGAGGCTGAGGTGGGAGGATCACTTGAGCCTGGGAGGTGGAGGTTGCAGTGAGCCATGATCCTGCCACCGCACTCTAACCTGGGTGACAAGAGCTAGACCCTGTCTCAAAAAAAAAAAAGAAAGAAAAAGAAAAATCTACAAATTAGAAACATCCATTACCCTTCTACAATAAAAACTATCATTTTGGCTGGGTGTGGTGGCTCAAGCCTGTAATCCCAGCACTTTAGGAGGCCGAAGTGGGCAGATCACTTTAGACCAGGAGTTTGAGACCAGACTGGCCAACATGGTGAAACCCTTCTCTACTAAAAATACCAAAATCAGCCAGGTATGATGGCACATGCCTGTAGTCCCAGCTACTCCTGAGGAGGAGGAACGAGAATTGCTTGAACCTGGGAGACAGTGAGCTGAGATCGTACCACTGCACTCCAGCCTGGGCGACAGAGCGAGACTCTGTCTCCAAAAACTCCCAAACACCTCATTTTAATACTTTCATATTAATTCCGTGATTCTTAACCCTGACCCACACTTTAGAATCCCTGGGGAGTTCTTTAAAAAAGCTACTGATTATATTGGCCCCACCCTAAAGTAACTGGATCAGGATATGGACAGAGTTGGAAATCGCTGCGTCGGGATTGCTTTTGTAGTAGGATGGCAGCTGCTTTTATGGTGCCCTTGTGTTGATTTTGCTACATGAAATATGATCTGTCAGGAAAGGAACTACAAAGTTCATTTTGTAGAATGCTACCTTTTCATTTTAAAAGCCCATCTGATCGAGTGAAAGTGTATAGAAGCACTTGTTTTGTATTAAAATTTTGATACCTGACTCTCATTTATGAAAGAATCTGTGTATGAAATAGCCCAAATTAGTATCAGCCTTTGGATAGTTTAAAAAATGATTTTTTTTTTGGTATGCTTCCCTATCATCTCCATCTGCCCCAGAACTCAAGGTCTGTCCATGCTGGTGACTTAGAGTAGTGGGATTTAAACCAGAGGATGCACACTTGGAGGCACTTGAAGATGTTTCAAGGGACATGCAGGCATTGAATATTTAAAGGAAATTAATTGCCGATTCTTAGATCTTGAGTGTTAATCAGTTCTAACACTGACCGTCCTGAGAAAATGCCTATGGCCCAGGTGACCTGCTGGTTTTCCTTTCACACCTTCTCTTTCATGATTACCATTCTTTAAAGGGAAGACATACCTTTCACCTACCCCTTATCAGAGTGCCAAGTAGGGGGATAATTAAAATACTGCTGGGGCTGCTGGGAAAGTGAGTGACTCTAATGACTGGGCAAAGGAACCTTTTGCAAATGTTTCCCATTTTTGCATTCAGTAAAATTGGGCAGGGTGGCTCATGCCTGTAATCCAAGCGCTTTGGAAGGCTGGGGCAGGCAGATCAGTTGAGCCCAGGAGTTCAAGACCAGCCTGGGCAACATGTCAAATCCTCATTTTTACAAACAAAACAAAACAAAATTAGCTGGACGCGGTGGCACGTGCCTGTAGTTCCAGCTACTTGGAGGGCACTGAAGTGTGGGAGGATTGCCTGAGCTTAGGGAGTTTGAGGCTGCAGTGAGCCATGATCATGCCAGTGTACTCCAGCCTGGACAATGTAGTGAGACCCTGTCTCAAAAAAAAAAACAAGAAAAGAAAAAAACCGGAAAGATGACTTAATCAAGTGGTCAGCTGATAGATTATTAAATAGTAAGCCCATGGATACATATTACTTTTGTTCAAAAAGACCTTTTTCCAAGGAATGCTTATACACGGTTGGTAGGAGTGTAACTTAGTTCAACCACTGTGGAAAGCAGTGTGGTGATTTCTCGAAGAACTAAAACCAGAACTACCATTCGACTCAGCAATCCCATTACTGGGTATATACTCAAAGAAATATAAGTTGTTCTATCATAAAGACACATGCACTTGTATGTTCATTGTAGCACTATTCACAGTAGCAGAGACATGGAATCAACCTAAATGCTCATCAATGGTAGACTGCCTAAAGAAAATGTGGTACATATACACCGTGGAATACTACACAGCCATCAAAAAGAATGAGATCATGTCCTTTGCGGGAACGTGAATGGAGCTGGAGGCCATTATCCTTAGCAAACTAACAGAACAGAAAACCAAATACCACATGTTCTCACTTGTAAGTGGGAGCTGAATAATAACACGTGGAAACATAGGGTAGAACAACAGGAATGGGGCCTAACTGAAGGTGGAGGGTGCGAGGAGGGAGAGTATCAGGAAAAATAACTGAGTACTAAGCTTAGTAGCTGGGTGATGAAATAATCTGTATATCGAACCCCCATGACACGAGTCTCCCTATATAACAAACCTGCACATGTATACCTGAACTGAAAAGTTCTTCCTTTCCCTACTGAAAAAATACAAAACCTTTTTCCATCTATATATGTATATGAACACATTTTCTCAGTGCCTACATCTATAAGAACTAAACAAAATAATAGATTTTGTGCTGAATCTTGTCTCATTCCAGTAATAAGTAATAGTCTTCTACAGAGACTGACCTGATTGGAGAAAAAGTTCCATCTGTCTCATTAAGATACTCGTTTCCAATAAAATGTTATTTATATTGAATAACTTTATAGTTTCTTTTGAGCAATTTTGCCTTTAAAATTGTATTTAACTCCATTTAAAATAAACATTTAATACTGATTTTTATGGTTAAATACACAAATTTTATTTGCAGAATTTTTGTTGCAGCGTAGAATAGACTTTCAAACTTTAACAAGATGGAATACTGTGGAGGAGGTGGAATGGAAAGTTGAGATCGAGGAGAAAGGGAAATGATGTACTGTTTCCAACTCTTTTGAAAGAGTTTGTTCATTTATTTTTTTAAAATGGATATCGGTTGTGGGGATGGCTATGGCATTTAGGTCAGAATGGATACGTTTAAGAGATGTAATGGTTTTATTTAAAACTCAGTATTTATAACATGCCAGAAATTATATTCTTTGCAACCGTTTAAAATTACAGTGTGAAAATTTGAATATTAACCTTAAAAATGTGTGAAAGAGTCTATAGTTTCTCCAGGTCTCTTTCTGGGGTTATGCAAACAAAGATGTGAAGAACTGTGGGCAAAGGCTATCATGGGGGCAGAAGTAATGAGGAGGACAGTAAGCATTTATTTATTTTTTCCCCTACTTAAAATTCCTGGAAAGATGAACTGATTGGATATTTTTAAGTCATAGCAACATTTTAACAGAAAAGAATACTTGCCAAACTTTAATATGACATCCAAAATACACTCTTTCTAAGATCACTTTTACAGGCCCTCTCCTCATCCCTGAGCCTTTCTTCATGCCATTCCTGACATCTAGATGTCTTCTGCTTTCATCCTTTATCTTTTGAGACAGAGTCTTGCTCTGTCGCCAGGCTGGAATGCAGTGGCTCAATCTCAGCTCACTGAAACCTCCGCCTCCTGGATTCAAGTGATTCTCCTGCCTCAGTCTCCTGAGTAGCTGGGACTACAGGCTCGAGCCACCAAGCTCAGCTAATTTTTTGTGTTTTAGTAGAGATGGGGTTTCACCATGTTGGCCAAGATGGTCTCGATCTCTTGACCTCGTGATCCGCCGACCTCAGCCTCCCAAAGTACTGGGATTACAGGCATGAGCCACCGTGCCCAGCCCTTTATTTTTTAAGGTGTTATTTTACATGTGCAGGCTATCTGCATGATCAGTAGCCATTAATGAAGTTTTAAATCACCAGTCTGTCATGCCCAGGTACTATACCCTTCATCTTTTATTAATTTTCTTTTTTCATCTGCTGGTTTTAGTTATCAAGGCGTCTAGAGAGGTTGGGGAGGCATAAGGCAGTCAGTAGAGCTCTGGAGGTAGGGGGTCAGGGTATTCTGTGGTCTAATCTGGTTCTGTTCTAGCAGGCTGTTTGAATTTACTGTCATGCTGGCCTAATGGAAAAATAAAGTTTGGCGTTTGCCTTTTTTGTTGCCTTCGCCAGAGCACATTTATTAATATATACTTACCAGAGAAAACTGTGAGGCTTGACTATGTAAGAAGCTTATTTGTGTTGGCTCAGGTTCTCTACTCAGTAGGATAGGAGCTCTATTCTGATTTATTTTGGACAGTTTTGAAGAGATAGAACCAAAAGACATTTATCAAATGAGTAAACTGAAGACTGAACTGGGGCAGAAGGGGTTCAGTTTTCTTTTCAAATTTTTGAGCACTTTAGGTATCAGGCAGCATAGGTGTTCTTGTTTTCTTACTTACTCTTTGAGTTCCAGTTCTGAGGTTGCACAGAGCTGCAGAAGCTGTCATAGCATGAAAATATTTAATAATAAATGTAATACTAATAAAATTGCTCTCCATTCGAACATGTCTTCCTGCTTAAAACTGGCTTTTGTTGCTCCCATTTCCCATCTGGTCTGTAGCCAGTGTCTTTGTGTTGGCAATTGACAAGGATAATGTGTTTGATGCTTCAAAAGAGGATGGTTTAAATGTCAAAACATTAAAAGATGGCCTTGTGTAAATTAATGTGGTTCTCAGATGTTTTAGCAAAAATCACCTCTTTATGACCCTCTCTATGTCATTATCATGCTACAATTTTGTCAAGAATTACACTAAAAATTCTTGACTCTTGACTCATTCTTTGTCATGCTGAGACTTAGGTCATGGTTGGGATTATAACAAAATTGATTAAATATGAAACACTTATTTTCATAACATTTTTTAGGAAAATCTCAGATAAGTCTCATTTTTTTTCTCTGTCTCATAATTGTGGATTTTAAGTGGATTCCTTTGAGTAGCTTTCTTTTGAGGTACCAGTTTCCCTCAGATACTGCATAGCACAGCTTTGGAATCATAAACCTTGGTTTGAATTCTGGCTCACCCTCTTGCCCTGGGTGACCGTAGCCAATTAATCTTTGCAGCTTTGATTTTCTCCTCTGTAAAACAAGACTAATGGTACCTTTTCTAGAGGATTGTTGAGAAGGCTTAGTGGTGCAGTTCACATAAAGATCATTGTGTGAGGTCTACACAATGCACATGCTCTGTAGCAGGACCAGAGGCTATCGTGAATTATTGCCCATGTTTCTCTTGGATCTCAATTGCTTTTCACTTGGCATTTGTCTCGGCTGAGTAGAGAATTGCTTTTTAAATGATGAGAAATGAGTCAACAATGCATGGTGATGTAAATAGGAGGGCATGTTTTGGTTTTCAAAGTGGAAATAGCCACTTCTATTATAAAAGTTACAATAGCTGATTATTGAGGGCTTACTTTGTCCTAGATTCTCTTTAAAGCCCTCTACAAATGGCATCTCATTTAATCATTCCAATAAAACTATGAACTAGGTACCATTAAGATAGGTATCATTAGTAGCCCCATTTTATAATAGGAAACCAAAGTTAGTACTCATTCAAGCTTGTCTAGCTGGTAAGTGTAATGCCTGTTAAAAATTTTTTTGTAAAGAAAATACTATAAAATATAAAGAAGAAAAATAAAAAATAACAGCTTTATTGAGATAGAATTTACACTTCATAGAATCCCACATTCACATTACTTCACCCTGTTTTTTTCTTTTCTTTTTTTTTTGAGATGGAGTCTCGCTCTGTCCCCCAGGCTGGAGTGTGGTGACGCAATCGTGGCTCACTGCAACTTCCGCCTCCTGGGTTCAAGCAATTCTCTGCCTCGGCCTCCCGGATAGCTGGGATTATAGGCGCCTGCCACCACACTCGGCTTATTTTGTATTTTTAGTAGAGACAGGGGTCTCCCCATGTTGGCCAGGCTGGTCTCGAACTCCCGACCTCAGGTGATCCACCTGCCTCGGCCTCCCGAAGTGCTGGGATTGCAGGCATTAGCCACCGTGCTCAGCCTACTTCACCCTTTTAAAGCATACAATTCAGTGGTTTTTAATATATTCATAGTTTTGCAACTATCACTGCTATCGAATTTCAGAAATTTTCATCAACTTATTAGAAAACACCACTCCCATCAAGCAGTCACTTCCTGCCCCTGGCCACCACTCCATTCCCCTGACAACCTCTAATCTACTTTCTGTCTCTATAAATTTGCCTGTTCTGAATATTTCATATAAATAGAATCATGTAGCATGTGGCCTTTTTTGACTGACTTCTATTTAGCTTAATGTTTTCGGGGTTTACCACATGGCATGTAACAATACTTTATTCCTTTCTGCTGCCAAACAATATTCCATTGTATAGATAGATCACATTTTATTCATCATTTGTACATTTGGATTGTTTCCAATTATTGGCTATTATGAATAATGCTGTGAACATTTGTGTGCAAGTGTTTGTGTGGACGTATGTTTTCAATTCTATTGGTTATATATCTACGAGTGGTATTGCTGGTTTATATGGTAACTTTATGTGTTCCATTTTGAGGAACTGCCAAATTGTTTTCCAAAGTAGTTGTACCATACCTTACTTTTCATACATGACTTTTCTACAGGTAAAGTATGATAGTTGCAATTTTTCTACATTCTCACCAACCAACAGTTAATAGATGAGTTTATTATAGCCCTTCTAGAGGGTGCGATGTGGTATCATTGTTTTGATTTGCATTTTTCTAATCATGTTGAGCCTCTTTTCTATGTGCTCATTGACCATTTGTATATATTCTTTGGAGAAATGTCTGTTCAAATCCTCTGCCCATTTTTTTTTTTTTTTAAAGATAGGGTCTCACTGTGTTGCCCAGGCTGATCTCAAGTGATCCTCCCATCTTGACCTCACACAGCGTTGGGATTATAGACGTGAGCCACTGGTCTCAGCTCAAATCCTTTGCCCATTTTTACGTTAGATTAATTGTATTTTTATTTTTGAGTCATGTACTATAAATGGTATGTTATTTTTATATATTTTTAAATGAGATTAAATGACAATTTTGTAAGTTGCTTTTTAAACTTAATAATCTTCCCATGTCTATATCTAAGTACATCAGTTTTACTGACTGCCTTATAGTTCATTATATGAATGTTCTATAATTTTAAAATCTAATTCTTTGTTTTTTCACCCAGGCTGGATTGCAGTGGCAAGATCTTGGCTCACTGCAGCTTCCACCTCCCAGGCTCAAGCGATCCTCCCACCTCAGCCTCCCAAGTAGCTGAAACTAGAGGCATGCACCACTGTGCCGGGCTAATTGTTATATATTTTTTAGAGACAGGGTTTCGCCATATTACCCAGGCTCGTCTTGAAATCCTGGGCTCAAACAATTCACCTGCCTCAGCCTCCCAAAGTGCTGGGATTACAGATGTGAGCCACTGTGCCTAGCCCTAAAATCGAATTCTTTATACGTGAAGTTTATTTAAAAGGAAAGAAAACCCCACCAGGCTATATCTACATTTGAATGCTTGTGCAATCATTTCTTTAGGATACATTACTAGAACTGGAATTGCTGGGTCAAAAAGTGGGCATGCTTCAAGGCCTTTGAAAAATATTCTGTACTTGCCCTCCAGAAAGGTTGTTTCAGTTATACCCTTATGCTAATGTCTTGAGATTGTCAGTTTCTTACGAGCCTCCCAGCACTAGGTACCAGTACTTTTTGTTCATCTTTTAAATTTTATTTATTTATTATTATTATTCTTTTGAGACGGAGTCTTGCTCCGTCACTTAGGCTGGAGTGCAGTGGGGGCGATCTTGGCTCACTGCAACCTCCGCATCCCGGGTTCCAACGATTCTCCTGCCTCAGGCTCCTGAGTAGCTGGGATTACAGGTGCGCGCCACCATGCCTGGCTAATTTTTGTATTTTTAGTAGAGATGGGGTTTCACCGTGTTGGCCAGGCTGGTCTCAAACTCCTGACCTCATGATCCACCCACCTCGGCCTCCCGGAGTGCTGGGATTACAGGCGTGAGCCACCACGCCTGGCCAGCTCATCTTTTAAATTTTAATCTAAGAGGTCCAAATTGGTATTATATACTTCTTTTAGTTTGCATGTACTTATGAAGATGAAGTTGGTTGAAGTTTCCTTTGTTTCCACCATTGGACTTATTTGCTATGCCTGGAGATCACTTCCTGTGCCGCCTCCAGACCTCTGCTGGGACATCCCTTAATCTAGGAAGCATTTCCCACCTCTTCCCTCAACTGCACAGGCACAGACATGTTCTCTCATCCTCCCTTGCACGGGTCCTTTACAAGGCCCTGGGCGGGTTCCTAGGAATGTTTTTACATGACTGTGTTTTTTATTAAGTCTTCAGAAGTAATATATAGTGTGTATTTTTTTTTCCTTTAAAATACTCCACTTTGCCCTCTCACATAAGTTTCAGAGCTCCATAAAACCTGGATCTGCCCTGCCTGGGACATTAGGTGTCGAATGTAATGCTGAATTGAATGGAACCCACTGAGTATATTGCTCCTTAGCGCTCTTAATGTTTAGGTCAGGAGCCTTTTGTTCAAGGAAGCTTGGTTACCAGTGAGTGGGCTCCTGAAAACTATGGTAGCAGTGAAAGAAAGACTCTTGGAAAATGGTTATGATTAATCTTGTGTGCAGTGTCTGTGTATATGCAGTCATGTGTTCCCAAACCTTATTAACAAGATGAAATACCTATTTTAGTACACACTTGATTTTCTGGATAACCCAATGGTGGTAGTAGGCACCCAAATAGCCTCTCTCCTAACTCTTTGGTTCACCTTGTTTAAAGCCTTTAGACTGAGTAAGAATCTTTTGGACCCTGTTTTTTTGGCTTGAAAATTTGCCCAATTTGAGTGGTGGGTGATATATTTACTAGTTTTCTTTATTCCTTGAACTTACGATGAGTGTGTGTTTTATAATGGGGTGAAAAAAAAAACAGTAACCTTTTTGTTGAACAGACAGAAAATTTCCAACTTGCTTTTAGTGAGAGCTGAGACCTGACAATGGGAGTGAACATGCCGGGCTTGATTCCAGCCAGGTTCCTGTTTAGAATTGAGGCCGAGGTCAGTCAGCAGGTGCTTGCGTTCTCACACAGTCCTTGGAACCAAGCATGCTGTGCACTGTGATTGTAGGACTGAACACTTGCACATTAAAAACTCCTCCTCATTTCCCGAGCACTTCTTGTGGGATGCTGCTGCGCATTTCGAAAGACAGTGTTTTTGCTATAATAGAAAGCTGTGTCCACCAGGGGTAGAAGGGAACACACGAGAGCAGGTCCAGAGAGAAAAAAGAATCAGAAGAGGCTGAACCTAGTATTGAGGCCTATGAAAATAAGATGCAGACATCATACTTGAGAAACTGTTAATGGAATAGAAAAGCTTGAAAACATAGTGAATACATTCAATTTTTTGGTCTCAGCACAAAATCACTGGAGAGAAAAATGTACGTAACAAGTGTGATGTGTTTGGTGCTACAGGGAAGGGATATAGAATAGTGATACTCTTAAGCATCATAGAAGCGATGGGAACATCAGGCCAATTACTGAGAAATTTCCTATTGACTGAAATCATGTGTGACAGTTTCAGAAATAATGATAGGCTCTCGTATATGTTGGTACGAGTTTACTGTAAAAATCAATAGCCCGACTTGGTGCTCAGGCTCTGTTTTCTCCTTCGGTGATATCGAAACTGACTTTCAGCCCTTTCATTGCACTTGTGACTCCGGGGGACACGTGCTGATTTCCTGGTTCTATCCTAACGGTGCCTGCCCTTTTCTGTTTACTCCATGTCAGTGCAGGCATTGATAAGAATTCTAGTCGGTGGGGTGGTGAAGACATCAAGAGACCTTAACCTGGGGTTTCCTTGCTGTATCTTAAACTTTTGACCACCATTCTTACATTTGCTGTGATCAGTTTGTAGTCTTTATGTGTAATACTTTTTCTCCCCACCTTCCTGGGGGGAAAATTCCACATGTAAAGGATTTGTCAAATTGGTGATAAGACCAAACAGCCTTAGGGGACATGAGAAGTCTTATGAGCATTGTAGACCTGCTGGTGAGCTAGGGGGTGTAGGCTGTGTGGGGTACTTTCTGTTCTTTACTTAGAGATTTGGTAGGGAAAGTTCTCTGGAATTTCAGCAGTTGTTCTGATGTCATGTGTAAATATTATCTTTCTGTGTTGCAGCTTGGGGCCAAGCTTTTCATGGAAACTGCTGAAAATTATTTAGTGGCATAGTAGTTGTTTTTGAAGTTGAAGACTTTATACCCAAATCCAGATGGACGAATCTTTCACTTTCTTGCTACAGATTTTGTGAAGAAGTGTTACTCAAACTTTAGGTGACATTAACACCATAAGTGTGTTAGGGGAAGAGCTGGGATAAAGGGATGGAGATGCTTTGAGCTGCTACAGTAGTTTGCACATTCTTACCTGTCTGACTCTATTTGCCATCACATATAGAATGTGGAGAATGACCAAGCAATCTTAAACTTTAATAATTGGGTTTACATAGGAAGGAAACAACAGGCAAATCTAATTGTAAAGCAGAGACATGCATTTAGTACATAGATAATTGGACCAATTTCAGAGACAGAAATGAAGGAAAAATGAGCCCCACAGGCTTGAGGGTCAAGCTAGGCTGTAAGACAGAAATTCACTCTGCATTTCTAGGAAGATGGCTTGTGGCTTTTACACAGGAGGACTCTGAAGAACCTGCTATATCAAGTGTCAGTTATGTGCAAGAAACGGGATTAGATACTGTGGATGAATAGGGAAGTTTACTAGTCCTTGACCACAGGGAGTTCACACATTAATACACATGAAAACAAAACTGCCAGGGTAAAGCCCAGTACATCCTAAATGCCAAGTGAATGATATACACAATAGCCAGTTGCTCAGTGGAAGAACCAGAAATTTGCCTGGGGAAGGTCTGTGTAGACTTGCTTCCATATCTGCACTGACTTTGGGGGTCAGGGGATCTCTTAAGGCTTTGAACAAACACGGTCCATCTTTCTTGGTGCCAGTTTTACTTAAGATTTGGAAGGAAGATTTTTATATTAAAATAAACTCTGCCAGGCACGGTGGCTCACGCCTGTTGTTATCGCAGCACTTTGGGAGGCTGAGGTGAGAGGATTGCTTGAGCCCAGGAGTTTGAGACCAGCCTAGGCAACATAGGGAGACCCCACCTCTGCGTTAAAAAAGAAAAAAAAAGATTAAAAAAATTAGCTGGGTGTAGTGGCACTCGTCCGTGGTTCCAGCTACTTGGAGGCTGAGGCAGGAGGATAGCTGATCACTGGAGGTCAAGGCTGCAGTGAGACATGATCACACCATTGCTCTCCAGCCTGGGCAACAGAGTGAGATCCTGTCTCTGATAGATAAATACATAAATAAAAACTCAAAAGCTGGAAGAGAGTGCTCAGTTTGCATACATCTTAAAAATAGATGACTAGTCCTCAATATTTTTCACACTTTGGGCAGGAAACTGGGAAGGCCCTAGGTCTCCAGTGCAGATCGTTCTCCTCTGTCAGTAATTTGGGGGCAAAGTTTGAAAAGCGCTGATGAGAGATTAGCAAGGGCTATCTCTGTGCCCTGTCTCTTCTTCTTTCCTTAATAACTGAGCGGGTTTAGTGAGGAGCAGTTATTTCTGTGACATAAATGGGTGTGCTAGAGATTCATGATTGGAAGTGATTAATAATTAACTGTGAAGAATTGGAGCACGACTTAAAGTACGTCGTGTTTAGAATTAGTTAATGGGAAGGACTGGGGACCCTTTCCCAGGGGTAATTGTAGCTTCTGCTTTTTCAATCAACGTCTTTGGATCCTTTACTTCCTGGAATTTATAGAGCAGCTGTTCAGTGTGTCTGCATTAAAGGAATGAGTAGGTGAAGTGACTTGCAGTCCTCCCTGGGAAGCCAGTTCTTTGTGTGTGTGATTTTGGGGAGGGGAAGTGGTTGTAGGGAGTATCCACTGGGGAGTAGCACTGCCCACACATTAACTTGAGCCACTTTCCGGCTCTGTGATCTGGGGCCTTGTTTCTGCATGTGTAGAATGGGGATGATACTGACTCTTCTAGGCTTGTGAGGATGGAGGTAATGTGAATAACCATTAGGGATTCAGCACCATCAGGGTGGTGGCTGTGGCGGCTGTCAGGGATAATGGTGCTGATATCATTGAGAAGGGGCGGGGTGGTTATTGCTCCAGGGAAAAGTCTGGGCCGTGGCCTTCCAGGCAGGACCGTTTCAAATGCGTGTCTCCTCTTGATGTTCTAGCTAGGAAGTGAGTCTACATTATAATCACTAGAACCATTGTACATTGCTATAGGAAAGGACACGTGCTGTTAAATACAGATAGACCTTATTTTGCACCAAATACATTCCTGAAAACTGTTCTTTTTACTTAGTTATTTTTTAAATTGGGGTACAATAGACGTAACATTAAATTTACCATTTTGACCATTTTTAAGTGTACAGTTGAGTGGCGTTAAGTATACCCATGTTACAGAGCAACTATCGCCACCATCCGTCTCCAGAAATCTTTTCATCTTGTAGAACTGAAACTGTGCCCATTGAACAATAACTCCTCATTCCTCCCTCCCGCTCAAGCCCGTAGCACCCACCCTTTTACTTCCGTCTCTGTGGATTTGACTACTCTGCGTGCTTCATAGGAGGGAGAATCATACGTTACTTGTCTTTTTAGGATTGGCTTCTTTCATTTAGCGTAATGTCTTCAAGATTTATCCATGTTGTTGCATGTGTTTTCTGTGTTTTTTTTTTTTTTTTGTTAACATCATGTTGTTATTACACAAGAAGTGCATGTTTATTTTACAGTTTTTCAACAGTATACAGAAGAATAAAAAGATTACATTATTCCCCTACCCAACATAACTTTTGTTATTTTGGTGTATGTGCTTCTACTGAGCCTGCAACTTAAAGCAGAATCGTTTAGAGTGAAATCTTACACGTGCTGCCCTGGGACCTCTGGTTTTCTTGGGTGTGAGAGGAACTGTTGAATGTAAATTTTCAAGAGAGTGAGAAATCAAGTGTGGGTCTGTGAGGCTGTGGTGAAGGAGCCGGAGGAGAAACGTGGAGTGGTGAAGTGGGAACCCTCAACCGCCATTTGTGAAATGGGACGTTCTCACCTTTGAAGCTTGAGCTTGTGGGTTTTGAGTTCCTGTTTTGTGCCCTTTTAATGTCAACTTTCTAAGTTCATAAGTTGGTAGGAAATAGGTGTCCTAACTTCCATTGTGTGCAGATAATAGGAGACTTAAATAAAAGGTGGGTGAGAAGCAGGGATGTTGCATGCCAAGCACTAGGGGAAGGAGGAGACCGGGATGGAAGTAAACGTGAAGGCAGTGCTGCGGGCAGAGGGACCGCCCTCTGGGCTCCCTGGGACTCGGTCTGTGTGGCTCTTCCAGGAAGCGTGACCCTTCCCCCTGCCTCATGCTATTTCTGCCAGAACGCTTTGGTGCCCTACCGAGCTCTCTCTTCTCGTTTGGCTCCACCCAGTAAGATGGAGTTCCTTAAGAGCAAGGTCCTTCAGTTATTTCTTATTTTTTATCCCCAGCACCTAGCTGGGTTCCCTCGCCCTAGCCAGTCTTTAATAAATGCTTCTTGGAATGAAAGAATGAGAGCCTGCCCAGAAGGTGGTCATTCCCATATCTCATCGTGTGCCACAGCCCATTTCATTTCTCACCTCACCTCCCCATCCCCATCCTTTGTGAAGTCCCCTTCCTGGAGGGCCTCCCCATCCTCCCACTATCACTGCCCACAGACTACTTTGAGCAATGGGTTGCTTGAAGCCCTGCCTTGAGTTACACTGGGTGATCTAGACCAGGCAGAGGAAATCCCCATTGCCTTTGCCTGGGCTACAGAGCTTGGGTTTTCCCTTAGTCCACTCTGATACATGGTAGTTAGACTTTATAGGACTTAAGGATGAGTAGGTTTTTGTGGCTTGGTTTGCTCACCTAATCATCAACGTACTGTGTTTCTTAGTTCTTAAAAAAAATAGTTTAAGGCCATAGGATTACCTGTATTTTTAACTTTTGTGCCCTTAGAATTTTATGTTAGAATAAAATCTGAAATATAGTTTCTTGTGACTATAATTCCCAAATGTTATGTCAGGCATTGGCAAGCCATGTTATTTAAAACTGCCAGAAGTATGTTGCCTTTTAAGTGGAAGTATTTGTGAAACGTATGAATTTCCTAGTATCCCTCTAGGCTGCTGTGTGTTGAATGGAATTCCTTCTATAAGACGTGAGATTAGGCAGTTTGCCTTAAGCTAGCAGAGGGGACTAGCTATTCATTTTAGGAATGAATGGAGGCCAGAGAGAAGCATAATAAGCCAAAACTTAAAATTCAGAAGGGAAATAGCACTACATTGTTTAGGAGGAAACTAAATCTGTGGCATAAGTCTGAAGGTAAGACTTGGTAAAAAGAAGGGGAAGTCTTTGAGGAAGAAGAATTGAGGCTTTAGAAAATGCAAAGGCTGACATTTGCAGAGCTGGTCGGCTAGTTGTTTTGAAGAGGGTGCTAATGGGAAGCACTCAGGAGGTTGTGTGCTTCTAATTGGCCTCAAGTTTTATAGTTGAATTTTCATGGATCGTTATCATATTATTATTGATGGGATTATGGAGAAAAGTCTGCGGTTAGTGTTAAAAGAAAATTAAAATATTTCCAAATCAAGGCCACACCCAGAAAAGATCTCACCTTTACTCCTGCAGTCAGGCTGATAGATTACATAGCAAGTTGTATTTTGTTTTGTACCCCATACTCAGGGTGATACCCAAGGTTTTACCTAATCAGAGGAGGCCTCAGCCTTCCATAAAGGGAGCATGTTCTGTTTGATTATCAGCCCTGCCCTTACTTCATGACATAGTTTTCTCATTAGAAAATTCATGTTTATTGTAGGAAGATTAAGTAACTCAGAAAAGAACAAAGAGAATAAAAGTCGTCATCACCCAATCTCCTGGCTGAGAACTGATTTACCAGCACGTCTCACTTTAGGTTTTCTGTCTTTCCCATGTTTCACTTCTGTTTTTTTTTTTTTTTTTTTTCCTGTCTTAGCTGCAAAGTCTAGTGGGGAATTTGGCCCCTGGCTGCTCTGGATTGCCATTCTCAGAGCTTTGCATTCTCAGGAGTTCCCTTCCAGGGCATGTAGCCCAAGGACTCTGATGGACCTGCCCTAGGTCTCTCAGCAGAAGGAGGGGCAGCAGCTAAGTTGTGTGTGTCGGTTGAGGCCATAAGCGAGGGCTACTCCCTGCTGGCAGTCCAGGTCTTCTCCCACAACACTTTGTAAATTTTAAAAAGGCCAAAAAGAAAAATAGTTGCTAATATCAAGGACACAGATATATGTTTTAATGACTGACATTGTTTGCAGGTAAATATGTCAAAGGGAGAGTTATATTTTTATGAGCTTTATGTGTGTCTTATTTTGAAGACAGTTTATACAATAATGATGCATGCTTTTTATTTTAAGGGACTTTGTAAAGAAGATAAGCTTGTCTAATAGTGCATGGGATTGCTTGGTAGGAGGCCTAGGTTTGTTTCTTAGCTCAGCTGTTTAACCAGATCCTTGACTTTGGGCAAGCACCCCTCTGGGTTTCCATTTCGTGGCCTGGAGGAGGAGAAATTTAGACCCTGTGGTCTATTAAGGTTACTTCCAACATAAAACTCCCATGTTATGGGTTGAAGCCTGATTTTATCACTTTATGTTATTTAGAGGATTTGTAGCTGTGTCATAGATTTTGTGCAGTGTCGCCATTGCTGTGATTTATTTGGTGCCTTTGGCCAGGATGTAACCCTTCAATTACAGTGTAGTTCCCATGGGAAGGTATGATATTGGCTTCATGTTGTGGGTTCTAGGAATGTTCCATGGAGGTAAAGCAGGGGCTATCTCTGTAAGTAGTTTCATTGGATGGCTCGTGTTTTAGGACCACACTGCTGTTTGGCTAGTGAAGCATACGTAATGATGCTGAGTGTAATAGCACACTGTCCAGGTATTTGACAGGCATTTCTCTCTGGTTTATGGGTTGATGCGACTTGATACATAATGATTATTCTCCTTCTTTCCAATGTGTTTGAGTGGTGCACACAAATCAGGCATATATTGGAAAGTTTTAGGATTTTTTAAAAGGATTTTTCCGTTTTTAAAAACTTGAAATAGTGATTGTGATAGTACCTCTAGAGCCAGTGCCTGTTCTTTCATCACAGGTTTAACAGCCTCATAAGTAAATCCTTTTCCTTTCAGTTTCTTTTTTTTTGAGACTGGATCTCACTCTGTCACCCAGGCTGGAGTGCAGTGGCGCTATCTCGGCTCACTGCAACCTCTGCCTCCAAGGTTCAGGCGATTTTCGTGCCTCAGCCTCCCAGGTAGCTGGGGTTACAGGTGCACGCCACCACACCTGGCTAATTTTTGTATTTTTAATAGAGACAGGGTTTCACCACATTGACCAGGCTGGTCTCGAGCTCCTGACCTCAAGTGATCAGCCTGCCTGGGCCTCCCAAAGTGCTGGGATTACAGGCGTGAGCCACCGTGCCCAGCCCTTTTTCTTTCAGTTTCTTAATTTCTTTTTATTACTCTTGCTGCCTAAGTCTAACTGATTCTTCTCATTTGTTAGTGGGTTTCCCACTTAAATCTTCTCTGTATCAGTGTTTTTCAAATATTAAGGCGCACAGGAATCATCGAGGGATCTTGTTAGCTTGGAGATGCTGATTAA
Source organism: Homo sapiens (assembly GCF_000001405.40). Lineage (NCBI taxonomy): Eukaryota > Metazoa > Chordata > Mammalia > Primates > Hominidae > Homo > Homo sapiens. Next base: position 153,525,814 of record NC_000004.12, read on the forward strand.
GTAGGTCTGTGGTGGGGCCTGCGATTCCACATTCCTTTATTTTTTATTTTTATTTTTTTTTTGAGATGGAGTCTCGCTCTGTCGCCAGGCTAGAGTGAGTTGGCACGATCTCGGCTCACTGCAGCCTCTGCCTCCCGGGTTCAAGTGATTCTCCTGCCTCAGCCTCCCAAGTAGTTGGGACTACAGGCACGCACTACTGCACCCAGCTGATTTTTTTGTATTTTTAGTAGAGATGGGGTTTCACCATGTTGGCCAGGATGGTCTTGATCTCTTGATCTCATGATCCGCCCACCTCGGTCTCCCAAAGTACTGGGATTACAGGCGTGAGCCACCACACCCAGCCTGCTACTCCACTTTTCTAACAGACTCCCAGGCGATGCGATGCTGCTGGTCTGTGGATCATAGTTTGAGTAGCAAGGGCATAAAGTTTGTGTAGGCCACACTTGGTCCACCTGTCCTCTCATCCACAGGCCTCTCTTCTCCTGTCCACTACCTGTATTGTTCATCTGAGAATCATTTATCCCTAACTTCAAGTTTCCAACACATGTTTTTTGAGCACTCCCTCCTGCAGATACTGTATTGGATAGAGGATGCAGGGATGAAGGACGCACTCCCTGCCCTCAGGAAGCTTGCTGTCTTGGCCGGGCACGGTGGCTCACACCTGTAATCCTAGCACTTTGGGAGTCCGAGGCAGGTGGATCACGAGGTCAGGAGATTGAGACCATCCCGGCTAACACGGTGAAACCCCGTCTCTACTAAAAAATACAAAAAAAAATTAGCCGGGCGTGGTGGCGGGCACCTGTAGTCCCAGCTACTCAGGAGGCTGAGGCAGGAGAATGGCGTGAACCCGGGAGGCGGAGCTTGCAGTGAGCGAGATCACGCCACTGCACTCCAGCCTGGGTGACAGAGCAAGACTCTGTCTCAAAAAAAAAAAAAGGAAGCTTGCTGTCTTATATGAGGCCAGTAGCACTTGTAAATAGCTCCTGTCGTGTTGTGAAATGTGCTATAACAGAGATAGGTGTAAAATGCTGCAGAAACACAGAGGAGGGGTAAATTGTTCTGGTAATTAAGGGTTCACATCATGTCTATTCTGTTGAGCGGGCGTGTAGGTTTTGGGGCCTTGAGAGAGGGCCTGCATTTATTGTTTATATGTATCTTTGTGTCCCTTTTGTCTGGGACAATACCTGAGACATGGCAATTAAATGTTGAATGCATGAGGTTATTTAACCCTCCATGAAAGACTGAAGATCCCTTTTTAGGAATCAGATGACCATCTTTTTTCAGTTGCACTTCTGACACAAAGCTCATGTTGGCTACAGTCCATTGATGTTTTAGGATTTGGGGTTATTCTAGCAGGTACTTGTGACTGACAATAGTAAATGAATCTTGCAAGGGGGAGGTGAAAGTAATTTTCATCGTAATTATCATTTGGTGACTTGTTGCCAAATCTTCAGTTTTTTTTCTTTGTGGGGGGGCGGTGATGAGGTCTCATTCTGTTGCCCAGGCTGTAGTGCAGTGGTACGATCTCAGCTCACTGCAGCCTCCGCCTCCTGGGTTCAAGCAATTCTCCCACCTCATCCTCCCGAGTAGCTGAGATTTCAGGTGTGCACCACCATGCCCGGCTAAGTTTTTGTATTCTTTGGTAGAGACAGGGTTTCACCATGTTGCTCAGGCTGGTCTTTTGAACTCCTGGGCTCAAGTGATCCGCTTGCCTTGGCCTCTCAGTGTGCTAGGATTACAGGCATGAGCCACTGGCCCAAATCCTGAGTTTCTTCTCGTCTTTTTTATAGTGCATTGATCCAAATCAGGCAAGTGTATGTGACCCCACCCCTGCCCTGATTTAATGTTTACTTCCTTTTCTTCATAGTTTTATAACTTGTTGCCAGTGAAAGGATCAGAATTTGGGGGTCTTTCGTGTTTGAGGAAACGCAGCCCAGGAAGGGAACCCAACACGTTTTACCTGGCAGCGTGTGGCTGAGCCTGGAGTGTCATCTTGGGCCCCTGACTCTGAGGTGAAGGCTGTTTCTGCAACATTTGGGTCTAACCTCGTCCTTTTACTGCGACCTGCCTCAGGACCACCTTGCATTTGTCTCTCTTCAGTTTCCTCTTTTTTGGTACTATATGCGTACAACTTCGAGAAGCTTCTGTAATTTTAGTTCAGTTTGTGTGTTGTGCAGCCATACCATTAACTGAGCAGGTTCTTTTCCTCACCGTCTGGTCTGAATTTCCTTGTCCTGCGGAAAGGCATTGCCTGCCACGCCTTGTTGAGTTCTCTCATCTCTGAAATAAAGAGGAAAATAGACGTTATACATTTTGAAAGCCTCAGTTTACTTCCAGGTTTTGGCATAATATAAAACAGGTTACAGCTTGCCTCTTCAGGTGGATTATTTAGTCGTAAAAATGGAAACTTATTGATAGGGAAAACCCAGCCTACGAAAACAGAACAGAGCGCAAGACTGCGTTTGAGCTCCCAGCAGTTGGCATTGGTAGATTTGTGTGGGTGATAAAACATAAGTTTTGTATTTGATGTATCCTTTTCCAGTGAAGTGGGAAAACTGTGACATGTTTCACAATATTGAAAAAAGCGTACCAGTTTTAATATAGAGTGTGAAGTCTGGTGGCAGTAATGCAGATAAACCATTCCCCTTTGGAAATTTAGGGGCTTTAAAAACAACAAAACAAATCACAATAAGGTAAGAAAAAGTGTAAGTTCAAAAGCAGGTAAAGGAGGAAAATACTTTTAAATTTAAGGAGGAAATTGCTTTCTCACTTGCATTCTTTTTAATGTTTTTCCTACTTTCCCTAAAATAACAGAACCTGGTCTCTTATAGGTTCTCTGCCTAGGCTGTCTCGTAATGTGTTCATATTAAAGTTGCTGTTCCACAAGCAAAGCAGGTACAGCGTATGCCTCTGTTTCAGAGCTTCCAAGCCTAATAGAAATAGTCTTGGGGAGAGAGGGATTTGGTTGGGGGTGGGGGAGCCAACCCCTCCCTCGGAGAGTGTGGGCCACAGATAGGGTAGACTTTGAAACTCAAGAGAAACATCTGCAATGGTTTCTTATCTGACCATGCACAGTGTATGGTGGGTCACACCAGTCTTTGAATTTTGGCACCCTTTCGGTAGGGTAAGTTTCTGTGGGTCTGGCCTCCGAGAGTTGTGGCCTCCGGATTAAAGAGGTGGGATCCAGTGAGCTGAGGAAGAACCTTCCATTGCTTTTATCCCCACTGTCCAGAGGGTCCCAGAGACTGCCCATCAGTTGCCTGTTCTGTGATCACTGGTGATTTCTGGGAGGTTTTGTGATTAATTTTATCTCGGTGCTTATGAGAAATGACACTTAACCTCATGTCTTTGAACCTTGACTTTCATCTGTAGAAAATGGAAATGTTCTGTTCCATAGAGAGTCAGTTGTACTTGCACTGGTAAAAGAAATGATTGATTACTTTGAATATTCTATTTAAGGAAATGGTACACAGCATACTTCTAAAATGTAGATGGGATGGAATCCTTTTTACAAAAGAAATGAAAGTAAAATTTCCACTAAAATTGGCAAGCTTTTGTGGGTGTACCTGTTTCATCTTCAGCATGACTTGAAGAGGAACTTTAGTCAGTGTATATGTTTCCACTTACTGAAAGTGAGTATGTAAAGTAACTAAACCTATAGTGGACTCTTTATTTAGAAATAGATACTGCTACTTTGGAAGGGAGTGGATTGAAAGAGTTGAAAAACTAAAGAGAAGAGAAAACTGAATCCTTGGGGGGAAAATCTTAATGCAAGCACAAATATAACACCAAATTAAATCTAGGAGGAAAAGTAGTTTGAGCACAAGGGAAAATAAATTTTAAAATTTAAGGGTATGTGTACGTTTTATGTCACGCTGTGGTATACTCTCTGGTCTGAATCCTTGTGATAGGAATGATTTCATTTGCTTCAAACACCTCCCTTTTTCTCCCCTACCCCCTTCACATAACCTGTGGGAGATTTTCTGTATTTGGCTTATGCCCATGTTTTGAAGTCACACAGTGTATTAAGTAAGATCTGATTGCAAAAATGGTCTCTGTTAAAACAGGCTGTTACACAAGATGTTACCATATGTTCATTTCACGAGACCTCACACATGCTTTAAGGACCATCATTATTTCAAATCTAAGTAGTTTATAGTTCATATTTGTGTCAAATATTCCATTTGCAGCCTCTAAAATTCTTGCCATCTCTGTTGTCCTTTTTTTTTTTTTTTAGGTCTGTGCTGCTTCCTGGAGAATACAAACTCCTTGTAGTCAGGGTCTGTGTTTTATACTTTTATCCATTCACTACACCTAATGCTGTGTTGGATATAAGGTCCGGGAAATACTGTGTAAAAATTGCTGGTTGAATTTTGGCAGATCTTGGTAACGTGATTATCAGGATATTCCAGGGGAAGTGGCATTAGTATACTTAAACTGATAGTTTAAGTGTCATTAATTTGGTGGATGGTGGCATTTTGGGGAAAAGAGCCGGTTTATTGGATGATAAATCAGGACCCTGATCTAGACAGGCTGCATTATGAGCTAAATCAAAGAATAAATTCAAAAGATATTATTAGGTATGGTACAGTACTGGGACATGAACGAGCAGTTTCCCCACAGGAAGGGGAAATAGAAAAACGCCCAAAGGAAGTACTGTAGGTGAGAGAGACTTGAGGGTTGTTAGAGACTGCTTGAAAAGAGAATGCTGCATAGGCGTAGTTTGAAGTTGAGGGTCTTCTGTCCAGGGTAGGCTGGCTTGCTGTACTTGGTGCTGGCAAGTACCTTTAAAAGGTATTCATTGGGTATTTTCACAAGCACATTTCACTCATGCAAGTTCGACCTCTGGAGCATAGCAAAAAGTGAGTGATTTCGTCCCACTGTTTGACTGAGTTGATATCTGACATTGGACCAGCAGCAGTGACAGAGGTAGCTCTTAGGTCTTAGGATCGCAGCTGAGAGGATGTGGCTGACTCAGTAGTTCCAAGATAGCTTCCTGAGGCCCCCCCACTTTCCTGATGTGGCAGAGGCACCAGCACCCCTTGTGGGCCAGTTCCATGTGGTTCTGGGAGTCTTTCCTGGAGGCCCGGCATAGAGCCTGCTCCCTTGAACTCTTCAGTGATTTTATAAGCACCTAATTCTCTATATTAAATCCCTTTCTGCTTAAAATAGCTAGCTCATTTCCTGCAGCCTGACTCTGGCTGAGGCTGAAGAATTTTATAATGGGAATGAGCTGCATTGGAAACAGAAGTGTCACTGCAAGTATCCTGGAATGAGCAGCAGATAGATGGATAAATGGATCAGTGGTTCCCAAATGCATGTACTCAGGTTCCTTCTGCTCCCCTAGTGGATGCATGTACACTGGAATTGTCTGAGAGAGCTATTCCTCAAACACAGATTCCTAGGCTCTATCCCTAGAAATTCTGATACGGGGGAAGTGCTGGAACCCTTGAATCCATATTATCTCTGAGAGATGGCCACATTGGCTATTACTGGACTAAATTATTTCTTGACTCTAGGAGCCAGTGCCCATGAGAATTCTTTTTAAAAGGGAGGAAGTGTTTAGGAGCTACACATTTTTAAAGATTCCACTACAGAGGATATACCTTTTCTTGGATATAAAGGGATTAATCCTGTAAATACTGTCAGAATGTGAACTCTACAGGATTTCCCTCTTTTGTTATTACTGGAGGAAAGGAATATATTTCAAAAATGTTACTGAATCCAGAATAAAAATTGAGTTGTCTGTAATGAGAGTTAAAAATTCATGTGACTACCTTATTATACAGTATTTTATTATATAAACGTGGCATTTTACAGTATAATACGCTATTTTATTGTATAAAGTGCTGTTAGTATATTTTCTTATCTCTGTTTATAGTTAAAGGAAAAAGACAATGGAAGTTATTTAAAATCCGGAAATGCCTCCTAAGAAGAGAGGTCAAGGGATTATTTGGAGAACTGGCGAATTTAGGATAATTTTGTACTGTTAGAGTTTGCTGAGCTCTGGAAGCCAGGTGTTTTAAGGATCACATGTCTGGTGTAAGCACTTGTTCTTCTCTTATTCTATTTCCCCACCTCTCCACCACCTCCCCACCAAACCCCAGTCCTGATTTCTGCCCTTCTCTTCATCTTCTGGCCCTTTTAAGGTGCATGCTAACAGATGAAGAAGGAAATCACCATTGTTCTCCAGTCTAGTAGAGCCTGCTTGATTGAAATTGATTAGCTCTAGATGATTGGAGTCCTTGTAGCAGCAGGGGTTATATGTCAAATGGATCTCCACTGAAGGCCAAAGCTGTTCTTCCTCTGCAGCTGCCAGGCTGCTTGAAATTAGGCAGAATGATTTTGCACTTGGATAATAGTCAGGAATTAACTGCAGCTTACAAAGCACTGCATAATTATGGGAAATGTGGATGGTGCTAATCAAATGCATCTGCATATGGCATTTTCATTATGTACAGGAGGCGTATGTGTGCACAGAAAGGGAATGAGCTTGTGTAGAGCTTGTATGGGTACATGTGTGAGAAGATGCATCTGTAGAAATGGCCTCCTCTTTCCTACATGGAATCCTGACAGAATGATTGAATTAGGAGTCTGGCGTGTGTGCTTACTTGCTATTAGTGCTTTTTTTTTAAAAAAAAAAAAAGCTTTATTGAGATACAATTCACATGGCATACAATTTGCCCACTTAAAGAGTGCAACTCAATATTTTTTAGTGTATTTGTGGGGTTTTGCAACCAGCAGCACACTCTAATTTTAGAACACTTTTATCCCTCCTAAAATAACCTGTTGGTTCTTTTATAAAGAAAATGTAGTTTGTACTTTTCGACGGACACTTTTTCTTTTTTTTTTAAGTGGGAATTTCAGATCATCTTCAGCCTTTTGCAAAATTATACTGTTTCTCGGAAAGCATTTGTTTTTATAAATAGTCATAAAATGTTTCTTAACGTTCCAAAGGTTACCTGCTGACTTTTGGACACAATCTCATGAATTATGTTTTAGTTGCTGGGTTCATGTACCTACTAGTTGGAATCTTTTCAGCTTCAAGTGACAGATTTCACTCAGCTAGCTGACGCATTAAAGGAACTCATTGGCCCTGGTAACCTGGAAGAAGCAGGGGTATTAGCTTCAGGCACAGGTGGATTTAGGGATTCTCTCTCTTTCTCAATTCTTTTTTTTTTTTTTTTTTGAGACAGAGTTTCGTTCTTGTTGCCCAGGCTGGAGTGCAGTGTTGGCGATCTTGGCTCACCACAACCTCTGTCTCCCGGGTTCAAGCAATTTTCCTGCCTCAGCTTCCCAAGTAGCTGGGATTACAGGCATGCACTACCACACCCGGCTAATTTTGTATTTTTGTAGAGACGGGGTTTCTCCATGTTGGTCAGGCTGGTCTCGAACTCCCGACCTCACTTTATCCACCCGCCTTGGCCTCCCAAAGTGCTGGGATTACAGGCGTAAGCTACCGCACCCAGCCTCCTTCTTAATTCTTTTATTTCCACATTGGCCACGTTCACCCCATTATAAGTAGGGGGACTGCGTGTGGGAGTGGGGCGCACATCTGCAGCAGCAGTGGCGGAGGGGAGGCTGCCAATCAGGTGCTGAGCCTCACCTCAGTTTGCCTGTATTTTGTGTCACTGGCTTATAAATTACTCTAGGTTTTGATTTATTTCTTCATTCTGGGATTACAGATCTATTCATTCAAGCAGTGGAACTAAAAGAACCATCTCAGGCATGCTGCAATAACCAATGTTGCTGATTCAGATGGTTAGTCAAAGCATTTGAACCAGGCCCAGGCTGTGGGTGCTACTTTCTAAAAGATTCTCCCCAAGCCAAGGGTTACCAACTTGGACCTCCTCTTACAGTCCTGTTTGAGCATGATCCACCTGATCAGGCAATTTCTAGCTTAATCTCTTTCTAAACTTTTCATTGCCTGGTTCAGTACCTTATTTTCCTTAGTAGGATCCTATGTTTTTTGCATTTTTAAGTTTCTTAGTTGTCTTGCCCTCTAACATTTACAGCATTCGTAATTTAGCAAATCACTAAATGTTGTATTTGTGATTGGCATGAATAGACCCGATATATTTTTTAAGCTGAAAAAGAAATATAACCAACCTGACATTGGTTTTTAAAAGTATTCTATACATACTTTTATTGTTTTGGTAAATTAGATTTGGTGAAGGTTTTGGTTGAAGTTTGGGAAACGTTTTTTATGATTCTGCAGTTTCTGACATGCTAGGATGAAGCCAGCTTTATACTGAGTAATTAAAAAGAAATATTATGAGGCCTGAATTGTGATTTTATAAATCAATGACACCGGTTTGGGAAGGTTTTCTTTCACTCAACAAATGTTACCGAGTGAGTGTTCTGTAAATACAAAACAGCAAACCAAATAGACCAAAATCTAGTGGACCTTGCAGTCTAATAGGATGTGAGAAAGAGAAAACTGCGAAACTAAATTTTATGGATGTTATAAGGTGATATGTGGTATAGAAAAAGTGGAAACAACCGGTCAAGGGAAAAGAGGATGAGGATTGTGGTGTGGGCTGCAGCTATAAACAGGAGGTTGAAGCTTATTAAGAGGGTGAGATTTTACAAGGATTTGAAGGAGGTGGAGGATTTATTTTTATTTTTTATTTTTTTTGAGACAGAGTCTTGCTCTGTCGCCCAGGCTGGAGTACAGTGGCGCAATCTCAGCTCACTGCAACCTTTGCCTCCCGGGTTCAAGCGATTCTCCTGCCTCAGCCTCCCTAGTAGCTGGGACTACAGGCGTGTGCTACCACGCCCGGCTAATTTTTTGTATTTTTAGTAGAGACGGGATTTCACCATGTTAGCCAGGATGGTCTCTATCTCCTGACCTCGTGATACGCCCGCCTCGGCCTCCCAATGTGCTAGGATTACAGGCGTGAGCCACGGCGCCTGGCCAGGAGTTGGAGGATTTGATGGAGATGAGGGAGTTTGCCATGAGGCTGTCTGGGTGAAGAATGTTCCAGATAGAGAGAACAGCCACTGCAAAGGACTTTAAGGTAGGAGGACCATATACTTGGGATATTCCCAGTGAAGCCAGAAGACCCTTGTGGTGAGAGCACCGTGGGTACAGACCTGGAGAGGGGTGTGGAGTTGGTGAGGTCACAGGGAGAGCACAGCGTGAGGCCTTGGAAATGCGGAGTTCTTGTGGGGATTTTGAGCAGAGCAGTGATGCCATTTGAATTAGGTTTAAAGAGGCCATGCTGGCAGTGCTGAGCCTGGGTGGCAGGGAAACCAGTGAGGCCCTTACAGCCAGGAAGCAAGAGATGGAGAGACATGATGGGTGCTTGGATCAGGTGTGGCAGTGGGCCTGGTGAAAGCGGAGCTCATGGGATTTCCGATGGATGGGATGCGGGGTGTGAGAAAGAGAACAGTTAGGGATGACTCCAGGGTTATTGGCTTGAACAACTGAGCGGAGATGGCTGTGGGCAGTTGGGTGTGGGGGTAAGATCAGGAGCTCAGTTTCACACCTGTTGAGTTTTGGGATGTCTTTTCGACATTCCAGAGCACATGTGGATGGGCAGTTGGGAAGGGTGCTGGGCTAGAGATGTAAATTTGGGGTGGTGTTTACAGCCTTCACGTTGGATCAGATAAGCATTGAGTCATTTTAGATTGCTTAGAAAAGAGGACCAGGGTCTGGAGCCTGGGGTGTCTCTGCATTCAGAAGGGTGGTAGAGGAGACTGAGAGGTGGCCAGCGAGTTAGGGGAAGTGAAGCAACATAACAAAACCAATTATTTAAAAGCTAACTTTTGTTAGCTTTTAAATAATTTATTAATGTGGAAATATGCTGTTTGAATCAAAAAAAGAAATAACTATAAGCTGTATTTAGGAAGAGTGTACCTTCCTATTGCTCTTGAGTTTTCAAAAAGCACATCGTTCTGAACATCTTTAATATTCTCACAGGTTCAGAACCATTTTGGAGAGTCAGGCAAAAGGAAAGTGTCTGATATTCTACTCATCCTAACGTTGCTGTTAATATTTTGGTATTTGCCTTCTCATTTTCCTTTGTATATTTTTTTTAGTTGTAATCTTGTTGCACACAGCAGCTTTGTTTCCTTTTGTTTACTTGTCACGGCAACGGCAGCACTTTTTTCATGTTGCTGTTTACAATCTTCAAAACACAATTTTTATTGGAGCGCTCTGCTTCTTTTGGAATGGGTATTTATTGAGAGAAGGATTGAATGGACAAAACCACGTTGCTACCAGCTGATCTTTGCTTTTCCCTGCCTTCCTGCACATCTGCATAGGATTCATACCGTGCTTTGTCTGGGGATGGAGAATGCTGGAAAGACAGGGGAAGTTGTTAGGATCTGGGCTGAAAATCCAGGAGCAAGACTGGGGCAGACCTGGCCACTGGGGGGGTTAACAAGCTGCTGATGGGGCAGAGGGAGTGAGGGCCTGTGGAGAGGGACTCCTGGGCTTGAGGGACCACGCAGGGCCATTCTTTCTTTTGCAGACATCTTCAGCAATAACACTTCAGTGCCTCAAGGGTTTGAAAGAAGAATTACAATTTAAAAGGAAAACTCTTCATGTATGATTTGCATATGAGTGGCATCTGTATAATTAAGAACAATTAAGTTCCCTGAGCTGAATTGAAAGGGAGGCTCCTGCTTCAGTTGCTGCAGTGCCTGCAGTGCAGCCTCTAGCTGTCAGGGCACTGGAGTTCTGTTGGAGGCATTCTGCCCACCTCCCCACAACCTCTAATAAAAGAAATCCTGAAACACTTTGCTGGGTGCTTGGCAAAACTCTTTACAAACACATTTCATTTAATCCTCACAATGGATTTAGGGGGTCTGTGTCAGTCAGATTCTCTAGAGGGACAGAACTGACAGAATCGATCGATCTATCTAGCTATCTGTCTTGTCTGTCTGTCTGTCTATCTATCTCCCTCCCTCCCTCCCTCCCTTCTATGTATATATATAAAGGGGAGTTTATTACAAAGTATTAAACTCACCCGATCACAAGGTCCAATAGGTTGTCTGCAAGCTGAGGAGCAAGGAAACCAGTCCGAGTCCCAAAGCTGAAGAACTTGGGAGTCTGATGTTCCAGGGCAGGAAGCATCCAGCACGGGAGAAAGCATAGGAAAAAGATGTTGGCTGGGAGGCTAAGCCAGTCTAGCCTTTTCATGCTTTTCTGCCTGCTTTATATCCTGGCTGCGCTGGCAGCTGATTAGATGGTGCCCACCCAGATTAAGGGTGGGTCTGCCTTTCCCAGCCCACTGACTCAAATGTTAATCTCCTTTGGCAACACCCTCACGGACACACCCAGGATCAATACTCTGCATCCTTCAATCAAGTTGATACTCAGTATTAACCATCACAGGGTCTTACCTTAATTTTATAATAGTGGAAACTGAACTTCTGATCACAAGAGCATTAGATGATCTCTTGTACTCATCTTTATGGTTAACTCCACCTTTGTAGATTGTTCCTGATTGGGACCCAGTGAACCTGTTACAGGAAAGAGGTTCTGATCTAGACCCCAAGAGAGAGTTCTTGAATCTCACACAAGAAAGAATTCAAGGCAAGTCCATAGTGCAAAGCAAAAGCAGGTTTATTAAGAAAGTAAACGAATGAAAGAATGGCTACTCCATAGTCAGAACAGCCCTGAGGGCTGCTGGTTGCCCATTTTCATGGTTATTTCTTGATGATATGCTAAATAAGGGGTGGATTATTTATGCCTCCCCTTTTTTGACCGTATAGGGTAACATACTGATGTTGCCATGGCATTTGTAAACTGTCATGGCGCTGGTGGAGTGTAGCAGTGAGGACAACCAGAGGTCGCTCTTGTGGCCATCTTGGTTTTGGTGGGTTTCGGCCGGCTTCTTTACTGCAACCTGTTTCATCAGCAAGGCCTTTATGACCTGTATCTTGTGCTGACCTCTTATCTCATCCAAGACTTAGAATGCCTTAACTGTCTGGGAATGCAGCCCAGTAGGTTTCAGCCTCGTTTTACCCAGCTCCTATTTAAGATGGAGTTGCTCTGGTTCAAAAGCCTCTGACAAACCTGTAGGAATTTAGCCTCATTGTTTCTTCCACTGCTGTGTTATATCTGATGGACTCCTTTCTCCCTAGACTAACTGGGAAGCAAGATGCAACTTTCCCTGATTTTTTCTCTTCTGATTTTGCAAGAACTCTGCAGTTTCACACAACACTGAACAACTTTAAGTAGAGCGGGAACACAAGTATTTTCCCTTGTAAGGTTCCTGCCAGCCACCCCACAGGAAGGAGGTAATGTGTATCGGTATTTGAGGATGTTTTAAGCAATCTTCAAAGAGTAGGATAATTCTTACCCCTTGCCTTCCCTGAAATGTAAATGGCAGTGGTTCTTATTGACTATGCTCCTTCCAGGACTTTGTTCCTTCCAGGTGGGGATGTCACCTGTGTGCTCCTTCTAGCACCTCTTTTCTTTCTGGTGTGGCCACATCAGTCTGGAATACCCTCCCACCTTTGGTTCCCTGAAGCATCTCATGGAGGTCCTTGTACGTCCCTGCAGGTCTAGTTACGAAGCAGAAGGATAGGCTCTAAACCAGTCACATGCAGGCACTTCCCAGTTTACATCAGTGCAGGGCCAAAGCCACCCTAGGCCCCCACCAGAACCAATGGGTTTTCCCAGTGAAAGACAGCAGGAACCATCCTTTCCATACTTAGGATTTTCTTTGTTTTACCATCAGATTTGGGTTATGTTTGAGTGACTTTTATTGCTTCAGCCACTTAGCTTTCTGGTTTATTGGGATGCTCTGCTTCTGGCCGCCCTGAAAGGCTGGCACTGCTGAAAAACCCGCCTCCCTCAGGGCAAGCAGGGGCTGGAGTGATGAGGCCATGTAGTATTAGTTCCGCTGAGCAGCTGCTGCTGGCAATTTCTGGTGTTGGAAAAGAATGGGAAGCTGTTCCAGTTAGAATTAAAGCTTACATCTTAAGAGAGTGTTTTCTCTCTCCTGAGAGAGTCTGCAGATATGCAGCCGCTGGCTCCAGGAAGTCTTTAGGGACCCCACGTCGCCTTCCCCAGGGTACTGGGATCTCCTACTCGTGGGACAAGGTGGAGACGTTTGTTTTCCTGGCAGCAGTTTGGAAACTGCCGGCGCGATACTTCGGCTTTCACCCCATTTGCTGGAACTTAGTCCCGTGGCCGTACCCAGATGCAGAGAAGCCTTGGAAATATGCCCACTTAAAAATTCCATTATGTGAAAGAAGACGAGAAGGGGGGATATTAGGGGCCAAAGAGCAACCTCTGTCACAGAACCTTGGGAAAGAAACAGTGAGATCTTTACCATTATTTCTCAAGGAAAAATTGCTTTTCATACAACATATGTTTAAGTCACATACCTCCCCCAAAAGGGGGGGAGGCGGAAAAAAACCCAACAAAACAAACACCCAGCAGTCCTCTGACTTGTGTTAAGGAGTCCTTGTTTTTCTGGGCACACTCTAGACTGGTTTCTCCAGTGCCAGTGTTTGTTGGGTTTCATATAAGAAAAATCGTTTTTAAAGTCCTCCTCTGACAGTGGGGTTATATTATATAAGTGAGCTTGGTGATAGTAAATTATACTTTATGGGCAAGTGTGTGGTCTATGCTAGTCTGCTGAATGGACAGCATGAAACTTCAATTAAAAAGGTTTCTGCTGCATTCCGTTTTAAAAACATTATGTTCAGAGGCTAGATTTTTTTTTTTTTTTTTTTTTTTTTTGAGGAGAGAAGACTTAACTTTTTGAATAATGACATATTGTCTGGGTATTCTGAGAGATGGGACTGGGCCCTGGTGGAGTGAAACACTGATATACATGTTAGTATTGTGCTCGACTGTAACAGCTGCTGTGAAGCAGGAGGCTCCCTTGCTCCTGCCGGCTCCTTTACTCATGAGGCTGGTCCTTCAAAGAATAGTTAGAAATTTTTCATTAGATTTTTCTGGCAATCTTGTTAACATTCTTTGTATTTGTCTGAAGATCATTTTGAGATATTTGCTCATATTGGGACTTTAAAAAAAAAACACCTGTCAGGGCCGGGCACGGTGGCTTACGCCTGTAATTCCAGCACTATGGGAGGCCGAGGCAGGCGGATCCCCTGAGGTTGAGAGTTCCAGACCAGCCTGACCAACGTGGAGAAACCCCGTCTCTACTAAAAATACAAAATTAGCCGGGCATGGTGGCGGGTGCCTGTAATCCCAGCTACTGGGGAAGGCTGAGGCAGGAGAATTGCTTGAACCCGGGAGGCGGAGGTTGCAGTGAGCTGAGATCGCGCCACTGCCCTCCAGCCTGGGCAACAAGAGTGAAACTTTGTCTCAAAAATAAAAACAAAAAAACAAAAAAAAAAACCCCAAAACAAAAAACATCTGTCAGTTCAGTGTGTTTTAGTAAAATATTATTCCGGGTCATAAAGTTACATAGGATTGTTCTTCGGTCCTACTGAGAAACTCTAGAAATTAATTATCTTTTGTACTTCACTTTTTATCTTATCAGCCTTTCTGTGATCTGTATGCCTTAACTTGTGTTTTTTCACTTCGTTAAAACTCTTCCTCCAGCCTTACCTGAAGACAGCACGTTCAGCCTTCTAGATCCTACTCAAATGCCACCTCTTCCAAAAGGCATTTCCTAACCTATTCCACGCCAGGTGATCTCTTCCTCTTGTGGATACTTAAAGTACTGTGGACTGTGCTCTCCCTTGTATCATATGTGTTATGTATTGTAGGAGGTGTGTGATACATACATAACACTGTGAGCCTGTGAAAGTTAGGCAGCCTGTTTTTATTTGCCTTTGGGGATTTCTGAATCTAACTGCCTTGGGTAGATAGAAGAAATGAATGTTGGTGGGATTTGGCATGTCTGCCTTTACAGTATGAATAAGTTCAGCTACCAAGTTGCTTAAAGTGTTATAGATGAGCTTTAAAACGTGGCTAGTGCACCTTTAGGAAACTAATAACTTAAATTTTTATGGACACTTTGAGAACTCACGGTTGGTTTTCTAAAAATAACATGCACGGTAATGCATGAGCTTGCATTGTCCACCCATGATCAAAGAGGAAAAAGTCCTTCATCCCTAGACTCCCTTATCTGCTTAGGGTTCGTGTGAATTTCTGCTTTGGCTTCTTTTTTTTATGTATAGTGTCTGGCAAACTCTGTTAATGCTGGAGGTATCTAATACTGAATGTTCGTGCTAACTTGTCCTAGAGCTGAAAGGTAATGCAAAATGTATTTTGTATTTTGCAGATGTTATAATCACATTTCATTATTTTAACATATAGTAGAGTGACCTACCCTAGCGTCTAGGAAAGATGTCAAATCTTTAAACCACAGAGGAGAAGCCATGAAAGTAAGGAGAAAGTTGGAATGGGAGTTGGAGTAAGGAGAAAGTTGGGATGGGAGTTGGGGAAATGTGAGCTTAATTGCTGGCCTATTCTTTAATAGGGTTTTGCAAAGTCCTTTAACTAGTTGGCTAAAGTAGATCTTTATAGTATGTGGAATGTGGTAAGAGTAAATATGTAAATATAATAATGTATTTTAAAATTCTTTGAATTGGAGAGAAAATGCCTTTTGGTCCTCATGGAATGTGGGGGTGAGGGACAGATTTCTTTGGTTGCACATGGAGTTATGGAAGACACAAGAGTCAGGGTATCAACAAAGCTTTCAGCTGGGCAGGTAGGCCAAGGCACTCACTGGCGTGGGAATATAGTACAGCCAGCTGAGGGGCGTTGCAAGCAAGATGGTGAACTGCATCTTTTATTCCATTGGGAGGTGCCTGTGGGCCATCCACGGGATGAGGCCTGGTACAGATGGAAACACGAGTCAGGAGCTCAGCAGAGTCTAGGCCACAGATACACAGGCTTGGGAAATGAATCAGTCAAACCACAGAAACCAAACTTTGGCTGATTTGAGCTGAAAAGATGTTGGGCAGCTGACAGAATCTCTAGGAAGACCAAAGAACCAGGCCCAGAAACCAAGCCGGCAAAAAGAGGGATTAGCAGCTAGAGCCACAGCCAAAAATATTCCATGGAAATAGACTGCTGAGAACCCCACCCCATCACTTACCCTGCTACAGTACTGCTGTGGTCCCCCAGGACAGATTCTTCAACTTCTTTGCTTCCTTGTGGCATCAGCTTGAGGAGGCCCTGCCTCAGGCGGGTAAATCTGGAGAAGTCTGGGTCATGGGCTAGCACCCCAGCTGTTAGTGGGGCTAGGTAAAACTAGTATCTGGCCCTTTCCGAATCCAGGAGGGATGACCATGGGAAATGTACCAATGCAGTAAAGGAAGATGCTGAACAGCTACAGTGATCACAAATGTCAGTGAAGGAAGCATTAATCTGTGGGTGATAGGCAAACCCACTGGATAGGTACAATAGGCTAGAGTGAGAAAAGAGTAGAGGAAGAGCTTTGGAAATGACAGCATGGAAGAGATAGGCAGAGGAAGAGGAGTTAGAAAGGGAGAAGGAGCAGCCACAGAGGTAGGAGGTAGTGGGGAGGTTTCCTGGAAACCAAGGGAGAGCCATTCAAGAGAGGGTAGCCAGTGGAGAGGCCAAGTCAGCTCGGTACTTGATTTCGCAGGCTGTGATCATTTATGACCTCAGCAAGGGCCACGTTGCAGAGAGGGCTGGGGCCAGAGAGCAGTCAGGTGGAGGCAGTGTAGTGAAGGGGCTGTGAATGCACGATCACATTCCCATTCAGCCACCCCACAGCCAGGTGCGCTTCGGCAAGTTGTTTAAATCCCCAGAGCATCTTTGTGTGCGAAAGTGCAATGGATGATTATTGGTATCCACATAGGGTTCTTAGGATTATATATAATAAAGTGCTTGGCACAACATCTGGTATACTACAAGTACTTAATAAATTTACTTGCTGTCATTGTTACATCACCTATGGTTTGGCTTCAAAGGGAAGAAGAGGACTTGAAGCGGCTAGGGAAGGTGAAGAAGGATCTTAAGTGAGCAGGGCATGATTCTTTTCATGTAAGTAAGTGGAGGAGACAGAGCTGGGAGGGAGATGGAAATCCTGGAGAGGGCAGGACAGGGGGCTGTGAGCCTGGGATGCATCCAGAAAGAGCAACTGTGGGGTTAGTCTGACAGACGCAATGTCTCCTCCTTGGATAGTGTGGATGCATAGGTCATCAGCAATATGAGGGACAGATTAGTGTGGATGACTTTTGTCGCTGTCTTAGGAAGGCCAGCCATCAACACGCTGGGCTGCTGTACATCCCCAGGTGCTGTTATTAGCGAGAGCGCCTCCAACAGACCACTCTTGGTATCGCTCCAAGGACTTTTTGATTCCTCTCTTTTGGTTTAATAATTGCTTTGACCTTGAAGCCTGAAGCTTTCTACAGTGAAAGAAACTAGGAAAATCATGTCCTACCAAAAAACTTTTTCTTATTGGTAGGATTTTAATGGAGAAAAATACTGGTTTCTGCCTCTATTGTTAAATGGTTCTTTTCAAGTAGTTAATTGACTGGTAAGAATGGCAGTTCCAGCTTAAGTAGCAATGCCTGTGTCTTTTATGTTTTTTCCTATCAGTAAACTTCTGGGGAGAAGTATTTTTTAAATTAAAAATAAAAACAGAAAAAACGACTTGTACTAAGATCATGATGTAGAATTTTATAACTATGTAGTTGTGTAACTCATTTAATAAATTGTGCAGCTTAGGCCATTTGTTTTTCAAGGAAGGCCCTAAAGGTCAGTGCCTTGCCTCAGTTCATAGGCGTTTCCAGGCAGTGAGAGCCTGGGGAAGGCCGCCGCCTGGAGTAACCAGTCTGATTGTTGGCATGCATCGGTATAGACACCCCCCAGGCTGGGACTTTTTATATCTGTGCAGGGATCGATTTGAAGTCCAGTTGCATAATGGAAAAATACTGAATTCCTCTAAGGTCCCAGGAGGTAGCAGCTGGGTCTTAGAAATACCTGTCTCCTGCTCAGAGGAAGATGGTGGTTGACTAAGTATCCCATCAGACACACTGTTTAGAAGAAAGGGACCAAGGAGATTAATGCAGGGATTTCTGCCATTATGGAGTCTCCAGGTCTCTTCCAGCATTTCCAGCTGTGGGATCTCTCATTTCTTTGAATAATGAGAACAGCCCAGTAAGTGTCTCGTTAGCATAACATGTCATTCCTTGAGCACTTCAGAGTCTTGATACAATAACATTATTCTGGTTACCGTGGTCTACTTAGTTACCTTTCTTGAGGCAGAGGGGGTTTGTGAAATGGATGGGAAACCTTTCCTCTTGTCCATGCAACCTTTTGCCAACATCCAGCGGCTAAAGCCATTGTTGCTGTGGCCACAAGGTTTTTGTTTTTGAAACACCCACTGTCCTTTCAGGTGTTGGAAGAGTTTGCATCTCAAAGACAGCTAGCTAGATGTGGGGGCATCAAGAGATGGATGAAACCCAGTTCGCTGAGGAATATGGAAACCCAGACAGTTCAGTCCTCGATGTAGGTGCTCACTGTTGTGTCTCAGATCCCTGTTAGGAGGTGAAGCTATTTTTCACTTGTTCGAAAGGACAGGCCCTCTTCTGAAACACTGTGGTGTTCTCCAAGAGCTGAGTAAACCCTTAGGAATAAGGCCAGCACACATCCACAGCACGTCACCTGGGGAAGTGTCTGCTGAGTTTCCCTCGCTATCCTCCTCATGGGCCAGCAAAGCCTTCCTGGGTAGCTGCTATGGGGCCCAGGCTGCCCTCTGCCTTGGGCTGGCCCTCTTCCCTTACCCCTCACACTGGCTTCCCTGCCTCACTCTCCTCACTCCACCCCTGGAGCCAGCAGGCCAGCTTGTGAGTGCACTTTCTGTGCTCAGTTCTCCAAGGTGGTCCATGCTATCTTCACTCCTGCCATTGGCCTTACTGGAAGCAGCCTTTGTTCAGTGTCCCTCCGTGGTAGCTGCTCATTGAGGCCCACTCAGATAGCCCCATTCTCCAAAGGCTTTGCTGAGTTTCTCCGGTGGGTTTTCGCTCTTCTGTTTTTGGACTCTCCTGATCTCTGGGTTTTGATCGTGGGCATATGAGGCAGTCCAGCCTCCTGGGTGGTAAGCCTGAGGGGAGCATCTTCCTGGAGCTGACCACCTGCCTCCGTGCAGCTGAGCCTTATTAAATTGCCAAGAGCTTTGAGGTGGGGTCAGCAGTCTCTGGCCCTGCCTCTCACTCTGGGGAGATGAAGCTTTGTCTTTGAAATGACGTGTTTTGGTTGGATAACATTTGTGAACAGCTGGAACAGTTGGTTACAGCCAACTCATTTCCATGTCTAAGTTACTGGACTCATTTTTTAAAGTGTGTCTGATATCAGCAGACAGATTTAATTTTCCTAGGCATAAGAAATCTGGGCATCTACATGCTTTTGAAGGATCTTGGAGTCATCCAATGCAGCTTGCTCATTTTGTTGAAGAAGAAACTGAATCCCTGTGTCACATTGGCGTTCACGTCACACTAGGACCTGACCCAGCACCTTCTCATTTCCAGTGAAATTTCTCTTGTATCAGCCACTTTTTCAAACTTTTTTTTTTTTTTTGAGATGGAGTCTCGCTCTGTCGCCCAGGCTGGAGTGCAGTGGCGCGATCCCGACTCACTGAAAGCTCCGCCTCCCGGGTTCACGCCATTCTCCTGCCTCAGCCTCCTGAGTAGCTGGGACTACAGGCGCCCGCCACCATGCCTGACTAATTTTTTGTATTTTTAATAGAGATGGGGTTTCACCGTGTTAGTCAAGATGGTCTCGATCTCCTGACCTCATGATCCACCCACCTCGGCCTCCCAAAGTGCTGGGATTACAGGCATGAGCCACCGTGCCAGGCCCAAACTGTTTCTTTGTTGTATGTCTGTAGAAAAAAATGTGGCCAAAGTTTTTAAAAAGATTTTTTTCTTTTAAAAGATAAAAGAAAAAAGGCCAGGTAAAATCTTAGGCAAAGATCAATGTTTTTTCAAAATAAGACATGTGGAAATCCTTGTCTACAGGTCCTGCTGCTGAGAAAGCTCAGCTCTTTGCAGAAGGTCTTCAAAATAAGGACTAAGAGTGTGTGGAACAGGATCTGTATCAACAAGAGCTCAGACACTGCAGATGGCTCTTGCCTTTATTTCTTATCCTCGTGCCTTTCTCCTGTTATAGAAGCAAAATGGCCCCTTTTATGTGTTGCCCAGGCTGGAGTGCAGTGGTGCGGTCATTGCTCCCTGCAGCTTTGAACTCCTGGGCTCAAGGGATCTTCCACCTCAGCCTCCTCAGTAGTTGGGACTACCAGCGTGTGCCACTGAGCTCGGATAATATATATGTTATATATATAGTAATAGAGATGAGGTCTCACCGTATTGCCCAGGCTGGTCTCGAACTCCTAGGCTTGAGCAATCCTCCCACCTTGTCCTCTTAAAGTGCGGGGATTACAGGTGTGAGCCACTGCACCCGGTCCATTTTTCTCTTTTAACTAGGAGCTTTTTTTTTTTTTTTACAATTATCTTACAGATGGAGAAGGGGTGAAAATTAGAAATATGTGGCATAAATTTATCATTGATTTCTACAAGATGCATGTAATTATTTGATGCCAGGTTGTGGGGACTCCTAAGAGTAAAAGAGGCCAGGTGGTCTTTGACATACATGAATCATTATTATTAAGGGTGAAATATGAGAAGGGTGAAATGTGAAATGCTGACTTTCGCAAGAAAGGGGGGAAAAGGAGGAAATTTTATCTTTTATTGCTATAGTTCTTGAGATTTAAGTTATTTCTTTGAAGCGAACTTTGGCATTTCAAACAGGATATAATTTCTTGGCACTGATATTTGAGGATAATTGTTCATGTCTGTAGCTGACTAAATTTTAGCAGTTTGTTCTCTCCCACACTCCCCCAGTTTTTTAACAAATATTTGAGCCAGGCGCAGTGGCTCATGCCTGTAATCCCAGCACTCTGGGAGGCCGAGGCGGGCAGATCACCTGAGGTCAGGAGTTTGAGACCAGCCTGACCAACATGGAGAAACCCCATCTCTGTTAAAAATACAAAATTAGCCAGACCTAATGGCGCATGCCTGTAAACCCAGCTACTCGTGGGGCTGAGGCAGGGGAATCGCTTGAACCCGGGAGGTGGAGGTTGCAGTGAGCCGAGTTCATGCTATTGCGCTCCAACGTGGGCAACAAGAGTGAAACTCTGTCTCAAAAAAACAAACAAACAAATATTTGAAACATATGCATGTGTAAGTACTCTCCAGATCATTACCTATGTCTGAAATAGTTTTACCTGCAAGCGCTTTTAAATTTATATACTGACGTTAAAACTCCTTATAACTTAATGTAGTATTTTTCAAGCTGTAAAGTCAATTAAGCTGAAATCAGCCAATGAGAAAAATAACTTATTTTATGACTCTTAGAGAAAAAAAAATTGGCATGGTTTTATTTCTCTATTTGGGATCAAAATAGAGTTTTCTTTGAAGTTAGAGACACTCTGGCTATTTCTGCCATATTACTCTAGGTTTGGCCCTAAATGTCTGATTTTTATTGGGTATGTAAAACTTTCTAATTGTGGAATTTAAAAACCTCTATCAGAATATGAGACAGCCAAAGTTTATATTTCATTTATTCTATAATATTCAGAGCTAATTATTACCATCCCGTTTGGGGCTTTTAATTCCAGAGGTCGATATTGACTTTAAGCTCAATCAGCTTCTCCATCTGTTCTCTTTGCTTTTCTTATTAGATGAGGGTCATCCTCTTAGTAATATGAGCGAATATTTATTGACCTTAATGAAGCCTTTGCTTCATATCTGGCACATCATTTTATCTCATCCTATTATTTCATTTTATTCTCATGATAACTATGGGGTAGATCGTTTCCATTTTACAGAGAATAAGGTTAGGACTTGAGAGAGGTTAAGTGACTGATACTCTCAGGGCTGGAAGGTGATGGCCATAGGCCTCGAGTGCTCTGCTTCCCAAGCCGTCATCAGCAGGCCAGACTGCATCGGTTCCTTGGATAGGTCGTACAGTGCCTGAACTTGACACAGGGCTCATGTTTCCCACTTCCACAGATCTGGATTGGAATTTGGGCTCTGCCTTTTAGTAGCTATGTGACCTTGGGTGAATTACTTAAATCCTCCAAACCTCATCTGTTCATGTGGAGGTTGTGTAAAATCTGATGGCAAATTCACTTTTCAGTGCACAAGACAGGAAGAAGACTGTCATTAATTGCTTTATGCTATGCAGTAGCCTGACTTTTCTCAAAATTATTTTTGGTACATGAAGTTGCCTGTTTTTTTTTTTCTTCTTCTGAAATACTGAGCCTGGCCAGCTCCGTCTGGAGTAGGGTCCCTGTGGTGGACCTGCTGTGGGCACCTCTTCACCTTCGTTACCACCTGTGGTTCTTCACGTCGTTTCCGGAGGCAACTTCTCTGCAAGCCAGTTGTAGGATTAGTGCTGGCCTTTTAGGGTTTGAGTAAATAGCATACCTCTTCTCCGACCGTGTTCAAAACAAGTGAAGAGATTGACAAGAATTAGGCAGATGGAGCCCAAGGCATTACTTTATTTTTTTTTAATTTCTTTTTATTTTTTTGAGACGGAGTCTCGCTCTGTCGCCAAGGCTGGATGGAGTGCAGTGGCACGATCTTGGCTCACTGCAAGCTCTGCGTCCCGGGTTCATGCTATTCTCCTGCCTCAGCCTCCTGAGTAGCTGGGACTACAGGCGCCCGCCACCACGCCCAGCTAATTTTTGTATTT
This sequence comes from Homo sapiens, assembly GCF_000001405.40. Classification (NCBI taxonomy): domain Eukaryota; kingdom Metazoa; phylum Chordata; class Mammalia; order Primates; family Hominidae; genus Homo; species Homo sapiens. Next base: position 153,548,483 of record NC_000004.12, read on the forward strand.
TTAGTAGAGACGGGGTTTCACTGTGTTAGCCAGGATAGCCTTGATCTCCTGACCTTGTGATCTGTCCGCCTCAGCCTCCCAAAGTGCTGGGATTACAGGCGTGAGCCACTGCGTCCGGCGGCATCACTTTATTATTAATACAGCTGGTGCTGGAGATAGAATAAAGGAGGTACAAACAGACTATAATGGAGAGAGGATAGAGAAAGAGAAGCTTAGGTAAAGGCAGAAAGTGGAGGGAGGAAGAAAAGATTGCAACTAGATTCTTCCTGTGAGACAAGGACTTTGGAAGGGTTCTCGGGTCTCTGCATTGTTTGTACCTTCAAGAAAAATGGGGCCTTGGAGAGGGAGTTGCTGAAAGGTCACAAAGCCTGTTGGCCAGCAGGTTTAAAAGTCAAATTTCCATTCCTGGACCAGCCTTTGAACCAGCTTGGTTGATGGCTGCTCGGTGGGAGGAGAAAATGGAAAGATTCTATTTACTTATTTATTTTTGAGTCAGGTCTCAAAAATGGTCTTGCTCTGTCGCCCAGTCTGGAGTGCAGTGATGCTATCATAGCTTACTGCAAGCTCAAACTCCTGGGCTCAAGCAATCCTCCTGCCTCAGCCTCCAGAGTAGCTGGGATTACAGGCGCATGCCACCATGCCTGGCTAATTTTTAAAATTTTTTAGTAGAGATAGGGTCTCACTGTGTTGCCCAGGCTGCTCTCAAACTCCTGGGCTCAAGTGATCTGCCTGCCTTGGCCTCTCAAAGTGCTGGAATTACAAGCATGAGCCACCATCTTCAGCCAAAAAGATTCTATTTTGGAAAGCTTGTTCCAGTCTTTGAAAACAGTTGTTCGTATTACCTTTAGGAGCTTCTTCAGTTAAACCTCTTTAGATTAATAGAGCTTTTAAAATGTCATATGGAAGTTGATGGTTTTTCATACTCATATGTGTATTTTGTATTTTATGTTTTTAAGTATGTTTATATGTCATGTATCTTTATTATGGTTTTCTTTTACATGTTTTTAAAAATATGTTTTGATATGTTTTTCTGCTATATTGATTTGTGCCTTTTGACTATGAAGGAAAATGAAATCATAGTGATGATTAATAACTGAAATGTGACCTGCCATGTGAGATTGTGTATGATTGTTATTCTTATGCAGGCTTGTGATGGTTGTAGCCTCACCAGCTATGCGACACTGTCCTTGCCTTGTTATAAGAAGTCTTAACAAAGTCAGAGGCCACAGTCCCCCAGGCCAACTTTACTTGTATATCATTTCCTGATTTAGGGTTTATGAAAATAGCCATGTCATCCAAATTCACCCAGAAATGAAGGCTATTACAAATTAAATCCATCTCTATTTCTGTCTGAATGCTTAAAAAATCTGTACATTTGATATGAAGTTCTACTAACCGTAATCTTAAATTATCTTAAGTTTACAACTCTAGAATTATACCAGACTTCTAATAGTTCAATTTTATCATTTAAAATCTATGAGGGAGTAAAATTATATGTCATGCATTGAGAGTCATTAGTCTAAGTACGTTATATCTCAGCATTTAAATGTTAAAACTACAACAAAATCAACCTCTCTTTTCTTTTTTTAGCTTCTCGGACAAACTATTTAGTGGAAAAGGCTTACATTTTCAGCCATCAGTTTTAGATTTTGGAATACAGTAAGTATCTTTTCTTTATAATTAAAACTCATTTTATTTATACTATTTATTTTCAGAATTTTTTTTACATATATGTACAATGTTAAATTTTAGGTATATTGATAATATGAAGGGATATTGATCCTGGGACTTAAGAGAAATATTTTTGTGAAAAGGAGAGTACAAGAATTGTTTCAGCCCTTTCTTTAATTTTTTCTTTTTTTGAGACAGACTCCTGCTCTGTCCACCAGGCTGGAGTGCAGTGGCGTGATCTCTGCTCACTGCAAGCTCTGCCTCCCGGGTTTACGCCATTCTCCTACCTCAGCCTCCCGAGTAGCTGGGACTACAGGCACCCGCCACCACGCCCGGCTAATTTTTTGTGTTTTTAGTAGAGACGGGGTTTCACCGTGTTCGCCAGGATGGTCTTGATCTCCTGACTTCGTGATCCGCCCGCCTCGGCCTCCCAAAGTGCTGGGATTACAGGCGCGAGCCACCACTCCTGGCCTTCTTTAATTTTTAATAAGTATACCTTTTAATATTTTGTAGTGATTGAAATTTAATAAGTCAATGTTGTTTTTCCAAAACAAATCCGGTTATTTTATAATGAAAAACTAAATATTGATGGTCTCTGAATTTTTGTACACTAGATTCATTTGCTCACTTGGTTTTACTTCTTGCTGTGCCTTCTGGATTCAAAATTGCACCATGCTTACAGTTGTTAGGATTAAGACTTTGGAGACTCAAGATGGGGAAGGCAGTGCATAAACTGTAATGACTTTACAGTATCATGTAAAGAACCGCAAGATGAAGACAGTGTGATATGAGTGTCAGTTGAGGGCCTAACTTGGGAACCTGGAAAAATTAAGGAAGGGTGACGCTGTGGAGATGAAAGCAACATAAGGACTCTTGTTGTCCGTGATAAAGTTTGGATCTTCAAGTGTTAAGCTTCCTGGATGCAGAATATAGCGCATTGAAAAGAACTTCTAATTAGTAGTTTCAAGAGCGAGAGGTAAAAGCACTGCTTGTTTCCGGGGCTGGCAAATAACACTTCAATTTCATGGAGAGCCTTTTGAGTGACAAGCAAAGTTTTGTGAATGAAATAACCATGGCCGTAGGAGAGCATCTGGGCTGGGTTAGGGTGGGCTCCTGGTGTGCCCTCCTTTATGCATCTGGATTGCTTTACATTCCCTTCTAATCATCAAAATGTTAGAGCTGCAGTGAAGGAGAATGAACTTGGAATTTTTTTTTTTTTTTTGAGACGGAGTCTTGCACTGTCACTTAGGCTGGAGTGCAGGGGCACAGTGTCGGCTCACTGCAGCCTCCGCCTGTTGGGTTCAAACGATTCTCCTGCCTCAGCCTCCTGAATAGGTGGGACTATGGGTGCCCGCCACCACGCCTGTAATTTTTGTATTTTTAGTAGAGACAGTGTTTTGCCATGTTGGCCAGGCTAGTCTCAAACTCCTGACCTCAAGTGATACGCCCTCCTTGGCCTCTCAGAGTGCTGGGATTACAGGCATGAGCCACCGCACCCAGCCTGAACTTGGAATTTAAAAGGACCATGTTGAGCTTTTTAGAAAAAGATTCTATAAAGGGAAGAAGAGAAAACTGGGAGTTTGCCGACTTTATAAAATTCTAGGTGTCTGTTTTTTTGAGTTTTTATATTTTTACTCTTATGTAAAGAAAGTTTAATAGAAGCTGAATGCTTAGTAGTTTAGTTGATAATATAAATAAGCTGAATTTATCATAACCTCATTGATTTTACATTCTGAGAGGGTGCTATAATTTTGTGAAAAATCTTTATTGTGAGGCTGAGCGCGGTGGCTCACACCTGTAATCCCAGCACTCTGGGAGCCCGGGCTGGGCGGATCACTTGAGCTCAGGAGTTCGAGACCAGCGTGGCCAACATGGCAAAACCCGTGACTCTAATAAAAATACAAAAATTAGCCGGACATGGTGGTGAGCATCTGTAATCCCAGTTACTTGGGAGGTTGAGGCACAAGAGTTGCTTGAGCCTGAGAGGCAGAGGTTGCAGTGAGCCAAGATCATCATGCCACCGAGTTCTAGCCTGGGCGACAGAGGGAGACTCTGTCTCAAAAAAAAGAGTCTTTATTGTGAAAAGAAATTTTGATTCAGGACCTACTTTAAAGAATATATGTTATAGATTGGTAGATAGAATAATAGTAGTAGTAAGTATAGCTATTAGGATAATAATTCCAGTTCATAGGTTCCTGGCTGTCTAAAATATTTACTCTTCAGTAACGTAAAAAAATCCTATAGTCGATGCACATGGGGGTATGTTTACAGTTGTCCCTCGTTATCCACATGGGATTGGATCCAGGACCCCCATGGATACCAAAAGCTAAGGATGCTCAAGTCCTTGGCATAGTATTTACACACAACCTCCCATATACTTTAGATTATCTCTAGAGGCCGGGCACGGTGGTTTATGCCTGTAATCCCAGCACTTTGGGAGACTGAGGCAGGAGGATCACTTGAGGCCAAGAGTTCAAGACCAGCCTGCGCAACACTGTGAGACCCTGTCTCCATAAAATTTTTTTTAAAAATTAGCTAAGCATGGTGGTGCACACCTGTACTTCCAGCTACTCATGAGGCTGAGGCAGGAGGATCACTTGAGTCCAGGAGTTCAAGGTTACTGTGAGCTATGATCATGCCACTGCACTCCAGCCTAGATGACAGAGTGAGACCTTGTCTCAAAAAAACAAAAACAAAAAAAACTCTAGTTTACTTATAATGACTAATATAGTGTAAATACTATGTAAATAGTTATACTGTATCTCTTTTTTCTTGTGTTGTTATTTTTTGTGTTTTTTTTTTTCCCTCAAACACTTTCAATCAAGGTTGGTTGAATCTGCAGATATGGAGAGCCAACTGTATATGATACACTTTTGTTAATTAGCAATATACATTAATCTCTGGTCCTAATAGTCGCATGCTGAGAGAATGCTGAAAGTCTTTGATTTGAAAGGATTTCTGATTTTTAGATGGAATCACCTTTGGAGGACTTAGTTACGTTTATATAATACTTTATGGTTCCCAAAGTGTAATCATGTCCGTTGTCATTTGAGTTTTATATCAGTCCAGTGAAGACAGGCATTATCTGAGTCTGTGTGTATCGTTTTCAAATATCTCTTTGTTTGAGCATGTACTACAAATGTGTTCATACATTTGTTGCTGAGAAGGAATGCCATTTGCTCAAGGTCATTTCACTACAAGTGGTAGAATAAATCTTCTGATTTCTAAGAGCACTCATAATGCTATTTTTCTTGTTAGTGAGATCTGGAATATGATTATGAGAATTAGTCATTTTGCTGAAGTTAAAAAAAAAAAAAACCTCAGAACAAACTTTAGCCTAAATTAGAACACATTTAAGATTAGTTGAGTTTTACCTTATGTCTGACAAATGGTCTAATATATAGACATTAGAGTAAAACTTTAGCCTGAGGGTTCTCCTCCTGATTTCTTCGCTGTCCCAGTTCAGCTTTTGCTATGGTTTATTTTGATGTTGGCCTCGAGCAAATCCCAACCCTCTTCATAGCTTTGATTTTCCTGGGGGGTTGTAAAATCGGGATCTTGTTACTCGGTTGCCTTCTGCCTACTTCTTAGGGCTTATGTGAAGGGTTAATATTCTGTTGGTCCTGAGATAAAAAGTGCTAATCATTCATAGAGATTTTAATCATTCTTTTGTAGTGTTAAATTAACAGAGTATCTTCCAGTTGTCACTAGTGAAGGAAATTTATATCCTCATAACACTTTTAAAAATAGAATCTAAAAAATAGAATAAAAATAGCAGTGGTGACTAGGCTTCAGCTGGCATTCTCTGTTAGGTCTGGAGAGATTTCTGGTGGTGCAGTCACTGGCTCTGTAGCATTGCTGTTTTGCATTCTTATTTTCTCATGTATTTCTCTGATAGACATTTGTATTCTTAGAAACCTTGTATTTCAATTATGTACATGGGATATAAAGCTTTGAGGATAAGTATTAATAACTTTGATGATTGATATTATTTACTTGAAACCCAAAACCTCAGAAGTCCTTATTTATTTAATTTTAATTGTGGGAAGAAAGGCAGATACAAGCCCACTGCTCTGAGGTAAGGCTTTTCTGAAGTGACCCTTTATGTGTATGGTAGTGTTGAACATTTTTTAAAAAAATGGTATTACTTAAGAACACTTTGAAAAATCAGGATTTTAATCACATTGATGTTGGTATTTTATTTGTAATGGGATGTGAAGAACTACGTTTTGAAATACACATTGGATATATTAAACCTTTCGTTAAGACTAGTGATTAAAAGGAAGGGTGAAAGCCAAAAGAAAAATTCCAAGGATTTGATGGTAGTAATACAGTATTTTGGAAATCTCATTGTATATAAGAGAAGCAACATCCATTTCATGTTTCCTAAAGGATACATTTTTAATATCAAAGATTTTACCTAATTTTACGGAATTCATTCATTATGCTGATATTTTTCCAATTTTATTCCAATTATAGATATAATTCATTCAGCTTAAATTAGAATATAATTTTATTTCTAGGCCATCCGAATGACAGCTGTATATTTGGCTCTCTCTGCCACTGAGGCTATTAAAACTGAAGAAATGACTTTAGTGAAATTTTTGCTGGCTCCCTGTTCATTGCAACATAATTGAACAAGACTGAATTTGGTCTTGAGCAGTAGGAATCAGAGTTAAGTGATTAGAGGGAGCATTGTAGGTGGCTCCAGGTAGGTGGGCCTGAGCCCAGCTCCTTTCCTCTTGGCAATTCCTTTATCAGAGCCGAGACATTGGAGGTGGAGAGTGCTGCTGAAAAGAATGGGTATCAAACCCTTCATGAATTAGTGTATTTGCCACGGAGCAGGGATTCTTACTCTGAGGTTTGTGGAAGGTTTTGAAGCTGTGTATGAAACTTTTCGTAAGTGTATGTTTGTGGAGGGAAGAGCCAGAGCTTTCATCAGAGTTTTTGGAAAGGCTCATAATTTAAATGGATGAGAACCTCTGCTGCAAAGTGCTGCCGGATTTTCAGTTTTCTCAAAAGAATAGCCTTTAGCCATAATTAAGTTTTCCTTTTCTAAGACCTAATAAAATAACATCTCTTTGTGAGCTGAAAATACATACCTCCCCAAAAAGTCTCTTTTACTCAGAAAACATAACCCTAAGAAAAATTGGGTTTTTCTGTGAGTACAGTTTCTTACCTAAACATATTTTCGTTTGTTTCAATATTTTCGAATGAATATTTCAGTGAATTTTCATTCATACTTTCATTGAATTATTCAACATATTTTCATTGAATTAGAGACCCAGGTCCGAGAAGTGCCAGTGAGTGCCTACATGTGTTTTGTTTTGTTTTTTTGCAAGCATTTTAATGGCCTAGATGGGTTAAATTTTTCTAACACTGAAACCAATGGAGTGCTACTGTGGGTTGGCCTAAGCCTTATAAAATAAAGTTGTTTTTTGTTTTATGACTTTTGACTGTTGTGAATTGAATGCTTTATTACCAACACGATTGGATAATTTAACTTTGTGATGAACAGCAACAGCTTTCTGGGTTTAAAAATCTGTGTGTATATATATAATAATACATATATATGTATGGTAATATTTATAACCACACAATACATTGATTTTTCTCTTTGTTTCTCCTCCTAGGTTCCTGGGACATCCTGTAGCAAAGATTCTCCATGCTTACAACCCTAGTAGGGACAGCGAGGTTGTGGTGAATTCAGTGTTTGCAGCTGCTGGACATTTCCATGTACCGCCAGTTCCCTGCAGGGTGGGTGTTGATGGACTCCTGGAAACTATGCCGTGGCAGGCAGCCAGGTTTTCTTGCTTTCTTTGGCCTGAAGTTTTTACTTTCTGCTCCCTGTCTCCCGCTTTTTCTGGTACCCAAACCTTTTCCTTCTGTGTGTTTACCTTAGCATTTACTTTTCCAGTTGCTCATTTTTATAATTTTGGTGGCTCTTGATATCTACTGGGGCCGGGGGGAGGTGGGGGGTTGGGGGAGAGTTTGAAGGCTCTCAGCTGTGTAGTAATGTATGTATATTTAACATGGCTCTATTGTGACTAAGGAAAGTTTATATTACTTGTCTTGAAATGACTCCAAATTCTGAGGCATTTAGTAACTAATACAAGTTTATGGTTGAGACCTCTTCCATCTCTCAAGCCTACTAGGAAAGTTAGGTCTCCTTTCTAAATCCAGAACTGCAAGGTATAGTGAATGGCTCCTTGTAAAGCTGATTGGCACCATAACACAGAGCTCAAACTTAGTCTTCTAATAGTTTTAATTTCAGTGGTCTTTAACATTTAGTGAAGATCCTAATTGCTAGTAGGCTTTTATTTATTTTGCTTACTATGTCTGCCTGATATTATGTACTTAAAAAAAAAACTAGGACTAAGGATATGTTGTAAGGGGAAGCCCAATATTTGGTTTATGACAGTCTGTCTGGGTAAACGTTGTTCCTGATTTTTATTACATATCAACATGTTTGCACGTTGGTTATTGTCTATATTTAAGTAGAGATAGAACTGTGTTAGCTAAAGACAGTTGGACCTGTGGAGGTGGAAGAGGAGGGGAAGGAAAGATGTGAGACTCACAGCTCCAGTCTGAAGCGAAAGGATTCATCCTAAGTTAGTGGTAATATTTGCTATATCTAAGAGCAGATAATTGGATGCTGATCAGTTTGGGGATTCTTAGGGATTCATAATACTGATAAGGGTGCACAATATACAAATGTCTGTTAACAGAAATTGTCAAAAAAAGAAAGTCTGTGAAAGACAGTTTATCAAAGGAGGCCATTCCAAGTGGCTGACTGGGGACCTTTCTTTCAGGTAATTCCAGCAATGGGGAAAACTTCCTTCAGAATTATTTTCTTACCTACTGAAGAAGGAAGCATTGAAAGTTCCTTATTTATTAATACCTCTTCGTATGGAGTCCTTTCCTATCATGTGAGTAACTTTTTCCTTTTGTCACAACTTTGGTTGGTGACTTAACTGTAGGGGTGTGTGTGTATATTTTTAAAAAGACTTTTGGAAATGTTGTCACCTGGTTTATGTCGTTAAAATACAAGACTGTTAGTGATGTTAAAATCATCAGCATTCACCCTTTTCTGCCTGACATGCCACAGTTGGCTGGCTTTCCTACTGATGACGGAGCTATAGTCCTACTGTGGGTCTTTGGAGGATACTAGAACAAAGCAAAGCAATCTGTCACACAGTTTCCCATCATAAAATACAGAAGGCTTTCAAAACTCATGGCTCTCACCTCACGGGCGTTCAGAAGGAGGTGCTCTAAGGACAGTCTCTAGTGATTTTGCCTACCTTCCCTCTTTGGCTCAGGAATATTTCTAATTAGGAGACATTGATTGTGTGCTTGGAGGCTGGTTCCAAGGGAGCTCACTATTCATATCAAGGTACCAGGAAGGGAGCTTGAAGAATCTTGTTGCTATTCTCAGAAATAGGAATCTTTACCTTAAATGGTACCTGATATGGCATTTAACAAGATCTGGCATCAAGTAATTTAAGTTCCAAGATCAGTAATTTTTGTGGTTATTTCTTACTGGATTCCATTAAAGAGGTCCCATATCAGAAGAGTTGCCTACTTGTGAACAGATTTGCTACAGTGAGGAACATTCAGCTTAAATACAGCATTCTAATCTGTTTCATTTTTTATTTTTTAGTTTTTGAGGCAGGGTCTCACTTTGTTGCCCAGGCTGGAGTGCAGTGGTGTGATCAGGCTGACTGCAGCCACCTCCCAGGCACAAGCGATTCTCCTGCCTCAGCCTCCCACCACTGCCTGGCTAATTTTTGTATTTTTAGCAGAAACAGGCTTTCACCATGTTGGCCAGGCTGGTCTCAAACTCCTGTCCTCAAATGATCCACCTCCCTGGGCCTCCCAAAGTGTTGGGATTACAGGCGTGAGCCACCGTGCTCAGCCAGCATTCTGCATTTCTGAAACATTCATTGTGTTTTTTGTAGACAAAGATAAATAAAATAATTGGATTAGTAGAGTCTTGAAGGCCATGCTGATGAATACAGATTTCCTTTGGAGACGTGCTTTAGCATTATGGCAAATGTGTTTTAAAACTCTTAACAGAGGAGCAATTCTCTCTCTTTTTCCGCAGGTATCTGGAATTGGCACTCGTAGAATCTCTACAGAAGGGTCTGCAAAGCAGCTACCAAATGCTTATTTTCTGCTTCCAAAGGTCCAGAGCATTCAGCTGTCTCAAATGCAGGTCATTTTAATAGATTTACTTTGAATGCTGGTGGCCACCAAACTTTGTAACCTTCTCAGAATTGGTTATTTTACTATTTTCTGCTTTTTGAAAAAATTATATAGAAGTAATATACATATATAAAATATCAGTGGATTCCACCTAACTTCTTTTTAATGGCTGTGGAGTTCACAGTGTTGATATTCCAGAGTTTGCTTAATCTTATTGTTGGTCTTTTGAAATGTTTCCTGTTTTTCACTGTTATTACCGTTAGGCCATATACCTATTTTATAAGTTTCTTTAATTTTCCTTCTGAATCCTCTGTTTCCTTGGGGCATGTTTCATAAAGAGGAGAGATTCTTTAGTTAAAGACTGTGAACGATTTTGTAGAGCTTGTTAAATCTTACCAGCTTGCTTTTCAGGGAGGCAGCCCCCATGGTCACAAGTAATAACAGGCCCCTAAGGATGTCCTGCTTTTAGCCCTGCCCGGATGGGGCTTGGTGGGAAGAACTATTTCTGATGTTATAGTAGATGTATAATGATAAGTTTAAATTCTTTTAATATACATTTCATGAATCATTTTATAGGGTTGGCTACTTTTTCCCTTTGATTATCCATATTTCCTTGTAACTGGATAATTTTATAATTGAGAAAAGCTCTTGAACCAATATATTATGAAACTTACCTCTTCTTTCTGATTGGTAAATAAAGAACATTGCTTAGAATTTGTAGTCAGTACCATTAGTACCTGGGGCTTTCATTCATTCAGCGGTTTTCCTGAGCCTCTGCTTTGTGCCAGGCCTTGGTCTAGAGTTTGTATCTGCGTAGAGCCTACATTCCAGTTGGGGAGAAGAACCAAATTAATTTACCTCTAGGATTATATCTGGAATCTTTATCACCAAGTACATAATTCTTAGGGATCTTAAATCATATTTTTATTTTTATAAAATGGAAAAGCCCCTCCTTGCAGAATTTTAAGGAAGACTTCTTTTAATTTGCAAATTTATATTTGGTTTAAATCCTAAAACCAGGGGGCATGTGTTGAAAGGTTTTAAGCAGGAGACTGATACTGATGTGCTGTGGCTTGCATTTTTGGAGGGCCAGATGCCTCATCAGTGGAGATCTAAATATTGGAATAGAGACAGGTATTCAGAATACCTTAGTTATTGGGGGTTAATGTAAGGATAAGTGGAATGAAGGGAGAGAGGAAACTGACTCTGCAGGCCTCCTAGAGAGCTAGAACAGCGTACCCATTCTCTCATCCCCCTGGCCTGGCAGATCCTGCGTACTTCTCATGATGCCCACTGCCCTTTACCACACCCAGGACATCCTCATCTCTCTGATGGCCAACTGATAGTATCCCATTAACTGCCAGGATCTACTTTAGTCCCTTCCTACCTCTTTCCAAAAAATTCAAGTTGGACCCCATTAGTCCCCTGCTTGAAACCCTTCAGTGCATTCCCATAGGTCTTAGAATTTAAACCAAATCCCGCTTATGGCTGTAAGACCTGCGTGGTGTGGCTGCTGTCTCTCTTCAGCCCCAGTGCTCACCACCTGTTCTTGGTCTCTAGTTCATGGCCACAAGAGCCTTCCCCCGCTCACTTGTGCAATGCCGTTTTCCCTCCTGCCACAGGTCCCTTGTGTCTGCAATGTTCTCAACCTCCACCTCCAATTTTCTCCAAATTAACCCTTATTTCATCCTTCCTTTTTCAACTCACACTTGAGCTCTTCAGGGACTTTTGCGTCTCTCCCCATCCTAATTTCTGCTCCCATATTTATCTAGACTTCCGCTCCCATACTTATATCCATTAAATAATCACATGCCCACATGATGTAATTGCTTCACTATTCTTTTCATCACCCATGGAATGGAAGCTCCATGAGAACAGGGACCATCTGATTGAGCTTCCCGTTGTACTCCCTGCACCTCACCTGGGAAGCAGTGGTTGAGTGGAGTTTTGGCCTGAGGTAGCTCTGGGGCTGTCCTCACAGGCCACGTCTCTGTCTCTCCCTGCACTGTAGCCTACCTTGGCAGTGCCTTGGCTTTTCTTGGTCTTTGTTTCTGCTTCAGAAGATACCCAAACTCTGTTTCTTTTCTTTTTTGTATTTTTAAAATGTATTTTGTAAACAGTGTTATGAAATATAATTCACATACCACAAAATCTGCCCACTTAAAGTGTACCATTCAGTGGGTTTTAGTATATCCAAAGTTGTGCAGCCCTCACGATCACTGTCTAATTTTAGAACATTTTCATTGCCTCAGTCTCTTACTTTCTGTCTCTAAAGATTTGTCTATTTTGAACATCTTATATAAATGAAATGTATGGTCTTTTGTGATTGGCATCTTTCCCTTAGCATGTTTTCAGTTTCATCCATGTATTTCATTCCTTTTTATTGCAAATAATACACATTGTAGGATATGCCACATTTTGCATAACCATTCATCAATTGGTGGACATTTGCGTTGTTTCTACTCTGGCTATTATGAATGACATTCTTGTGTAAGTTTGGGTGGACATATCTTTCATATCTTTTCTCTTAGGTGTATATTTAGGAGTGGAATTTTGCTGGGTCATATGGTAATTCCATGTTTAACATTTTGAGGAACTGTAAAACTGTTTTCTAAAGTGGTTGCATCATTTTACAATCCCACTAGCAATGAGGATTCCAGTCTTCTACAACTTTGCCAACACTTGTCTTCCATTTTTGTTTGTTTTTTAAATAGCCATCTTACTGAGCATGAAGTGGTATCTCATGTGGTTTTGATTTGCATTTTTGTAATGACTAATGACATGGAGCATCTTTTCATGTGCTCAGTGGCCATTTGTATATCGTCTTTGGGGAAGTGGTTGTTCATATCCTTTGCACATTTTAAAATTGTGTTTGTCTTTTTATTGTTGAGTAGTAAATGTATTAAATTCTGGACATTGGACCTTTATCAGGTACATGGTTTGCAAATATTTTCTCCCTTTCTATAGGTTGTCTTTTCATTTTCTTGATGATGCCCTTTGAAGTACAAAAGATTTAAATTTTGATGAAGTCAAGTTTTTCTGTTTTTCTTTTTTCACTTTATGATTTTAATATTATATCTAAAAAGGCCTAATGTTGTGAAGCTTTACTCCTATGTTTTCTTCTAAAGTTTTATAGTTTACATTTAGGTTTATGACCCATCCTCACTTTAAGTTTTAGCATATGGTGTGAGGAAGGGATTCATTTTCATTCTTTTGCATGTAGATGTCTGGTAGTTCCAGTACCATTTGTTGAAAAGACAGTTCTTTGTACATTGAATTGTCTTGGTATCCTTGTTGACCTCTCATCTGTGGCCCCATTCCTGGCTCTAGATTCTCTCCTTCATTTTTCATTTATCCAAGGATCTGTGAGTTTAGTTAAGTCACTTTCTAAGGCTGCTCCTTTTGCCCATAGTTCTCTCCCATTAGTCAAAAATAGTTATTGAACATTATTTATTGAGTGTTCCAGTAAATGATAGGGCAATGAACACACACAGTGTCCCTACTCTTGTGGTGTTACGGTATAAAATACTTCAGAGTTTGTAGATGAAACTTAATTTTTTTGGCTGGTCTTTTCTTAGAAACCAGTATTTAAAAATCTGAATATCAAAAAAAAAAAACCTCTTAAAAGTCAGTTATTTTAATTTCTTTCACTTTTACTGTGATTTAAGAAAATAAATTTTAAATTTTTTTTTTTTTTGAGGCAGAGTCTTGCTCTATTGCCTAGGCTAGAGTGCAGTGGTGCGATCTCAGCTCACTGCAACCTCCGCCTCCTGGGTTCAAGCAATTCTGCTGCCTCAGCCTCCTGAGTAGCTGGGACTACAGGCATGCACCACCAAGCCCAGCTAATTTTTGTATTTTTAGTAGAGACAGGGTTTCACCATGTTGATCAGGCTGGTCTCAAACTCCTGACCTCGTGATCCGCCCACCTCGGCCTCCTAAAGTGCTGGAATTACAGGCATGAGCCACCGCACCCAGCCTAAAGTATTTTTTAAGGCTTGCTATACCTAAAAACAAAAACTTAAAAAATTTAAACCTAAGAAATAATTGTGGCATTCCTCTAGAAGAAAAAAATCTTGACTATAATATTTCTGCATCTAAATTGCATACATTATGTGAGTTATTTCTTGTATTTTAAGTGGCTATAAAGTTGTCAACTGTTCTTAGAAAGGAATGTCTTTATTTTGATATTCTACGGGTTTTATGTTTTTTACTCTCTGCCTGTTGTCAAGAGCCCATTGTCCAGGGTTGGGGAGTTAGTGGATTGAGGAGGTCAGACTTCAAAGAGGATAAGAGGGTGTGGAAGGTACCAAAGGCATAATTGCCTCTTCTCCAGTATAGAGCTAGAAAGTATATCTGATAGAAAGCTAAGCAAGAAGGTTTAGACAGAAATATGTCATCAGCTTTTCTTTAACTTGTTCCCTTAGTGCCATGTGAAGAGAAAATAACTCTGTTTGGTTTAGGAATAAAATTTGAAATTGAGAGAAGAAATACTGTTGTTTTATGTACGTCAGTTGAATCATTATGAAAAAGAAAACTGAGACTAAGATGATAGTAGTAATTTAAAAGTATTTTCACTGAAACAATAGGGCCATCTAATTTTTAGATTTTTATATGTGAGTGGGTAAAAAGTACAGGCTGATTATATGTTTGGGTCTGCCTTACATATGGGTCTAAATATGGATTTTAGTATAATTCATTGAATATTTAAAAAATTATCTGGCTTCAGCATAGGCAGAGGGTAGAAAGGCATGTACCCAAGGATCCCTGAACATAAATAGTCTGGAAGGTGAAGGTTCCAAAATTTGCAGGTACTGCTTGACTCATCCATCTGTGAAATGCTGATCAGAGAAGGAAAAACAGCAGGAATATTTTATAAAACTGTGGAGCATGGATTGTAAAATGGGAGATGTGCTTGATGTAGTATGTTGAGGACACATAATTCAAATGGCATTTAAAAGATCGTTATGAGTTATCTGTTGCAAAACTTGAAATTTGGGTTGCCAGAATAATCTCAGAAGGTAACTGATCTTTTGCTGCTGCAAACTTAGCAAAATTCAATCATGAGAAAGGAAAGCAGTGAGAAAACGGATATGTACCCTTTTTTTTTTTTTTTTTTTTTTTTTTTTTGAGACAGGGTCTCGCTCTGTCACCTAGGCTGGAGTACAGTGCTACTGTCTCAGCTCACTGCGACTTCAGCCTCCTGAGCTCGACCCGTCCTCCTGCCTCAGCCTCCCGAGTAGGTGAGATCACAGGTGCATGCTACCACGCCCAGCTAATTTTTGTATTTTTTGTAGAGACAAGATTTTGCCATGTTGCCCTGCCTGGTCTCAAACTCTTGGACTCATTGATCCACCCACCTCGGCTTTTCAAAGTGCTGGGATTACAGGTGTAAACCACCACGCCTGGCCTGGATGTGTGATTTTGTGTGCAGCGTTGTGATATACACGAACCACGTGTGGTATTTCTCTTCACATTTATTACAACACTGCACACAAAGATATGCATTCAGTTTTTCTTATTCCTCCCAATTCATATGCTGAGTTGAATCCTCAATGCAATAGTATTAAGAGGTGGGGCCCTTGCGAGGTGACCAGGTCATGAGGAGGGGCCTTCATGAATAGGATTGGTACCTTTAATAAAAGAGGCCCAGCCAGATGCGGTGGCTCACACCTGTAATCCCAGCACTTTGGGAGGCCGAGGTGGGCAGATTACCTGAGGTCAGGAGTTCAAGACCAGTCTGGCCAACATGGTGAAACCCCGTCTCTACTAAAAATACAAAAATTAGCTGTGTGTGGTGATGCATGCCTGTAATCCTAGCTACTGGGGAGGGTGAGGCAGGAGAATTGCTTGAACCCGGGAGGCGGAGGTTGCAGTCAGCTGAGATCATCTTATTGCACTCCAGCCTGGGAGACGAGCAAAACTCCGTCTCAAAAAAAAAAAAAAAAAAAAAAAAAAAGGCCCAAGGGAGCTTGTATGCCCCTTCTGCCATTTGAGGACATAGATGGCACATAGCAGGTGCCATCTAGGAGGAACCAGCCCTCACTAGAATCTCTTGGTACCTTGATCCTGGACTTCCCAGAACTGTGAGCAATAAATTTCTGTTGTTTATAAACTACCTAGTTTGAGGCATTTTTTAATGGTTGACCATGTGGACCAAGATAATAGGAAAACATGGAGTTAAGATTGCTTTTTTAAACCTTGTCATTTGGTCCTTCTTTTTTATTGTTTTGACCTTCATGCAGAGAGAATTCCTAGTGATGAAAGTCACTGTCGTGGTGGGTCTGAATGACAGGCTGAGGCTCTCCTCCTTTTGTTGCATTCTTCTTGTTGTTTGTCACTTGGTTTTCTTCCAGTCATTCTCTTTCTGCTCCAGTTCACATGTCACTCTGCTGCTGGTGATGTCATGTTACACAAAACTGTTTGTTAATTCCCTGGCCACTGGATTAGCTGAGCCCTCTCTTGTTTACAGGATAAAGTCCAAGCTCCTTTGCTTGGCATACAAGGTCCTTGATAACCTGGGACCAGCTTCTCCCTCCAGGCTCAGAGCTTCTACCCCTCTTTTCTGAACTCTGGCCTCACAGACCTTTCATCATTCCCGGAACATGCCATCCCTTTTCCACAAGCTCTCTTAGCCTCATAAGCTTTTATCCCATTCTAATTATTCTTCTAATTCCATCCTTCAAGACCCAGTTCAGATATCGCCTCTCTGGCACCTCTCCAGGTTCCCAGGCAGCCTGTGCTCGAGGTCTGCATGCCGCTTGGTCCACACCCTGCCTTAATGCTTAGAGTCTTGGATGTCTCTCTCCTGCTCTTCCATGAAGCTCTGCAGGAGGGACAGGGCCTGCTTTTTCATTATTATAATCTCTATCAATTTCGTGTTTAGTGCATTGAGGACTCCCAGAGTTTTTAATAGATAAATGAGTCAATGGGCATCTGAGTTGAGATCCCCAAATAGCATATCTACTAGTCATAACATCTAAGATTTGTATAACTTCACCTTTTCACCACATCAACCAGTTTGACCTTCAGCAGATTTACTACCGGGGCAGGTGGTATTATTCTTATTTTAGAAATTATAGAATGGACTTAGAGTTTAAGTTACTTGGTGAAGGTTGAGAGTAGAGCCAGTGAATGATTATTAACTTTTTGTAATTTTTGTAATAAGGGCACATTTTGGTCCTTGGCAGTGCCAGCTCAGTATGCTTTAAATTTTTCCCAAATTTAGTAAATGCTATATTGATTTTCATATCTATTGCTTTAGTAATCCATGATCCAGAAAAGATAAATGCAAATACAGTGTTCTCTGAAGCATTTTTATTATGGCTAAAAAGAAGATGCAACTTAAAGTCCCAACAGTAGAAAAAGAATTTGATAAATTTACGTATATTAACATAGTAGAATATTAAGTAGTTCTTTGAATTATAATTATGATACCTATTTGGGAATGTGTGACAAGTATTAAAATTAGACTGCGATTGTAACTAAATATATGGCGAGGTTTATGTTGTGTTAGGCTCATGAGAAGGCAAGAAATTTTATTATTTAAATGTTTTCTCCAGTAATGTATTGGATTCAAGCCATTGAGATTTGGGGAGTGTTTCAGTGACTTATTTGGGCAAAACAGAATATTTGAAATTGGCATTGTCTCAGAATCTGGCATTTAGGATCATTAGCCATATACTTTGTCTGAAAGATTGAAAAGAACTTAAATTATTATTATTGGAATCATTGTAAATAATGTTGTTGTTAAAAATGTGATTATAAGACAATGTGGGAAACTTTTTTTTTTTTTTTGAGACAAGAGTCTCACTCTGTCGCCCAGGCTGGAGTGCAGTGGCGCAATCTCGGCTCACTGCAAGCTCCGCCTCCCAGGTTCACGCCATTCTCCTGCCTCAGCCTCCCGAGTAGCTGGGACCACAGGCGCCCGCAAGCACGCCCAGATAATTTTTTGTATTTTTAGTAGAGACGGGGTTTCACCATGTTAGCCAGGATGGTCTTGATCTCCTGACCTCGTGATCCGCCCGCCTCAGCCTCTCAAAGTGCCGGGATTACAGGCATGAGCCACTGTGTCCGGCTGAAACTTGGTTTTAAAGTTAGAGGAAAACCCTGACACAGAGTTCTGCCAAATAAAGGTAGTTTTGTCTTTGTGTGTGAGTGTGAGTGTGTGTGTGTGTGTGTGTGTGTGTGTGTGTGTCTCAACATAGTATCAAATTATTGAATTGTCTAAGAGATTTTCTCTTAAGGATATTTTGGGATTATCAGAAGGTATAATGTGATTATAAGAAAACATGGGAAACCCAGAGAAATGAAACATTAGAAATAAACCTTAAGACCACAGTCATACTTGGCAATGATCATCACAATTAATAGTTGGTTGTCTCCTTGCAGTGTTTTTTCTAAGTTTATGTGTGGATGAGAGATTTTCTCCCCTGCCATGGCAACATGTTGCTGGATTGTGTACAGGAGAGATTATCTCTGGATATTCTGTGTGATATCTAATACATTTCAGACCAGGAATTCCTAACCTTTTAAAACTGGCACAGCCCTTGCTTTCAGCGTGTGGTGTCAAACCCTCGTGCCCGCCTGCCAGGGACAGGTGCTGGGCAAAGGTTGCGGTCCCGGGCTGCCTACAGCGTGGTGCCTGCTAGATTTGGCCTGGGGTGGGTGCCTCAAGTTGTTACCTGCTACTTGCCTTCTAAGGTGCTGATCCCTGTCAATTAACGTGGCAATCTAGAAGGGAAGCTGTAAAATCAGGGTAAGGAGGAGAACGTGGAAAGCCTTTCAATCACAGTTTGATGAGGAAATGGAAAGGGGCACATTTCTCCCTAACAAGTTACAAAATACCTGATCTAGGATTTGAAGATGGAAAAAGAGATAACAGAGAAAGGTTAAGGGTCTTTAGAGCTGTCCCATTTTCCTGATAGTCTTACATAATTAGTTAAATGGAATAAACAGTATTGTGATAGCTGAGAATTCCTACAAATACCTGTGTAAACATAATGTATTTAGTAACATTTTGTTGTAGTTTTAGCAGTACACCAAGATGTAACTGTTTTTTGTTGTTTGAGAGAACACCTGGAGTTTTTTGTCCTACCTCCAAGAGGATTAAGGAGCACCACATGAAGGTGAGGTTAGAGTGAAAGTTTAGTAAGTGAAGCAAGAAAGCTAGATTTTTTTTTTCCCCCAGGCTTTTTTTTTTTTTTGAGACAGACTTTGGCTCTTGTCACCCAGGCTGGAGTGCAATGGCACGATCTCGGCTCACTGCAACCTCCGCCTCCAGTGTTCAAGCAATTCTCCTGTCTCAGCCTCCTGAGTAGCTGGGATTACAGGCACGCACCACCACACCCAGCTAATTTTTGTATTTAGTAGAGATGGGGTTTCACCACGTTGGCCTGGCTGGTCTCGAACTTCTGACCTCAGGTGATCCTACTGCCTGGGCCTCCCAAAGTGCTGGGATTACAGGTGTGAGTCACCAAGCCCAGCCCCCAGGCTGCTTTTTATGTTATGTGGGAATAAGGCACCAAACTTTGAACTGGGGGCTCTCTGGAAATCCTTCCCTTGCTATCTACCTAAGGCAAGCTAGCACTCCTTTCAGTTTCTTTGAGTGATAAAAGTTGTTTGATCTTTTTTACATAAAAATGATAGGCTGTCAATCTCTGGAAAATGATTATATGTTAAGGGGAAATTAAGTGATGTTGTACATTTACTTATCTACCTACTTCTGAATATAGCTTTTTTGTTTGTTTGTTTTAAAAGGAATTGCTTAAACTTCTAAAAATTTTCTTAAGTTTCAAGTGAGAATGCTTCTGTGGAATGGGAACTTGGGAAGAGGGGAGGTAGAGGAGGGTTAGTGACTGGAAGAAAGGAGGGGCGCGTCATGAAGACTCTAGAAAGAATACCAAGATGTGTGAGTGGGGGTGTTCTCCCTCCCCTCACTTTTGTTTCAGACTCAGTGGAGTGTCTTCACGCTCCGTCTTCCTCCTTGTTTGTGCTTTAAAATCTCGGCTTTCTTGGCTACTGTGAGGACACAGTTTCCTGGTCCCTCTTTTAACTCAATGTTTACCTTGTCTCTTTTTATTTTTTTGCCTCCCAGGAGAATTGACTAGTTCCTTACTGAAAACCCTAAGAGATCCCTGCTGTAGCAGCTATAATACTCAAAAGCTTTTGTTTTTATGAATTTTTCTGTACTAGATTTAACCCCTTAAGAGCAAGAATTATGCCCTAATCTTTGTTTTCCTATTACCTGGCAATATAACATGTAGTAAATCAATGATTGACAACTGGATAAATGAATCTTAAAAAGGAAAACATTATAATAAGCTATTTATGAAGATATGACACACAGACTTTCCTTTGACTTCCTTCATTTATTCTATTAGAGTACTTTAGAAACTTTTGTTAGAAGACTTAGAGATACCTAATAAATAACACCTCTCTTCCTGACCAAGTTCTGAATCATTGGATATTTAAGAATCTGGAGTTAGAGAACTAAAACCGGCTTTGTATTACTGATAAGACATATTCTCCTGTATCAGCCAGGGTAAGAGAGCCAGGAGTTACTAACTCCTTCTCCCCTAGGGTAGACTTTGGGGTGGCCCACTGGAGGGGAAGTTTGGGTCTGAAGGACAGATGCTTCCCAAAGTGTAGAGAGGAGGAGGAAAGAAACCAACTCCTCCAAGAGCCCCTGCCCTTCTCACCCCTTCCTACAGCACAGGATGCTTCTCTGTTGCCCACCAATTAGGTAATTCCTTGACCTCCAAGGAGAGAGGAAGGCTTGGGATAAAAGGACAGTAGTGTTTAGGGAAAGAGAAGCCTCTCATTGTGACGTCCTTGGTTTCTGTGCTCTTGACCCTTTGGAATTACCTGTTAAGCCTGAGATCAGCCGATTTCCAGCCCTGTGCTTTCACCTTCTTGGACCTGTTCCTCCTTCCCCTGAGAGCCAACCCCTCCCCTGATTTCTTTGTTGACCCTCCTCGGACTGCTGGGGTCTGCTGTTGAGTTTGCCCCTAGACAGCTTTGAGATGGATTAGATAAATTCACTAATAATCTGCCCCAAGGCCACACTGTAACCAGGGTTGAAAGTTCACATCTTCCTCTGTTTCCCCATCCCAAATTCTTTTCAACTGCAATATCCGGTACAGTTTATCAGAGCTTTTGTGATGCGATTAAATAACAGTGTTAAAATATGGCAGTAGAAAATATCAGCCATATAAAATGCCTGTCATAGAGATGCATAGTGGGAGTGAATAAGAGGGTGAATTCCAAACCAGACCACCTGGCTAAAAATCTTGGTTCTGAGTGACTGTAGCCAAGTTACCTAATCTCCCTGTGTCTCAGTTTATCTGTAAAATATGTAATAATAGCCCTTTCGGATAGGGTTGGTGTAGCAATTGAATCAACCAATTTATTTAAAGAGCTTAGAACTAGTCTCTGGCACATAGCTGAAATGCCTTAATCACTTAACTTTTAAAAAGAACCTTCTGAATATAAACCCTCTTCTATTATGAAACTCCGGGAGAACTTTAATATTCAGAGATTAGAACCCCCAACGGGACATGAAAGTTCAAGGCTATGGTAGTGTATCCAGTTATCTTGGCCTGTGAGTTAACATTCAAAGAATTTGAAGTCCTCTTCAATTTCTTGTTTTTATTTTATTTTATTTTATTTTTATTTTAATCAGAAGTTCTCCATGCCTCTGTGCAGCTGGGGAACTTTTAGTAGCTACAGGCTGGATTTGTTCTTGCTAGAATGTGCGTGGTTTCCCCACGGTTTCAGAATTTATAGTGGTTCAATAGTAAGTCATTTGAGCCTCACTTGAATCTGCAATCTTAATGAAACGCACAAGAATAACAGATTATTAACTTCACATCCAAAAAAATTGGAAAACGTGTCCCCCCACTTCCCAGCCCTCCAAGCACTAATTTTAAGCAGAATCGTCCCTAGTACTTCGATTTACCAAAGAGAGGGAAGGAAGTTGGAGAGAGCCTCACCTTGGTTTCCGCTTGAATTCATGCTGGTTGTGGAGTCTCAGACCTTTGCACTTAACGCTTGGCAGGGAGAGATCACCATTAGTCAGGAGGCTAATCTGGGTACTTTGGGGGTTAGAGAGGAGCCACCTGTGCATACCACTGCTCTACTCAGGAAGGGGCACCTGAGATGCTCTGGCCTTCCCTCAGAGTTTATAAATTTGCCTGGCGGTAGCCGACATACTCGGCCTGCCTTCCTTCTGTTTTCCATGTGTGGATTTCTGTTTCTTCCTTGGGCCCTTGTTTCTGGCATCTCCCGGCACTTTTGTGCTAGTGGTATGGAAGCTGTGTTAGGAGCAGAGCTTCTGCAGTCTGTGGGCAGTGACGTTGAGATCTGTGCACAGGGTGGTTTCCATTGCCTCTCACTGTGGACTTGCGGGGGCTTCTGAAACCTGCTTCTTAGGGAAGTTTGTTTCCTTTTTGTCCACTTATTTCAACTGGAGTGGTGTTCTCAGCAGATGCCCTGAGGTGAGCAGTTGTTGACACTTTGGAAGTGTGAGTCCATCAGGGCCTAGTGGTGATAGTTCCTTCTTTTTCTGTGTTAGTCGGCTGTTCCCCCAGGACTTGCTTGTTCTCCACTGTTCAATTTAACCAGCTTTTTGTGTTGCTCTCTTTCTTTTTAAATTAGTACATTCCTTTAATTTTTTTTTAACTTTTTGGTCTAGATATTTATTTTCCCTTTAGATCTTTCTCTAGATTTTTTTCGGTGTGTTCTCCCAAAGCAAAAGAGATAAAATCAAGTTCTGGGTCTACTAAAAACATCTATAGTTCAAACAAATCTTTTTTCTGTTTGTTGCGTTGCATAATCTTACATAAGAGATACTCTCCTGTCAGCCCAGTATCCCAGTCAGGCCCAGGCTCGGTTTATCTTGTCCTGCCTGGTTCTCCTTTAATGGTTTCCTCTTTGCTGTGCCTTCTTTTGATTGAGTCCTAAATGCCATAAACTTCTCAAGCATATTCCCTCAGGGCACAAGCAGTAATTGTATCTCCATTGAAAAATGCACTGAGCATTCCACACTCACCTTCCTGGTTTCCTTTCACCTGTCCAGGTTTGTGTAAGGCTTGGTGTAGCCGCCTCAGTCTTTGATGGTAGAGCTCCTTAATTGTTTACTATGGGGGATTTAAGTGTATTTCTTCACAGTTCCTAGAACTCAATCATGGTTTCTTAATTATTTTTATTTTTACTTTTGTTTTAAGACAGGGTCTTGCTCTGTTGCCCAAGCTAGAATGCAGTGGTGCAGTTACAGTTATTACAACCTTGGCCTCCCGAGCTCAGGTGATCCTCCCTCCTCAGCCTCCTGAGTAGCTGGGACTACAGGCATGTACCACCATGCCCAGCTAAGTTTTATATTTTTTTGTGGAGACAGGGTTTCACCATGTTGCCCAGGCTGGTTTCAAACTCCTGAGCTCAAGTGATCCACCTGCCTCGGTCTACCAAAGTGCTAGGATGACAGGTGTGAGCCACCATGACTGGCCTATTTTTTGAGGAACAATTCCAGTCTGCTGAGATCTTGCCTGTCTTCCTTTATTAGAGTCTTTTAAAAGCTCCATTTAGCACAGATATATTTCATTTTGAATACCTGCACAATGAGATCTCAAAGTATCTCCACTTCTCTTTTTATATCTGTTTAACCTGACTTTCTAGATGTTGTTTTCTTTTTTTTTTCCTTTTTAGTTGGCATGTAATAATTGTACTTAGGTATGGGATAGAGAGTGCTGTTTTGATACTGTATACAATGTGTAACGATCCACTCAGGGTAATTAGCGTATTATCACCTCAGACATTTATCATTTCATTATGTTGTGAACATTCAAAATCCTCCCTTCTGGCTTTATTGTAGTCAACTGCAGTCACCCTGTAGTGCTGTAGAACACCAGAACTCATTCTGTCTGTCTAGCTGTAACTTTGTGTTGGTTACCCAGCAAGGTTTGGTTATTTCTTTTTTGTTTTGTTTTGTTTTTTGAGACAGAGTTTCGCTCTTGTTGCCCAGGCTGGTGTGCAGTGGCGTGATCTCGGCTCACTGCAACCTCTGCCTCCCGGGTTCAAGTGATTCCCTTGCCTCAGCCTCCCAAGTAGCTGGGATTACAGGTGCCCATGACCACGCCCAGCTAATTTTTGTAATTTTAGTAGAGATGGGGTTTCACCATGTTGGTCAGGCTGGTCTTGAACTCCTGAACTCAGGTAATCCACCTGCCTCAGCCTCCCAAAGTGCTGGTATTTCAGGCATGAGCCACCGCACCCGGCCCAGTTTGGTTATTTTAAACCATTTCAGCTGTGTCTAGCTCTTGCCTTCCCCTTTCCCTATATATATGGGGTAAAATATACTTAACACAAAATTTACCATTTTCACCATTTGTATGCGTACAGTTCACTGGCAGTAAGTACATTCACAGTGTTGTACAGTCATCACCTCCATCCATCTCCAGGACCCTTTCATCACCCCAAGGGGAAACTCCATACCCATTAAACACCTTCCCTCAGCCACCATTATTCTCCCTGGCAACCACTATTCTACTTTCTGTCTCTATGAATTGGACTATTCTAGGTCCCTCATAGAAGTGGGATTATACAGTATTTGTCCCTTTGTGTTTGGTTTATTTCATTTTGCATAATGTCTTCAAGGTTCTCCCATGTTATATAGCATGTATCAGAATTTTATTCCTTTTTAAGGCTGAATAATTTTCTGTTGCACATATATATCATGTTTTGTTTATCCACCTTGTGGCATTTATGAGTAGTCTTGCCATGAAGATGGGTGTATAAGTATCTGAGTCCCTGCTGTCACTTTTGAGTGTATGCCTAGAAATGGAATTGGTAATTCTGTTCAAGTTTTTTGAGGAACCACCACAGCGTCCTTTCTTTTATAGCCTAATTCTCGCCACAGCGATGCCTGCTTAAGTATAAGCTGTGCCCATGCTACTCAAGGTCAAGCGACGGCAGCCTGCATCACAAAGCTTAAACTTTTGCCGAGCCTGGATCTTGTTTCAGGGCCTGTGCCAGACATGCAGGGCCTACTTGTCATTTGTTTGAGGCCCAGCATCATCCAATTGTATAAAAATAGTTACTTGCCTTTGGACAGAGCCAACATACGCTGCCTGACCTATCAAGGTGAAAATCCCACATGGCTCTGCTGAAGCTGCCAGCCCAGGTTGTAATAGTTAAAAGCTAGTTATCCAGGTGTAAAAACCAAGGTGTTGCCCAACACAGATGACTTCCACTTGGCCAAACCAAAAGTTTAGATAGTACAGGGGTTATCTTAGTCTCCCAATTGTTTTTTGTCTGTCTTTCAGGGTTTCTGGCACATTTCAGGGAGTGGGAGGTAGTGTCCAGTAAATGACACTTCTTTTTTTCTTGAGTTCTGTTCCAATCATGAAATAAAAAGAACTTGAAGTGTTTTAGGGGAAAAAAAATCTCTTAGAAACCAAAGGAGTGTGGTAAAGAGTTATCTTCTAAAAGCTTTAATGTGGGAAAAATGCTTCCCCCAAGCATCTAAATTATTTGTTGTGGAATTTTATTAAATAAATGCATTAATTGTGAATGAGCAAATCAATATAATCTCCCCTTTGAGGCCTACTGTGTACCCAGTGGTTTGCATATGTATCTCATTTAGCACCCATCATATTGCTGTGAATTCAATAACTTGATTTCATAGAAGAGGAAGCTGAGTCTTAGAGTGGGTGGGGAATGTCCCCAGGCTTTTATGGCTGGGGTTTGATCTCAAATCTGTGTTGGCTAAGCACTTGGCCACACTGCCTTTTCTAAAATGATGTGGATAAGGAAAAATGCTATCCATATGCAGTAGCCTCTTTTTTCCTCAAAGCAAACTAATTTCAGCCACTTCCTAGGTTTTTGCAAATGTTTGCATGAGTGGGTCTGGCAGTATAGTTAGATTTTGTTTTAGTGGTTAATATCTGAGGAATAAAAGGGTAGTGGTGGTGGTGGTGGGGGTTGAAACACAATTGCTATTTAATATCAGGGAAAAATAGCTGTACAGTACTTATTAATAACTCAGCTGAGCCTGCTGTTATGCAGGAAACACTAAATTAGGAGTGTGGTTATAGAATCTGAGTGTTATGTGGAAGGCACCCAAGATAGCTCTCATTTTATACAAGATCATTTGCCATGTGCATAATACTGTGTGTGGGGGCCACCTGCTGGAGCAGTCAGATGGCTTATACAGAATCAGTGTTCCAGATGCATATGTTGGCATAAGAGATTTACTTTTTCTTGTCTTTTTGAGATGGACTCTGTTACCCAGGCTGGAGTGCAATGGTGCAGTTGCAGCTCCGCCTCCCGGGTTCAAGCAATTCCCCAGCTTCAGCCTCCCGAGAAGCTGAGATTACAGGCGTGTGCCACCATGCCCAGCAAATTTTTGTATTTTTACTAGAGACAGGGTTTCACCATGTTGGACAGGCTGGTCTCAAATTCTTGACCTCGAGTGATCCGCCCTCCTTGGCCTCCCAAAGTGCCGAGATTACAGGTGTGAGCCACTGCGCCCGGCCGAGATTTACTTTTATAATGACTTCTAATATTTAGCATTCAAAATTGTGAAAGGGGAGAAAGATGTCTGAGAAATACAGAATCTAAGATTGGGATTTGTCTAAGTAATTCTTTCATATTTCATAAGTTGTAGTCCTTAAATAAAAAGGTTTCATGTGGTTATTACCAGGAACATCAAGCCTCTTGTTCATTCTGTCTGGATTAATATAGATTCTCAAATATATTTATTTATTAGGCTGTGCTTTACTCTTGTTGATAAGACATCAGAATGACTTAATACTTTAAGTCTGTTATTTCCTTTCCTGTTTAATTGCACACAGTCCCCCCAAATCACACCCTTCTTGTGGCCCAGGGCACCAGCAATTCCTTAGCAAGTGAAGGGAGATGATTCCTTTCTCTCTAGTATCCAGTTCCCTAAATTCATACTTCTTCACCACAAAACTGTGGAAATACATGACATACAAAAGGAGTTTTAACATTTCTATTTTCTTGACCTTTGCATTTTATCTTGGTATGGTTTTCTAATATATATCCCTGTGTTGATGGATTTTTAGGCCTTTAGGTACCTAGGAGAAACAGATTTGATCTATTTTAATTTGTTAAAAAAGTACTGACTGCAGTTGAAAAACCTGATTTTTTTTTCTGTTTTTCTACTACCTAGCCCCAAGATCTTTGATAAGTCTCTTAACCCCTCCAAGCCACAATTTCCCCCATCTTCTAAAAGGGGATAATACTTTATATGAAATAATATGAAATATATAAACTATATTAATACTTTCAATGAAGACTACTTAAGAAAAAGTTGTTTATAGAGTTACTTTTTCTTTTTTCTATAAAATATCTGATCTGATTTGTTAAAGGAGTATGGGAGGTTTCAAAACTAGAGAATTACGTTTTTATTTGTTTTTCCTGTCTAATCAGCCCAGGCTCACTCTGGATGAGGGCGTGTCCTGTTGTCACACAGTGTGCTCAGTTGGGGACAGTTGGGGAACTTGTAACCCTAGTATGTGGTTGCCCCCTGGCTAACATTTTGGTTAGAGTTTCTTTTTTATCAAGTTAATATTGCTATTGTTTTGTTCTTTTTTTTTTTTTGAGATGAAGTCTCACGCTGTTGCCCAGGTTGGAGTGCAGTGGCCCGATCTCGGCTCACTGCAAGCTCTGCCTCCCAGGTTCACGCCATTCTCCTGCCTCAGCCTCCCGAGTAGCTGGGACTACAGGCGCCCGCCACCATGCCCGGCTGATTTTTTGTATTTTTTAGTAGAGACAGGGTTTCACCATGTTAGCCAGGATGGTCTTGATCTCCTGACCTCGTGATCTGCCTGCCTCGGCCTCCCAGAGTGCTGGGATTACAGGCGTTGGCCACCGCGCCCGGCCCAATTGTTTTGTTCTTTTGAGAAAGATATGGACTTGAAACTTTTTCTTTTAGAAAAATTAGCATACTTCTGAAGGGCAGTTTGGAGGTGCTAGAACTCCCCCTTGTGGGATTCTGAAATATGTCCTACAACAAAAGAAACAAAATAGTGATTTTTAAAATGCCTCTCGCTAATAGAAGAATCTTAATTAAAATGGCAAGTTATAAATATATCCGTCCAGAGATTTACTAAGAATGACAAAATATTAGGCTTTAAATCATAGCAAATTACTCTGCGAAATAGGGTTGTTAATTGTGTCAAAAACTGTTAATATGAGTGTGAACTTTTAACATCTTTTCATTTGAAGAAATATTGTAGGGTAGAGAATTGCCTTGTCAGGTTAAGACCTTAACATAGTTAAATTGTTGTAGATTTCTTAAAAAAAAAAAAAAAACTTATAAATGTGTACTTTAAAAGTGTGTTAATATGATTTTTTTCTTTAAACATTTTTTGAAAGTTTCAGATCAGAAATACACACTGTTAGGTTTTTATTCTTTTATTTTGTAGGCACCGTTTACTATTTTCTGTTTCTTGCCCTTTTCAAGCTTCTCTTGCCCTTTTCAAGCTGATTCCCTAGCATCTGTGGCTGTATGCCCACCTCTATCCACTCATCAGCTGTTTATTGAGTGCTGATGAAGTGATAGGCATTGTGCATTCGAAGCACGAGATGCTTAGAATCTCCTGGCGTAGGTAGACCTTGACCATGTTGTTGTGAGAAGTGTTACAAAAGGTCAGGTAGAAGTTGCTGTGGTGTCTGAGAGGGTATTTAAGCCAGGACATGAAGCATAAATCAGATTTAGCTAGGTGGAGAGGTGGGTGGGTTGGAGGAGTGGGTGCAAGGCAAAGGGACAGAAAATTCAAAGGTGTTGAGGCAAGCAGAGCAGAAACGAGACCAGTGAGGTTGGAGCATGCGCAGGGAGGTCGAGACTAGGCAGGTGCCGGAGTTTTATAGCGACAGCAGAGGATTTGGGACTTTTGCCAAGTGAGAAGTCTTTGAAGAGTTTTAAGCAAATAGTGGCATGACCAGATTTGTATATGGGTAAATTCACTCTTGGTGCAGTGTGGAGAATGGAGTGGAAAGGGCAGAGGTGGATGCAGGGAGACTAAGAGGAAGTTACTGCACCATCATTTTTTTGTGTAGTTTTGTGGTGTTAGAGTATTTATTTTGACTTTGTAGGCTGTACAGTCTCTGTTGCAAGTACTCAACTCTGCTATCATAGCACGAAGGCAATAGTAGACAGTCCATAAAGGAACGGGCATGGCTGTGTTCCAATAAAACTTTGCTGACAAAAATAAGCAGCAAACTGGATTTAACCTGTGGGCATAGTTTGCTAACCCCTGATATCTGGGGTATTTATTAAGAAAGAGGAGAAGTGAGTGGGTTTAAGGGCTCATGAAGGAGGTACAATCAGTATGACTTGGTTATGGATTTGTTTGAGGAGAGTATGAGAAGCTGAAGTGAAAGGGGTTTTCAGGTTTCTGGCTTAAACAACTGGATAAATAATGATAGGGTTGATGAATAATGGTGCTAAGATGAGGCACACAGCAAAGGTGGCCAGGTTGGGGTGTGTGAAGATTCAGGTGGATGCCCAGTCACTGGTTGGACATATAGGTATGGAGAGGACTAAGCTAGGGGAATCGATGTGGGAGGGTTCAGCATGCCAACAAGCTCCCCTGGGAGAGAGTGAAGAGGGCATAGGCAGCATCCAGCATAACTCAGTGTCTGATGGTTAAAGGAGCAACAGCTGGCAGAGGAACCAGAGAGAAAGAAAAACCGAGAGGGACAAGTGGTTCAGGCTGTAACAGGACAGGGGGCTGGTGGCAGCAGGGAGAGTGGTGAACAAAAGGAGAAGTTTCTGTTGGATTTGGCCGTGTGAGGATCATTTGTAACCTTAGTTAAAGCAGTTTCAGAGCTGGGCATGGTAGTGCACGCTTGTAGTCCCAGCTACTCAGGAGGCTGAGGTGGGAGGATCGCTTGAGGCCAGGAGTTTGAGGCTGCATTGCGCTATGATTGTGCCTGTGAATTGCCACTGTGCTTCAGCCTGGGCAGTATAACAAGTATTTTATTTTTTTTTGAGACGGAGTTTCACTCTTGTCACCCAGGCTGGAGTGCAATGGCATGATCTCAGCTCACTGAAACCTCCACCTCCTGGGTTCAAGTGATTCTCCTGCCTCAGCCTCCCAAGTAGCTGGGACTACAGGTGTGCGCCACTATGCCCAGCTAGTTTTTTTTTTTTTTTTTTGACGGAGTCTCGTTCTGTCGCCCAGGCTGGAGTGCAGTGGCGCGATCTCGGCACACTGCAAGCTCTGCCTCTCAGGTTCACGCCATTCTCCTGCCTCAGCCTCCCGAGTAGCTGGGACTACAGGCACCCGCCACCACACCCAGCTAATTTTTTGTATTTTTAGTAGAGACGGGGTTTCACCATGTTATCCAGGATGGTCTTGATCTCCTGACCCCGTGATCCACCCGCCTCGGCCTCCCAAAGTGCTGAGATTACAGGCGTGAGCCACAATGCCTGGCCATTTTTTTTTGTATTTTTAGTAGAGACGGGGTTTCACCATTTTGGCCAGGCTAGTCTCCAACTGCTGACCTCAGATGATCCACCCACCTCGGCCTCCCAAAGTGCTGGGATTACAGGCATGAGCCACTGCACCCAGCCTAACAAGTCTCTTTTAATTTTAAAGATAAATTTTAAAAATTAAAAATCAGTTTCAGAAAGTGGGCTTTTTCTGTTTGATGTTGGGATTTGTTCATAGACAAATTTAAAAATCTAGTTCTTCAGGCTGGTGTATTGGTGCACACCTGTAATCCTAGCACTTTGGGAGGCTGAGGTGGGTGGATTGCTTGAGCCCAGGAGTTCAAAACCAGCCTGGGAAATATGGTGAAGCTCCGTCTCTATAAAAAATACACAAATTAGCCATGTGTGGTGGTGTGTGCCTGTAGTCCCAGCTACTTGGGAGGCTGAGGTGGAGGTTGCATGAGCCAAGATTGCACTACCCGACTCCAGCCTGGGAAACAGAGTGAGACCCTGTCTCAAAAAACAAAAAAATCTAGTTTAAGATTTTAGATTCATTTTACAAATCATATTATTCTATTTAAGAATACTAGCAGATATGAACAATGATTTCTTTAAAAGAGTGTTTAATGTTTGGTCCCATTTACAAACTTAAACTCCTTAAATATTTTTACTGCATTAAAAATATATTTTATTCTTTTTCTTAAAAAAAGATTAAAAGAGTCACGGTTCACTACAGCCTTGACCTCTTGGGCTCAATCAATCATCCCACCTCAGCCTTCCTAGTAGCTGGGACTATAAGCGCACATCACCACGCCTGGCTAATTCTGGTATTTTTTCTAGTAGAGACGGGGTTTTGCCATGTCTCCTAGCTGGTCTGCAACTCCTGGGCTCCAGTGATCCACTGCCTTGGCCTCCCAAAGTGCTGGGATTACAGATGTGAACCACTACTGTGCCTGACCTATTCTTTTTTTTCTGTATTTTAATTGCCTGAATGACAATTGAAGTAGTTTAAAATGTATTCTTTTATAATGTACTTGGGTAAGTTTTATAAATCTAACAAACATAATTGTAGTGATTCTTCTTAGTAATGCATCTTTCCTGGGTTTTTAAATAGGTACTCCCTATTAAGCCAGCCTAGGCTTTGGAGAATGCCTTCTTACCTTGCCAAGATTTGATGTTAGGACTGTGGCTCCCGGGTGGAGTACCTTTTTCTAATCACTATGCCAGAGACATTAAACTTAATGAAAGAGGAAGTCTCATAGCCCATGTCTTTTAGATTCACATACTGCACTGAGTAACTTTTTGCTGTATTCACATGCCTGTAGCCCCCACCCTCCTACCCAAGGTTGTATCCCTTGATTTGATTTTTCATTTTCCTTTTCTTAAATATGTGTTGACATCATCCCAGGGGCTGTTAAGATCTTTAAATTTGACAGAGTCTTGCATTCTTTTTATATGCTTTTGTCTCTTTCATCCATAACTCTTCCCTGTTAAAAATGATAGTCAGTTGAATTTTGGACATCTCTTTTTTTTTATTTTTTGTTTTTTTGGTCTAACTTGAGGGTCATGGTTTCTAGGTCATTGTACTGATGGAAGGCACACTTAGAATTTTGTTACTTTGTAAACCTACTTTAAAATAACAATAGATTCCTGTGTTTAAATAACATTTTCAACAAACATCAGAAACACCAAACTCCAGTGTTCCTGTGTATATTTAGAACATATTCACCTGCTTATAGGTGTAATAAGGAATTTTCATGTTGCCCGAGGGAGAACTTATGATTTTCATTAGAATGTAAGCTCAGTGACAGTCCTGAGAACAGATTTCTCTGTTTAGCTTACTGTTGTGTATCCACTAAAAAGAATAATGCCCAGCATTTAGCAGATACTCAGATATTTATTGAATAAATGAAAAAGTGTAGTTTCTGAATACTTGATAAATTGTTTATTATTAGTGTGAGATTGAGCCTTTTACTTAAAGTTCTTTTCCTCCTTTTTTCTTCTTTTAGGCAGAAACCACTAATACTAGCCTCTTGCAGGTGCAACTGGAATGCAGTTTACATAATAAAGTGTGTCAGCAATTAAAGGTAAAATAAAATGTGTAGTGTTTTCTCTCTGCTTTCCTCCTGCCTCTTTGCTTAAAAATAAAACACAAGGCTGGGCGCTGTGGCTCATGCCTGTAATCCCAGCACTTTGGGAGGCCGAGGCGAGTGGATCACGAGGTCAGGAGATTGAGACCATCCTGGCTAACACGGTGAAACTCCGTCTCTACTAAAAATACAAAAAAATTAGCCAGGCGTGCTGGCGGGTGCCCGTAGTCCCAGCTACTTGGGAGGCTGAGGCAGGAGAATGGCGTGAACCTGGGAGGCGGAGCTTGCAGTGAGCCGAGATCGCACCACTGCACTCCAGCCTGGGTGACAGAGTGAGACTCCGTCTCAAAATAAAATAAAATAAAATAAAACACAAAACAGCATATTCTGTTCTCACACACGTCCCATTACGTTAAATGCTTCTCCTTTCCTCCATAGTTTGAAACCACAAAGTTGAGATGATTTTTTTTTTCCTTTTTTCCTCCTCCTTCCAACCATAGGGTTGTTATCTGGAATCTGATGATGTTTTGCGTCTACAAATGAGCATAATGGTAACAATGGAAAACTTTTCAAAAGAATTTGAAGAAAACACACAACATTTGTTAGATCATCTCTCTATTGTTTACGTAGCTACAGATGAATCTGAGACCTCAGGTAAGGTGGAATGTTTAAAAATTTTATTATATTTTCATCAGTCTGCATCATCATTCTATAGCATTTATGAACAGATTGTATCATAGCAAACCAAGACAAATAGCCTTTGCTTTAATTATTAAGTGATTGTAGTAGTAACTGGTTCTCAACCTACAACTGCTAAGAAGGCTGTATTATTTTGGGGAGAAGTGACAACTGCAAACTATTCTGAGTTTCCTTAGGAATAATTTTTCTTCATGTTTGGAGACAGTAAGGAAATTAAATGGGCATGACAGTTTAATATAAATATTTACAAAGTATTTGAAGTCTTGGGTTTCTTGTTCCACTTTTAATGATTTGCCTAAGCTCATTTAACCACATCATGCTGTTTTGTATTTTAAATAGCTAATAGGTTGCGGTTGTTCCTGGATGCTTGACAAGTTAGGTAGAATTTTAGTGTTCAGTTTTATGAATTTTATCTTTGGAAATGTGTGTCCTACTTATCAGAAATAAATGCATTCATCTGTTTAACTTCCTAAGAACTTTTTTCAGAGACACATTCTGTGATCCATGAAATTCCTAACGTAGAGTATACTAGTATCTTTTGGTTATCAAGACTTCTGAATGTGACTGTATATTTGTATTCATATTCAAGAAAGTATGGTTTTTATTCTTTGGGTTTTTTTGTTTGTTTTTTGGTTTTGTTTCTGTTTTTGTTTTTTTTAGACAGGATTTTGCTGTGTAGCCCAGGTGGGAGCACAGAGATGTGATCTCGGCTCACTGCAACCTCAGCCTCCTGGGCTCAAGCGATCCTGCCACCTTGGCCTCCCAAGTAGCTGGGACCACAGGCGCACACCACTATGCCTGGCTAATTTAAACCGTTTTTTTTTGTTGTTTTTTTTTTTTTTTTTTTTTTTTTTGTAGAGACAGGTTCTCCCTGTGTTGCTCAGGATGGTCTTGAACTCCTGGGCTCAAGCATTCCTCCCCGCTTGGCCTCCCAAAGTGCTGGGATTGCAAGCATGAGCCACCGTGCCCTGCTTTGGCAGTCTTAATTGGTTAAACAGCCTTTACCTTTCAGTCTTCAGAGCTGGCTGTGGTAGTGCTGGATCAGCAGGAGAGCTCTCCTGTCCTCAGTGCTTGGTGATTCTCATAGTGGCCAGTGAACATCTATGAGGGCAGATCCCTGACCCATGGGGACCACTTCTGTGGGTGAGGGCTAAAAGGAAGCCTGAAACCTGAGATCTCAGGATTTTCTTCTTTCCAAATGTGGTTATCCAAATGAGGAAATGAGGAGCTTTCTAATCAACAGGAGAACATAGCTTTATTTGAAGTCGTCCAGTTGGTTAGTTTCATTCAGAAGAGCATTGTGTGACCCTAAACTCAGAATTTTGCTCCTGGTAGTTCCTCATCATTTAGAGGGCTTAGGTTGGTAGGCATTTTTATGAGGATCTTTTTTCTTGTGATTAAAAAAGAAAAAAAAAAAGAAAACACCTCCTAGTTTTGATTTCAGTTTTGAGAAACAAGTTAACATTTTTTATAGAAATGTGTAATGTGGTATTTTAATGATTATATGAAGGTGTGAGAATGAGATGGCTCTGTTTTAATCTCTGATTAAATACTCTGCTTTAATACTCTGATTCTTTTGGACAGATGATTCAGCAGTAAATATGTATATATTACATTCAGGAAACAGCCTTATATGGATACAGGTAATTGTAAATGCTTACCTAAAGTAACTTTTAAAATTGCAAGTGTGCATTTAATTGTAGAATATGAGGGTTTTTCAGGAACAGAGACAGAAGCACTATCTTTATTCTTTTTTGCTTTAATTTAAGCCCATTTGCCCTTGCTTGAACCTCTGTTTGTATGAAGATTGTCAGCATCCCCTCCATATGGTTATGGCACAGATGCTGAGCAGTTGCTATGTATGGCTGGTCTGTGCTATTTATTCTAACGGTTCATTCAAACTGGATAAATACTCTCCCAGCTGAGAGTAGTCACATGGGACTTTTCTTTTATTTCAGGATATACGCCATTTCTCACAGAGAGATGCTCTGTCTCTGCAGTTTGAACCAGTACTACTACCTACTTCTACAACAAACTTTACAAAAATTGCTTCTTTTACCTGCAAAGGTACAGATTTTTAAACAGATTGTCATTTGACTTTTGTTATCTGGTTGTCATGATGGCAACTCTTTCTACAACTACAGATTAGGCATGGTTTCAAAAAAGTGAAGGGAATGCGTTTGATTTCAAGAAGTCCCAGCCTTAGTAGTTCTAAGATAGTATGATGTAGAAACTATTGTTGATGCCACTTTTATTCTGCCACATATGTAGAATTTTGAGTTTAAAGCTTAATATTCTGTGTTGATAACGATTAGGAAGGAAAGCACTGTTAGGTTTTTGACAGGAGTCTATGCAGGCTGTTTTTGAGGGAAAATTGGCAAATCTCTATGAAAATTTAAAATGCACATATTTACTCTTTGATCCTTAATTCTAGTTTTAAGAGTTTATCCTCCAGATATGTATGTATTCAAAACTGTACCTATAAGAAATGTGTGTTTGTTAGGACAGAACAGCTGATCATCTGTGTTCAGATGTGAGAGAGTGTTCAGAAACATGCATGGACAGCGATGCGAGCAGTGTGTGTACATTTAATTTTTTTTTAGAGGATATCTGTGTACTTATACATGCACAGAACACCTGGAAGGATGTTGCAGAAACTGCTAACAGCTGCCTCCTCCAAGATAATTGGGAGTCAGGGTGAAGAAAGGTAGATTTTATTTTCACATTTTTTTGTTAGTGTTTGAATTTTTAAAAACCATATATATAACTTTAAAAAAGTTGGTTATTAGCATCAGAGAGTTAAGAATTGAACACAAGCGACTCAATATTATAACCTAATCAAGGAGAGCTTAAAAGTATTATTTTGATCAATCAGCACTGCTTTCAAATGCAGCCCACTTTTTGCTGGTCAGCTCCCTTTTGCTCTTTAGGTTTTATTCCTTTCTTGCTCGTGCCTCCACACATTTTACTCTGCCAAGTGAGCTTCTTGTTTCACTTTTGTCATTTCTGGTAGAGAAGTTGGTTTTTAAAAGTATGGACTTCTGGATAATTGGCAACAAAGAAGATGACAGGAACATTTGAGAAAGTAGTTACCTTTTATGTCTGATTCACTATTTTAATGGAGACAGAAAAGTGAATAAAAATTTATAAATAAGACATATATCTTTTGTTCAGGCTTAATGAAAGAAAAGGTACTTAAGCTTCACATTTATTTCTTTATACCACAAAGCAGCTACATCATGTGACAGTGGAATTATAGAAGATGTGAAGAAAACAACACACACTCCAACACTAAAAGCATGCCTCTTCTCTTCTGTGGCTCAGGGGTAGGTTACTTCCACTTTCCCTGAAATCTTGTATGGTTGTTGTTGTTGTTTTCCCCTCTAGAAATGGTTTAAAAATATAGTGATATGATTTGTGTGATTCTCTCTCTCACTGGCCTTGCCTCCCCTTGCCTTAGCATTGCTAACAGGCAGTGAAAGGGATATTAGCTGAGTGGGGAAAAGGAAGTGAAATAATTCAGTTTATGAAATAGGTTCAGCATCAGGCATCCAGATGTGTGAAAAGAGTACATATTCACATGGTGTTTCTGAGTTGGCTTCAGGTTCTGGTTTGGTCCTGGCGGCCTCTGTGAGCTGTGCTGGCCGCAGCCTGGTTGCTTCCCCTCGGGCTTCCAGTTGCTCCCTATGTGAGCCAGAAGGTTGAAGGAGGCGATTGCCGAGGTTGTCTCTGGCGCTAGCTTTCATTTAGTAACGTTTTATGATGCTCCTGTTTTTGCAATTAGAGGCTCATAAGAGGGCTGACTGTTGTCCCACACTCAGGCCTGATAGCATGCATGTCGTCTGTTCACAGGTATTTTAGAATGGACTCTTCTGCAACCCAGTTTCACATAGAGACTCATGAGAACACATCAGGACTTTGGTCAATATGGTACCGCAACCATTTTGACCGTAGTGTTGTATTAAATGATGTGTTTCTTTCCAAGGAGACCAAGCACATGTTAAAGGTACATATAGTATTTTTTCCCCAAGTTTTAGCTTATTTTAAGCTTTGTTTAAGGTCAGATGCTGTGAAATTATTTCTATAAAATAATAAAAAATATTCCAAATGCTATGAAGTTATTATTTATATAAAATTTTATGATTTTTAAAACATGTATTTTTCTTTTAACATTTTCAGAATTACTTTTAGGAGACTTCTCTTTCTCTCTTTTTAAAAAACTGTTTTTAAAAGAGCTCAAAGGGACCAGGATATAGCCTTTCAAAATTATTTGCTCTTACCATTATTCAAAAATATTATGTATATGTATTGTTCTAAAAAGATTAGTAAAAATGAGCCTGGTTCATGATAAAATAGTAGGTTTTTTGCAAAATATCACTTACTGAAATTTCAAGATTACTTTTGTGAAATTTAAAACAGTGTCATCTTAAGCATTATTTGTAACCTATCATTTCTATAAAAATATTCCAACTTTTGATCTGGAAATAACTGAGTAAAATCATACTTTCTGAAGTATAGAAGAATGTTAGCATCATACTTTATAATGATTTTAATCATAATTAGTGTTAGGAAAAGTAATTTCTCTTGCTTCTTTTCTTTTTAGATTCTGAATTTCACTGGCCCTTTATTTCTACCTCCAGGCTGTTGGAATATATTTTCTTTGAAACTTGCTGTTAAAGACATTGCCATAAATCTATTCACCAATGTATTTTTGACTACAAACATAGGTGCCATTTTTGCAATACCTCTACAGATTTATTCAGCACCAACCAAGGTATTTTCTACAATACTATATGTGTGTTACAGTTTTCTTAATTACTGTTGCTTTTTATTAACCTTTAGTGCTTGAGTTTTATTAACTGGGTTAAGCTCACGTTCTTTAAGGCTAAGAAACTGAAGGATATTACCAGGCCAGTCTTGGATGATAAATTGTTCAGACATAAAAATCTTTATTTGGAAAGAGTTTTCTTTTTTATAAAGTAATTTGAAGTTCTTGAATGAAATAAGGCATGACCAATAGATTAATAGATGTCATTTTCATTTATTTCCAAAATTTGTAGAGCAACCAGTATGTGTTTGCTATAGAAAACACAGGTTGGCTTTTAGTACATACTTGCAATGACTTAATAAATTAAATTGTTAAATGCTTTATTTGGATCTCTTCTAAGTGACTCTTAGTTGCTCGTAATCCTTGAATTTGCTTAGTGGGCCAAGTATAAAGCCTGAAAAGATTCACAGTTAAGAAAATGCTTTCTAAAATCTGGGTAAATTATATTTAATTTAGACCGTCTTAAATATGTCTCTTTCTTTAATATTTATTTCTTTTCATTTGGTTATTATTTTTGCTTCTTTTTGCTCCAAGCTATTTTGTATAACTCTGGGTTCTGGTTTTTCTATGCAACATTCATGCAACCATCTTTATTTTTTTTCTCACTTATAGTGTGGATCTTTCATAGTTAGAAATGCCTCATGCTTAACTAGCTGTAAGCGTACAGATAGGAATTCTAAAATTAAACAATGTAAGGTTAATTCCATTTATCCATATTTTGAGCAGGGGTGGTTTCTTAGAAATTTTTTTTCTATTCAAGAGATGCATGTCAGCAGAGTGTGGGAGGAGCAGGCAGGTTTCAGGTATACCTGTAGGAAATGGGAAATTAAATGTCCTGAATAGCTAGGAGTTGTTATAGATTGGCATACTGTTTCCCAGAGGATTAGAGTTCAATTAAAAAAAAACAAAACTTCTGACCACTGAGAATGTCCTGAGACTAATCTAATCTTTTTTTTTTAATTTTTAATTTTTTTTACAGTTAGGGTCTCACTCTGTTGCCCAGGCTTCAGTGCAGCCATGTGATCATAATCTTTATTTAATTCAGATGGCAGTTTGGTGTCTTGTGGGCCCAAGGGTCATTATTGTCATTGATTATTGTGCCTGCAGAAGCCACTCAGTGACCCTCCTAGGGAGAGACAGTTCAGATTTCTCTGAAAATTCCTTAACAATTAGAAAGTAATTTTTGGCTCGTGGTTAAAGGGAAGTTCACTGAGGTGCAGACCAATGTCTGCTTTGAATTTTAGTGCATTAGAATTTTTATGTTTAGTGCTGTGTTTTAAGTTATTCATATATTACTTTTCAATCTAGGAAGGGAGTCTGGGTTTTGAAGTGATAGCACATTGTGGCATGCATTATTTCATGGGAAAATCAAAAGCAGGTAAGTATTTTGCCCTTAGGCTTTCTGTAGATCTCTAGTTTGGGGGATGGGAAATAGTGAGGAAAATTAGCATTTGTCAATGGAATAATTAGTTCTGTAAAGGCATCATATTCTATAGAGAGGATGATCATTAACAGAATGACTTAAAATTGTTAAGAACCCTCCAGAAACACCTGGGGTACTGTAAATAATGCCCCTTTATTATCTAGTAGCTTGTACTTCCGCAAGGGTTTTTTTTTTTTTTTTTCAAATAACATTGTTCGATCATCACAGCACCCATAGGAAAAATTGGAAGATTCTGATTCTTTTATGAAAGAACTGACTAGAAGTTAGTAAAAATAACTTGGAATTGTATTTGAGGACTTAAGTTATAGGAGTGTAAACATCTTGCAGATGGTGCTAGTTGTGATTTGAGACTGAAGGGCCTTAGTGTTGATGTACAAGCTGTTTCTTGTTTTGAGTTTTTTTTTTTGTTTTTTTTGTCTTTTGATTTATAGAGATATTTAGGGAGAGTTTTAAAGTATAGTTTTTTTTTTTTTTTTTAAAGATTCCCACCTCTCCTTCCTGATACCCTCCTTAGCAAGACAGAACAAATCTGTTGGTAGAATGAGGTGAACAATAGACCAGTTATAAACATGCATCTTCTCTAGGATCGGCTCCTGGTCTGTGCCCCCTTTCAAGAACTACTGTTTTCCCTCGGCACTCTAGATAGTGACCTGGAAGACTCGTTGATGATTAGCATGTGTGTGGAAGGAGTTTCGCATTTTAGATTTAAAGCTGTTAAAAATGTTCCAAGTATAATTTTGTTTCAGGCTGTATTCATGAGCCATGTGTCTTTTACGTTATTACCTTTACATAATTCGATTTAGTTTTGTTTTATGACATGTTTGTTTAATTTGATATCATTTGCCATTGAGTTAGAGGGACTTTTAATAAATAAGCAGCAGAGACAGAGGTGGCATTTATTAACTCTACAGTCCTCTCAGTTTAAGAAGTTTAATATTAAGCCCTTGGCATTATTTACTAATTGAATTATGTTTTCTGTAAATCTAAATATGGAATCTGATCTAACTTTTAGGAAATCCTAATTGGAATGGGAGCCTTTCTCTGGATCAATCTACCTGGAATGTGGATTCTGAACTTGCAAATAAATTGTATGAAAGATGGAAGAAATATAAAAATGGTGACGTCTGCAAGTACGTCTCCACTGTCTTCTTTTTTGTTCGGTGGTGGGGAGACACTGTTACAGTAGTCCCTCCTTACCTGCGGGGACACATTCTAAGACCCCCCTCTCACCCCACCGTAGATGCCTGAAACTGTAGCAGACCCTATATACTATGCATGAATTTATTTTTCCTTCATCATAATTTCACAAATAGAAGATTCATTCTTACTGTAAATCTTAGCAGTCTCAGCATACAATTTTTTTCTATTAAGTCGACAACTTTCACCTTTTTGGGTAAAAGGAAGCACTTTATGGCTTCTCTTTGGCATATCTGAATTGTCAGCATCACTCTTCTTGCACTTTAAAGCCATTATTAAGTCAAATAAGGGCTACTTGAACAAAAGCACTGTGACGCCAGGACAGTTGACCTGATGACTGAGATGGCTACTAAGTGACTAGCAGGCAGGTAGGGGATCCATGTGGATATGCTGGGCAGAGGGATGATTTGCATGTCCCAGACAAGATGGAGTGGGGCGGCTTGAACTTTCATCATGCTACTCAGTACTGTGTGTAATATAAAAGTTATGAATTATTTCTGGAATTTTTCACTTAATATTTTCAGACCCCAGTTGACCACAGGTAACTGAAACTTTGGAAAGCAAAACTGCATAAGGGCCAACGACTGCACACAGTATTTTATTGACATTACAGTCCGTAGTTTCTAGTGATCGATACTTCTCTCCAGCTTTTAATTTTGACAAATTTCAAACCTCAGAAGTTGAGGGTAGTGCAGTGAATTCTCAAATATTCCTCATCTAGATTTTGTTCACCAGATGTTCACATTTTATCACTTTTGCTTTATTTCTCTATGTGTACACACACACATAGAAACACATACACGCACAGACTTTTGGCCGAGTCATCAAAAGTGAGCTGTAGATGTCATACTTCAACTCTCAATACTTTATTAGGAAATTCTTTATTTCCTAAAGAGAATATTTTCTTATGTATAACTATACTACCATTGCATACCCAACAAACTTGACATTCATGTAATTATATTGTTTAATATACAGTCTATGTTAAAATTTTCCCTAGTTGATCCAGTAGTGTTCATTATAGCTGCTTTTTTATCTTTTCTTTTAACCCAGAATCCATTTAAAGGCCATGCATTGCATTTGGTTGTCTTGTTTTCTTAGTTTTCTTTAGACTAGTGTTCCTACCTTTCATCATCTTTCATCATGTTGATACTTTTTAAAAGTTCAGGCCAGTTGTTTTATAAAACATTCCACACTCTGGATTTTTCTGATTGTTTCCTCAAGTTCATGTTCTGGTTAAATGTTTCTGGCAAGAATATGAGTTATCTGGTTGAACTTGTGTCTGTATTATTTCATCTCATCAGGAAGTACGTAAATGTCAGTTTGTTCCATTATTGGCATTGCTGAGTTGAGTCGCTTGGTTTAGGTGATGAGTGACAGAACTCTCCATTGTACATACCTTTTTCCTTGTGTAATTAATAAATCTGTGCTGTGATAATTTGATAAATTACGGTATAAACGCCCTGTTCCCTAAGGATGTTTTATCCCATGGTTTTAGTATCTATTGATAATCCTTGCCAGAATCAATTGTTAGACTAATGGCTGCAAAATGATGTTTCTGATTATTTTGTTCATTCTACATTTATTGGCAGATTTTTTTTTTCTAAAAGAGTGTTTCTCTTGCTTTTAAGCATCACTCTGATTCTTTAGTTGCAGTGTTGTACTCTCTTACCATCACTATTATTTTTGATGATAAATTGTTCCAAATTTGGCTGGTAGGAGCCCTTCGGCTGGCTTGTGTGGCCCTTTGACATGTTCTGTTGTTTGAGTGCTTCCTTGCTTTCTAGTAAAACAGGGCCTTCTAGGATCAATCTTGTACTTTCCCATCCCCAGACCTAGAATAAACCATTTCCCCAAGAGCCCTTTTCCTTTAAGTGGGAATAGTATTTAGTGATTTCCCTAAATAACAAAATTATTAAATATTAAATTTTTAAATATCAAAATATTTTTCATAATAGTTTCTTTATCAATTAAACAGGAGGAATGTTTTGGGAACAACTCGATTTGCTCACTTGAAGAAATCCAAGGAGTCAGAGTCCTTTGTTTTCTTTTTGCCTCGTTTGATCGCAGAGCCTGGCCTCATGTTAAACTTCAGCGCAACTGCCCTTAGGAGCAGGATGGTGAGGACAGTGTGTCTTTTCATTTCTTTGTCAGTGACTCCCCAGTGCTT
The DNA here is from genome assembly GCF_000001405.40 of Homo sapiens. Classification (NCBI taxonomy): domain Eukaryota; kingdom Metazoa; phylum Chordata; class Mammalia; order Primates; family Hominidae; genus Homo; species Homo sapiens. The sequence goes on from NC_000004.12 coordinate 153,591,245, forward strand.
GGGTTTTCAAAGTACCAGATTGTGTCCACCTTTAGCTACCATTTCAAAGCCAAAATTAAGGCGATGTCAAAAGAACTAGATGAGCAGTAAAACTCTAAACAGACTGAAAATGCAGGAAACAAATAGACTTTGAATTGAGTGTACCCTCCATAAATGTGTCAGTTAAGAAAGTACTCAACTGCAAACAGCAGAGAAAATCTTGACTAGCTTAACTAGGAGTCATTTTATAACAAGAAGCTCAAAGGGGAGAAGTCCAGAGCGAGTCAGGTTGTGCTCTCTGTGATGCCATCAGGGACTGAGGCTCCCCTCCCTGTCTACTGTCCATCCTTAGCGTGTTGACTTCGGTGCTTGTCTGTGCCTCTCTCGTCCAGCTCCGGTGGCGGGAAGACTGGGCAAAGGGAAGGACGTGCCTCCAGCAGACTTCCATTTATGTCTCATAAGTCTCATGGCTAAGAACTCTATACCACACGTGACATGAATTATAATGTATGACTTATCAGGTGCTCATAGATTTTCTTAGGGATGACATCCTTAGGCTGTTTTTTAACTTTTTATTTTTAAATGATTTCAACTTAGAGAAAAGTTTCAAGAGTAGTATATCAGGAGCTCCCAAAAAGAAAATCAGGAGCTTGCAAAAAGAAAAGAATCTTTTTGCAAAGATTCATCAATTTTTAATGTTTGCCACACTTGCTTGAACATTCTCTTTCTGCATACATGTATCTTTGTGAGCCATCTGAGTGTCAGACGTTACGCCCTCTTACCTCTAACTTTCAGTGTGAATTATTTAAGAACGAGGGCTTTTTTCTGAACCATAGTATAATGATCAAAATCAGAAAATGCAACAATCATGATGCTGTTATTTAATCTACAGTAAATATATACAGCATATATGTATATATACTACATATATACAGTATATGTAGATCAAGTGTTTTCAGAGATCCCACTGTCATACTTTCCAGCATTTTTTTTTTTCTGGTTCAGAATCCAGTCCAGGATTTCTCATTTCATTGGCAGGTCTTTTTAGTCTCCTTTAATCTTCCCCAGCTGTTCTTTGCCTTTTATGACATAGACATTTTTGAAGCGTGCTGGCCATTTATTTCCTATGATGTTTCTTGATTGGAGTTACATGATATTTCCTCATGATTAGGTTATGCTTTTTGGCCAGAATATCTCAGGAGGGATGCTGTGTCCCTCTCGGGGTTTTAACTTTTCTTTCCTCACACCTAGATCAAGTACTTTGTGGTGCAGAACCCGTCCTCTTGGCCGGTCTCCTTGCAGCTCCTGCCTCTCTCCTTGTACCCTAAACCCGAAGCCCTAGTGCACCTGCTCCACAGATGGTATGAAGACTTTTTTTCTGAGAGGCAGTTTGGGAAGTACTTGGGAAGACTTAGAATTACTTAATGTCCTACACTTTTTCAACCAGGACCTGTGTGTGGATGTGGACACAGTATTAACCGATTAGCTCATGGACCTTGGGCATCCTGCCCCTTGGTGCATGTGATTTGATGGAACTACCTGGCTCTGTGTGTTATGTGGCATCTTCAGTGTTACTATGCGAAGTCCACTAACCAACAGATCCTTTTCTTTAGCTAGGGAACCTTTATCATGTTTTTTTCACATATACTCCTAATATTTAGACTCACAATCATGGTGATTTCTAGGCAGCATAAATAAGTTTAGTGTTTTAGTCCAATTGGCCCTCCATATCTGCAGGGGAATTGGTCGCAGGACCCCCTCGGATACTAAAATCTCAAGGATGTTCAAGTCCTTTAAAACCATTGATGGAAAAATTGGCCCTCCTTATTTGAGGGTTCTCCACCTGCGGTTGGTTGAACCTGCAGGTTTGGAACCTGCAGATGCAGAGGGCTGAATGTATATTCTTGTCTAGCATTAAACAGGAAGAGATGATAATTAGTTCATGTCTGTTATATCTTATTTTCACACAATCACAGTTTTACTTAGAATGTTTCCAGCTTCTCGTTTAGTAAGATCGACCCTTATCCCAGGGTTTCTCAGCTTTCGCAGTATTGGTATTTTGGACCAGATGGTTCTACCATTCTGTTTGGTGGGGGTGGGAGGAGCCATCTTGTGTGTTGAAGGATGTTTAGCAGCATTCCTGGCTTCTCCCACTAGATGCCAGTAGGAACTCCCCAGCTGTGACAACCAAAAATGTCTCCAGACGTAGCCCAGTGTTTCCCGTGGGATAAAATTGCCTTTGGTTGAGAGTCACTTTTTTTTTCAAAAAAGTTGCTTTATATTTAGAGCTTCTGTCACCATATGCTTCCTTACATCCTGTGATGCCAAAGTCATTCATTTAGCAATATTTATTGATCATTGACAATATGGCAGATATGGGTGTGGGAATGTGGGGTGGAGCTGGGTGGGAATGTGGGGTGGAATGTCGGGTGGACAGGATGGGATGAATTTTGTGTGTATGTGTGTGCAAATGTACTCACCTATGTATAAATGTATATATGTGCACACACTTATTAAATCTTTCTTTACTGGCAGATGTGAGTGCTGTTTTAAACATTTGCTTTTTTCCTTATAGGTTTGGCACTGATATGCAGATGATTAATTTCACAACTGGTGAATTCCAGCTCACCGAAGCTTGCCCTTACCTGGTAGGATGTTATCCTAAAACAGAAAAAAGAATGCCGACAAACTAGACACATGAGCATACGGGCCTCATTGATTTATGTTTAAAATGTCTTTTATTTACTATATATGGCTCTTTTATTTTGATTCTCTGGGCATTAACGATACATAGCAGATTTTTCCAGTTAACTAGTGCGGTAGGAGCTGGGTTTATGTTAGCTCTAAATCATTTTAATTTGATTATTTAGAATCATGTGAGTAAAGAAATAACAGTTGAACAGAGCTTTGTAGAAAACCATGAAACTTGAGACCCCAGAATTTATAATTCTCTTAAGATTCCTTGGCCCTCAAATTCTTTTTTAGGGCAAGATAAGGAAAAACAAATACATTAAAAAAAATCTTCTCTTACTAAACTGTGTTCCTGTTTTTAGCAAGTCACCCAATTTCTGTGATGTTTACCTTATCTATAAAAAAGGACTACTCTAAAATTCTTAAGCCTGTGGGCAGTCATGAGGTCTTGCCCAAATACTTAGGAGTAGGAGTAAACATGTCATGTGGTGAAGATGCTATTTGCCTGGGGACTTGGCAGCCTTACTTCTCAGTTTCCACTCAGTCATTCCGTGGCTATTTATATACAGCTGAGTGTTGGCCTTACAGGTATTCTGTGTTTGAGATCAATTCAAAAGTGGAGCATCTGTTGACAAAAAATACATACATACACATGTAAACTCACATATGCGGATAACTCTATTTTTACTACACTATATTTAAGCGCCTTGGGTATTTTCTTCTTTCTTTATCTTTATCCCTCCAAAAATATACTGTTGGCTCTAGATTACTTTCAATAACAGAAGGAGGGAGACCACAGATAACCCATTACCACAGACTCTCCTTTCTTTTCTTAAGTGTTGAGGCAGCACTGGGCGAGTTGGGGGGAGTGGTGAAGCCGTGCACCCAGGTGTGGTTTTATTCTTGTTAGCGAGTCTGCCCCTCTCTCTCCTTCTCATTTTCTCCACCAGGAGGTCTTCAAGGCTATTCAGGATAATTAGTCCAAAATACTAAGTGATATCTTGCCTCACTGGTATTGAATCATGTATAGCTTGAAATTCCAAAAATAATGCCCGTTTATTTTAAATCTAAATATTCTATTTAGATGTGAACAAATGATGTAACTCATTTGGAAGAAGTTTTTATCTATGACTGTTTTTCCCAAGAAATATTATATATTTTGGGATAAGAGAAATTATTACTATTGTTAATTTATTACATTGATGAAAAGAATAGTTAATATCAGTGCCTTGAAAACACTGAGTTAAAATTTAACTCAGAATTGTTATTAGAATTCTTCATCATGTAAAGAAAGGCTTCCTGCATTTTGATTTTGCTGATTTGCTTTTAGAAATATAGTTCCTTGGGTTAAGAACATTGGAGTTTTTTATATACCCTAAAAATGTCAGTGCCTGGCATATAAGAACCATTTAATAGAGGTGCTGTTTTTACTATAAGTTTAACACCAAAAGTCAGCAGCTTTTAAATTCAGTATTCATATTACCTGCGTAAAGCAGGGTTTCTTCCTTCATGGAGTTTATAATTCTAATAAAAATGAATCAAATAATCAAATACTATTACTATTCTCTTTTTCAGATGGCATGGGTAACACTAGCAATAACTGAAACATAAAATTAAAAGTTAAAAACAAAGAGAAATAATATTCTTCAGGATTATATATTAGCTCTAAGAAGTGATACATTGCATTGTTTTTAGTGAGATGGAGCTAGAAAAAGCAGTGGAAAGAGGGAAAGTCCACTTACCAAAAAGATAAAAAGAATTAAACCTTGGATACTAAACTTAGAGCACAAGTTTTATGCCAAAAAAAAAAAAAAACACGACATCTTGGAGAAAATAGAGGAAGATGTGAATAAATAAAGATCTTTCTTCTGACTGGAGATACTAAATATAATAAAGATGATTTCTATATAAACTTAAATTCAGTATAAAGAATTTATATAAAGAGATCTTTGGGTTGTCCAGTGGTGGGTGAGTGGTCTTGTCAGATTGCTCTAGCATTCAAGCAGAGGCTGTTGGGTCTGTTTTCTGATTGATGTTGTACATTCAAAGCATCTTTGTGTAGAAAGCTTCTAGCCCCAACTTCCATTCAAACCAGGAAGCAAATCCCCTCTCCAGCATCTGTGTGAGGTTGTCTTGTAGTCTCTGCCTATATTTCTTAGCTATGGCTCAGAAGCTGTTTATTGGAGTGAACTCTCAGGATAAGCAAGTTCTAACAGGTTGATTAGGAGGATCAAATCTGGACATTAAAAGAGAAGCAATCGTGTTTAAACTCTAGGATGCACTTAATGACAATGGAAGCTTGCTTTCTAGGAGTATGACATGGTTTAATTTGTTAATTTGCAGGGTACGCATTCTGAGGAATCCAGGTTTGGCATCCTCCACTTACATCTGCAGCCTTTGGAAATGAAAAGGGTTGGCGTAGTTTTCACACCTGCTGACTATGGAAAAGTTACCTCACTCATACTAATCCGGTAGGTGTGTTCCTGTTGTAGAATCTGTTTCTTTCTCAATGACTCATCTGTGTAAATCTCTTTAGCTGATAGTTGACGTTCACTTCTCAGTCAGACCTTCAGGATGAAGGCTGTGTTGCGGGGTAGGAAGAAGTGGAAGCTGAGAAAGAGGTCACTGGAGGCTTGACAAGTAATCCCCAAGGCCTCAGTCTCCTCTCTTCTCCAATAGGGAGTGTGCGTGCATGTCTCCAGGAGAGGTAGTGCTTTCCACACAGCTTCTCGTCTGTGCTGTCTCAAAAGGCAGAACACACTCATGCAGATCTACTCCTCTGTCCTTAGCATAGAAAGATCGTTAAAGGACTGCTGTAGATATTTTCAGTCTTTAGTATTTGAACAAACTTATATCACTTTCATCTCTTTTTTGCTCCTGGAATTCTCAGTAGCCCAAAGGACAATAGAAAAGGTGTTTCATTGAGCCCATTGGCTCTTTTTATTCCTTTTCTTCCTTTGAAGTGAGTTACTGCTGACTGATTTAAGCATGCTTAATGTGTTTATTTTTTAATTGTTTTCATCTTTAGGTAGTCTTGAGAGTCTTTTAAAAATTTACAGTAAATACAGATGTATCTTGAAGCTCTCCTCATCAGTGAGAAGTCCAACACAAATTTAATTTTTAATAAATGACATTTGAGTTATTTTTTCAAAACTTGTAGTATCAGATCACCTGGCAAAAAATTTATTATTCAGAATTTTCTTTAATATATAAGTTTGTTCTTTTGCAAATGAATGATACTAAAAAAAGTTAAAGTTCTTCAGAGTTTATTCATTAAGCATTTTAACTAAAAATACTTAATGCCCTGTTGACTTAGTGTTTCTTTTTTTGTTTATTAATTTTTTTCTTTTTTTAATTAATTTTTTTTTTTGATTTAGTGTTTCATTTAAACCGACTCTTCTTTGAAGAACTAAGGTCCTAGGAAGTACAGAGACAAACTTTATTTCATCCCAGGTTGAACTATCTCAGGCTTGAAAAGAAAGTCTAAATTTTTTGTAGAAATTAATTTACTTTCGGTGGTTTCTGTCCTGTAAATAACATCAGTCATCTATTGCCCCAGCACTTAAAGGTTTTTAAATGGTTAATAAAGGCTTTTTAATCCTTTAAAGATGTAAAGCTATTTCAGTGTATTCTATATAATTACAAAAGTAAAATGAATTATCTTGCTGCTTCTATAGTATTTACATTATGAGGAGTGGCTTTCACTCCAATATGCATCATTTAAAAATCATTTCCAGGCCAGGTGTAGTGGCTTATGCCTGGAATCTCAGCACTTTGGGAGGCTGAGGTGGACAGATCACCTGAGCCCAGGAGTTCGAGACCAGCCTGGGCAATGTGGTGAAACCTCGTCCCTACAAAAATACAAAGTATTAGCTGGGCATGGTGATGCTTGCCTGTTGTCCCAGCTACTTGGGAGGCTGAGGTAGGAGGATTGCGTGAGCCTGGGAGGTTGAGGCTGCAGTGAGCCGTGATCATGCCACTGCACCCCAGCCTGAGTGGCAGAGCAACATCCTATCTCCTAGGTAAATAAATAAAAATTTAAAAAAAAATAATTTCCACCTTTTTGTCCTGGAATTTCAACTAATGAAAAGACACATGCTAGTCTGAATTACTATTTGATAAAAACCTGACTAGATACATGTTATTTATGGGGTAATATTTTAAATCTTCACTTCAAAAGAAACAGTAGAATTTTACGTCTAGTATCATCCCTAAGGCAGAATTTCTTACGATTACTATGAAAACACCTTAATTCACCCTGTAAATAAGTTTTATCATTTTGTCTAAATTTGTTAGTGTTTGTCTGTGTCCCCCAGTTTATTTCTTCAGTTTTTTTTTTTCTTGAATGTCTGATCACTACCCTGGTTTCTAGTTATTAGAAAAATATATGAGGCTACATGTGTGGGCTGTGGTTGGAAGGGGGTCATCATTGTTTACATGTTCTTGCTGCAGTCAGCTCACTTTGGTACTTGGCAGTGGCAGCTTTTCTTGCCTGTGGCTGCACCCTTATTCTGTGAGATGGAAGAAGATACCACACTATTTAAATTGATTTTCTTTTTTAAAACTTCAAAAAAGTTTAAAAATATTCTTGATAACTGGGAATATTTAAATTTAAGTACATTGTACCTTGTGACTCCATGTAATGCCTTTTTATATCTATTTCCTTTCACTACAGGAATAACTTGACTGTTATTGACATGATTGGCGTGGAAGGATTTGGAGCAAGAGAGTTATTAAAAGTGGGTGGAAGACTTCCTGGTGCAGGAGGCTCACTCCGATTTAAGGTGCCCGAGTCCACGCTGATGGACTGCCGTAGACGTGAGTTCATATGTGTGGCACTCTGACAGGGGAGGTTGGCATTAAAGCTGAGAGTGAAAGGATTCTATAAATTCTAAATTTTAAATTCTAAAATTTTAAATTTTTAAATTCTAAAAATTTATAGTAAATTCATTGTATTGATGCAAATAATTAGGCAAACATTTGTGCATATATAGGCTGGTACCCCTGGATTAGAGTGGTATCTTTAGATATTTAACTCAACTTAGATAATAGACATAAGTTAGATAGTGGTGCAGGCCTTTATTAGTCTGTTCTCATATTGCTGTAAAGAAATTCCTGAAACTGGGTAATTTATGAACAAGAGTTTTAATTGGCTCATGGCTCTGCAGGTTGTGTAGGAAGCATGATGCTGGCATCCGCTCAGCTTCTGAGGAAGCCTCAGGAAACTTACAATTATGACAGATGATGAAGGGAAAGCAGGCACATCTTACATAGCTAAAGCAGGAGCACGAGAGGGGAGAAGGTGTCACACACTTTTAAACAACCAGATCTCACGACAACTCACTATCACAGTGACAGCATTGCGGGAGTCGGGGGAGGGTGCTAAACCATGAGAGACCACCGCCATGATCCATTGACCTCCCATCAGGTCCCACCTCCAACATTGGGGATTAGAATTGAACATGAGATTTTGGTGAGGACGCAGATCCAAACCATATCAGCACCTGTAGTCCCAGCTACTCAAGAGGCTAGGGTGGGAGAATCACTTGAGCTTAGGAGTTTTAGGCCAACCTGAGCAACACAGCAAGACCCCTTCTCTAAAACAAACAAAAAAGATACAGAGGGAAAAAAGATTGTGTAATTGCTAAATTATCAGAGTACTGTTAAATATTTAAAATAAATACATGAAGCAGTTAATTTGGCTGTCAGTTACTTAACCACAGAAAATCACTGAAATGATGACTGGAGAAAACATCAAAAGTGTGCTAACCAATAGCACTTTTTGTGATGATGAAAATATTCTGTATCTGTGTCCTCCAAGACAGCCACTAGCCACATGTGGTTAAGAAGTCTTTTAAAATGGCCGAGCATGGTGGCTTATGCCTGTAATCCCAGCACTATGGGAGGTTGAGGCAGGTGGATCACCTGAGGTCAGGAGTTCGAGACCAGCCTGGCCAGCATGGTGAAACCCCTTCTCTACTAAAAATACAAAAATTAGTCAGGCATGGTGTCACTTGGGAGGCTGAGAGAGGAGAATCTCTTGAACCCAGGAGGCGGAGGTTGCAGTGAGCCAAGATCGTGCCGGTGTACTCCAGCCTGGACGACAAGAGTGAAGACTTCGTCTCAAAAAAGGAAAAAGAAAAAAATAAATCTTTAAAAATAACTAGTTGCTGGGTGTGGTGGCTCACGCCTATAATCCCAGCACTTTGGGAGTCCAAGGTGGAAAGATTTCTTGAGCTCAGGAATTTGAGACCAGCCTGGGCAACAAAGCAAGACCTCATCTCTGCTAAGAATAAGAGAAAATTAGCTAGGCATGGTGGCAGATGCCTGTAGTCCCAGTTAGTCAGGAGGCAGAGGTGGGAGGATTGATTGAGCCCAGGAGAGCTGGTCTGCAGTGAGCTACGATCATGCCACTGCACTCCAGCGTGGGTGACAGAGTGAGACCCTGTCTCAGAAAAAAAAAAAAAAACATCAAAAATAAAAATAACTGGTGTGACTGATGAAATTGATTTGAAATTTAGTTTAAATAGCTGCATGTGTCTAATGGCTACTGTAACAGACAGTGCAGATTTAGAAATACATTAACATGTTGCACTGGAAAATTTTAAAATTATGCATGTATTTAAACGAAATGCCTTTAAACTACTTATGTTAGTTTCAGCAACTTCCTCAGGAACTGAAACAGAAATAAACAATGTAAAATGCTTTTAGTGAATTCTTATTTTCCTATTACTATTTTTAATTTTATAAAAACACAGAAAGCATTTTAGTGTAACTATGTTTTCTACAGAGAAACCTGGCTGGTGAAACCATTGGATAATTTGCAGGACTATTTTAATGGCTGAGCAGATTTTTGTTTGTTTGTTTTAGAAAACTATACTAAATGGGCACTGAGTTTGAAAAGATTTATTAGAGGCCAGGCATGGTGGCTTATGCCTATAATCCCAGCACTTTGGGAGCATGAGGCAGACGGATCACTTGTGACCAGAAGTTTGAGGCCAGCCTGGCCAACGTGGTGAAGCCCTGTCTCTACTAAAAATACAAAATTAGCTGGGCGTGGTGGCACATGCCTGTAATCCCAGCTACTTGGGAGGCTGAGGCAAGAGAATTGCTTGAAACTGGAAGGTAGAGTTTGCAGTGAGCTGAGATTGTATCACTGCACTCCAGCCTGGGTGACAGAACAAGACTGTCTCAAAAAAAAAAAAAAAAGATTTGTTAGTAATTTTACATTCCGAATTCTTCTTTACAATATTTATTATTCCATTTATTCATTCAGTTATTTAGAATTGACTTTGAATGATAGAATTAAGAAGTAATATAAAAACTATAGAACCAGACCTGTCGCCATAGCTCATGCCTGTAATCCCAGCACTTTAGGTTTCTGAGGTTGGAGGATTGCTTGAGCCCAGGAGTTCAAGGCCAGCCTGGGCAACATAGTGAGCCCCATCTCTACAAAAAATTAATTACCTGGCTGTGGTGGAGTGTGCCTGTAGTCCTAGCTACTTGGGAGGCTAAGGTCAGAGGATTGTTGGAGTCCAGGAGTTCAAGGCTGCAGTGAGCTATGATCTCACCACTATACTCCAGCCTGGGCAACAGAGTGAGACCCTGTGTCTAAAACAAACAAACACCTGTAGAACCAGATAAAATATTAGTCCTTATGTGGGATAGATTGTGTGTTATAAATTCACAAGGATATTTAAAAATTGTCATAATCTTTCTTTTTTCAAACTCAGTATAAAATGTGTTCTCATAATAGTATAGCACATGTTTGAACTGTGTTTCTAGCAGCTGTGATGGATTTATACAGAAGCACTTATACATCCTCTTAACTGGTGCCTGGTTCAATGTGAGTGAGAATTACAGGGCATGGGGCATATGGTGGCTTATAGTAAGTAAATCAAACTATTTGACTTTTGAGAAGAACCAACTTTTAACCTTAACCTTTAACAAGTAAAGGGACCAAAGAAGAGATTTTAGTTACTTTTTGTATCTTGGTAGAGCATTTCATGTAAGAAAAGTCTTGCCTACTTAAGTATCTCTGTTATATCCTAGAACAGAATCTATAATTGTTCTAGAAATTAGGTAGAAATCATTCTTTGAGCTTATGTTGGATTTTTTTCGCATTTTAGTAATGTAGATCATGGTTTGGTTTATTCAATAAATATCGATCCAATAAATTATTTTAAATAAATTTTATAGTTCACATATACTAAATATCTTTTTTTGGTTCCCATTAGAACTGAAAGACAGTAAGCAAATTTTATCTATTACAAAGAACTTTAAAGTTGAGAATATTGGACCTCTTCCTATAACTGTTTCGTCTCTGAAAATTAATGGGTATAACTGCCAAGGTTATGGATTCGAGGTGCTGGATTGTCATCAGTTTTCCCTGGACCCAAACACATCCCGCGATATCAGCATTGTGTAAGCATTGGGCTTTAACTTGATTTCAGTTTTGTGGTGCGTTTAACAATGTGAGGAGGAAAACTTTTTCTATTGTTAAGACATCTTATGTTGTTTTAATGTAAATATTTCTTTTGTAGGAGTATGATGTGTTGTCATTATTTTGCCTTGTGGCTAAAATCAAAACAATTAAAAGTTCATAAAGATGACTCTTTTATTTTCAGGTTCACTCCAGACTTTACCTCCTCCTGGGTAATTCGGGACCTAAGTCTTGTAACCGCAGCGGACCTAGAATTTCGCTTCACTCTCAATGTGACTCTCCCTCATCACCTGTTGCCCTTGTGTGCAGACGTGGTTCCAGGACCCAGCTGGGAGGAGTCATTTTGGAGGCTCACGGTCTTCTTTGTCAGGTAAACCACTACTGTCTCCCTTGTTCTCTCACTGAGTAGAGAAGTCATCCAGGCAAGTTGTGTGAAAACGTGAACTGCCCGAGTGTAGTCAAAGTATATGAATTGAGTGGAATTGTTACTGCTTCAAGAACTGTGACATCCATGAAGTATTCACTGGTACACTTTAAGGTTATAGTAAACTAATCGTAAGAGAGTCATAGGACCTAGAAGTATCATAGACAGTTGTGCTCCATATATAGTGTGTTCATAGGCAGTCATGGTGGATGATATGAATGTTAATTACTTGTGTTAGCTCATGCAGTGATGATTTGAGATTAGGAGGCTGGAATGACCCTTTTTGAGTGATTTCATAAAAATGGAATTGTAATGTCAAATTTATAAATATGCACAATTTTGGAAACTTTTGTGTGTGTGTTTAAGGAACATCAGAAATTATGTGATAAATCTTAGGGAATTTTAATACTGCATCTTCAGATGTTTTTCGTAAATCATTCCCCACTCTTCTGTAATGAAACTAGTCTTTTGAATGCCAGTCAGAACCATGCAATACTGAACCTTGTTGCTTTCTTCCTCAGTTTGTCCCTGTTGGGTGTGATTTTAATAGCCTTCCAACAAGCACAGTACATTCTCATGGAATTCATGAAAACAAGACAGAGGCAAAATGCTAGCTCCTCTTCACAGCAAAACAATGGTCCTATGGATGTAATCAGCCCCCATTCTTACAAGTAAGAATTCTTATAGTGTGGTTGGGAGCGGGGGCGGTTTCTCACTTTTGATATTACTCATTTCTGATTTAATTTTAAGTAAACATAAATTTTGATTCTACATTTGCTTTCATAAAATTTTAAGTCATTATGTGAACAGCTGCCCCATTATTATTATGAGATAGTCTCCATGCAAGGACTTAGTTGATGGGTATTCTCATTGGCAGAAAACTCTTGGAGCTTTGGAAGAAGGGAAGGTAAAACTTACACTCAGTACTGATTGCTACCCTTTTCTCATGGATATGGAAGCAGACAAGTAGAGTTTGATTTGATTTGCCTCTATGCTAAATGTTTTTCTTCTTAAATTCAGAAGCAATTGCAAGAACTTTCTCGATACATATGGCCCCTCTGATAAAGGCAGGGGGAAGAACTGCCTTCCAGTGAACACTCCCCAAAGCAGGATCCAGAATGCTGCAAAGAGGAGCCCAGCCACCTATGGTCATTCTCAGAAGAAGCACAAATGCTCAGTGTATTACAGTAAACACAAAACCAGCACAGCTGCGGCCAGCAGCACCAGCACGACTACTGAGGAAAAACAGACTTCACCCCTGGGCAGCTCACTGCCTGCTGCTAAAGAGGACATTTGCACTGATGCCATGCGTGAGAACTGGATCAGCCTCAGATATGCAAGTGGCATAAATGTCAACCTGCAGAAGAATTTAACCCTTCCCAAAAACTTACTGAATAAAGAAGAAAACACACTGAAAAACACAATTGTTTTCAGTAATCCTTCTTCAGAATGTAGTATGAAGGAGGGAATACAGACATGTATGTTTCCTAAGGAAACTGACATTAAAACTTCAGAGAACACAGCCGAGTTCAAGGAACGGGAGCTCTGTCCACTGAAGACCTCCAAGAAACTACCTGAAAACCATTTACCAAGAAACTCACCTCAGTACCACCAGCCAGACTTGCCAGAAATTTCCAGGAAAAATAATGGTAATCTTTTCATCCCCTTTGATAATTCTCTCCTGTTTGTACCCAGTCTGTTTTTAATGGAATTGTTCTCACCTGTGACCGTTAGTTTTAATTGTGGATGCTGAGTTTTAGCAAAGGTTTAAATATTGAAAAAAGACAAAATGAAAAGTTCAAGACAAGACATCAAGCTTTTAAAATGTTGTGACTAAGAGGTTTAAATTTTAGTACATAAGTTTAGAAGACTATGAATATCATATTTTCTTGTTGGGATGGACATGGACACCTTTTTCTAATTTTATTTATTTATTTATTTGAGATGGAGTCTTGCTCTGTCGTCCAGGCTAGAGTGCAGTGGTGTGATCTTGGCTCACTGTGACCTCCGCCTCCTGGGTTCAAGTGATTCTCTTGCCTCAGTCTCTCGAGTAGCTGGGATTACAGGTGTGTGCCACCACACCTGGCTAATTTTTGTAATTTTAGTAGAGACGAAGTTTCACCATGTTGGCCAGGCTGGGCTCAGACTCCGACCTCAAGTGATCCACCCCTTTGGCCTCCAGAAGTGCTGGGATTATAGGCGTGAGCCACCGAACCTGGCCTAAATTATTTTTTTTAGCTCAGATTTTCAGACTATCTGTAAAAATTAATCAGCCCATGAAATGTTTCTGACTGAACAAAACTTCAGCTATTTTATTTAACAGCTGCCACCATCTCAGGTTGCCTGGCCCTGGTTCTTCTCTAATTGTATTCCTTGGTTAAAAGAAGACAGATGTTCTCATGTACCAAAAACAGTTAAGGAAAATACAAGCCAAAGTAGACTAGGAGGATGACCTCCATTGGGAATTGTCATTATCCTTTAATAGATCCCTTTGGCCTCTAGCATAAGGGCCTGTGCTTATTTATTTTCTTTTTTTGTCCACCCTGACCATTTGAATATACGTATTTCTGTACCTGTTATAGTCAGATTTGTTTTATTTTGTTTGAAATAAGGTCTGGCTCTATCACCCAGGTTGGACTGCAGTGGCGCAATCTTGGCTCACTGCAACCTCCACCTCCGGGGCTCAAGCCATTTTCCCATCCCAGCCTCCTGAGTAGCTGGGACTACGGGCACATGCCATCATGCCCAACTAATTTTTGTACTGTTTTGTAGAGATGGGGTTTCACCATGTTAGCCAGGCTGAGCTCGAGCAATCTGCCTGCCTTGGCCTCCTAAAATGCTGGGATTACAAGCGTGAGCCACTGCTCCCAGCCTATGGTCAGATTTTTGACAATTTTTAATCTGGAAAACTCAGTCACCTTTTGTCTTATTTGAAGCATCTAAATATAACTTCATCTTTTTCACTTCTTGATATTGGAGAAGAGGTACAGAAATATTATGGATTGACTACTTCTGATGAGCTTTTATGCATTTGGTGAAAATCCTCAACTGAATTTTAAATGTTCTGTATAAGGACATTTCTAATTTAAAAGAAAGTTGGAGTCCTCTGAGGGGAATGTGGTCTAGGCAGCTGCACACATGCATTCTTGGTGCATTTAGTCCAACCCGTTTGTACCGTTTCCCCTGGCAGTGGTGCACACGCCTGAAGTGGACTTATGTCTGCAGGGTGGACACTGTGCCCTGTCTCCTCCACCTGGCGTGTGAGTATGCCCCCTGGTAATGCAGTTCACCCAGATCTTCAAATCAAACCATGGCATACCTTGTCTGTGGATGTATTATGATGGGGTGATTGGGTGTCTTATTCTGTTTCTCTCCCAGACACTCTCTGGGGTCTAGAATACAAAACATTTGTGAAAAGGTGAATTATGGAGTGAGTCCTGTTGGACATTTCCCCTGTTACGTGAGTCTTTTAGGCTTGAGCACAGTCTTTGACATAGGATGACTTTGCACACACTTGAAATTAGAGTTGAGGGAATCCTCCCTCCAGAAGTGCTTCTTCTGTGATCGCTTGTGCCCACAAGAGATATGTGCCTGCAAGATGCAATGCCCGTGGCAGTGTGGTAGATGGATGGGAGGGACCTTCTATATCTTAATACTTTAAAGCAGTTGAAATATAAAGGCATGGATGAGAAATGTAGTGTCAGAGTAGGTCAGAGGATTTGAATTCTTCTTCAGGATCCTCCTGTCTAGTACTTGACATTCAATGCCAATAGCTGAGCCAAGATGAGCAGGTAATAACACTTTAATAAGCGTGAGTAAATTTAATATGGGAGTCTGGAAACATAGAGTTTGCCTGTATCATTGTAGATGGTAAACCTGCCCAGAATCTTTCCTTCCTGTACAGATTACTAGTATGCTTATAATGTTTTAAATGGCAACAAATCTTTCACTGCCAGAATTTAAAAATACTGTTTGGCTGGATCAGCAGCATGTTAAGTGGTACCAGAGTGATTGTTGATCAGATCAAGTAAGAGCTGAGGAAAGAACTTTTGCTTTCCACCATGTTCAGACCAGCAAATTCAGAGGTGCTAATTCACAGTCCTCTACGTGTCTGCAGAAGTTATATGTTAGCAGGAGATTCCTCCCAGGGAAGTTTGTACATGGACATGCATTTTGTTCTGACTGTTTTATGTTCACAGCACTGTCCTGGGAAAATATCCGAGATGTTAAAAAGTGAATAAATTGCCTGCTATCCATGTACAATTTAAAATTGTTCAAGAATTTTAAATATTAAAAATAAGAAAGGACTGAAAAATCTAGGGAAAGATAATTATAGTCTGAAGGGAGGGTTTGGAGTTTTTTTAGTAATATTAAGGGTTTGGGGCTCTGTTGAATTTCAGAGGAAAGCATTGCAATAACTTGGCAAATGATAAACGCGTATAATTGACAGGTAAGTCACAAGTGCAAAGAATGCTTGAGAATGAGAAAAGCATATATATAAGAACCTTTAAGTTTTTACTTCCAGCTTTGAGCATTAGTTCTTTGCTAGCTTTGAAAAGTATTTTACTTTGTGAAATGTGTGCTGTTTCCATTGTAAGATCTTTTCTAGAATCTGAAGAAAACAGCTTGGTCTTTGAGCTGGACTCAACCTGCCTGATAGCTGAGAATCCTAAGTGCCAGTCACGTTGTCTCCTGTGTGACTGGCAGTTAGGATTCCAGCAGAATGGGAACTCACTCAGTGTGTTTGCCACATTTTAGCCATTTCTCCCAAAGTATACAAATGGTCTGTAGAAACCATTCTAGTCATAAGATTGCCTTTAAAGGGAAAAAGGGAAAGGTGGGGACAGTCCCGCCTCTTAAGAATACCTTAAGTGATTTTCCTAACTATCAGAACTCCTGGAGGCACCTGAATAATCTGCCTTCTCCTATTCTGAGGCTTCCCCCCACCCCCGGGTGTAGCTTATTGTGTGAGAAGAAAATGTTCTAGGGTATGTATGAATGGCTTTGACTACATACTTGCCATCAAGAAACATAATATTTTGTAAGTAATAGAAAATGTGTCATATTTGGGAGGCCGTGATGGGCAGATCACTTGAGCCCAGGAGTTCCAGGCCAGCCTGGGCAACCTGGTGAAACTCCATCTCTACCCAAAGAAGTATATGTATATGTATAGTAGCCAAATGTAGCCAGGCATGGTGGTACATGAGCATGGGCCTGTGGTCCCAGCTACTTGGGAGGCTGAGGTGGGAGAATCACTTGAACCCAGGAGGTCAAGGCTGCAGTGAGCTGTGATTGTGCCACCGCACTCCAGCCTGGGCAATGAGTGAGACCCTGTCTCAAAAATAAAAGCAAAAACAAAAAATGAAAAAAAAAATGTGTCCCTTTTCTACTCCATTTCCCCTGCCTGCTTCGGAGAGGCCTGTAGTAAATAATTAATTAAAATTCTCAATAGAAATAAAGTCTGCTGACATTCTTTAGGGCTCTGTTTTTCTACACTTGTTTTTTGGCATCAACTTGTCAAACAACTATCAAACAGTTAAACTTGTCAAACATTCGTTATACGTTCCAGAACCTCTTGGTCATCTGACAAGAGTGGGGCTTTATGTGTAATGTAAATGATCTTGTGAATATAGCTCTTTTTAAATGTTTGTAACCATTTTCACTGTCTGATCAAAATAATGTAGATTAGAGTTATGGCTAAAGACAAGCTATGGTTGGCCGCAGCACTACCAAGGAGAAATAGTGAGCAAATTATTTCACGGGTTTCTACCTGTAATAATGTAAAGGTATAATTAAATTTGATAATAGCTCAAGCCTTGAGCTTAACAGTACCTGAAAGTTTTCACTGAATTACATTCCTCACCTTTCTGAAATTATTGGTATTTGCAGAAATTCCAAAAATGTTCCTATTTACTTACAGATACTATTAACTTGAAATGAAGATTTAATGGTTTATTCAAAACAGACCACGTGATTGTGATTAGATTTGAGACAGTACAACTTTAAGCAGGTTACTGAGGAGATCACTTGTGTCTTGTTCTTCCATTTGTTTCTGTTTTTTAACCACTTTTAAAAGGAATTACTGACCTATAAAGCTGTACATACTTAATGTATGCATCTTGATGAGTTTGGGAATAAGTGTACATCGTGAAACCATTACCACCGTGAAGGGCATTAACATGTGCACCTCCCAACGTCTTCTCCTGCCCCCTTTATTATTATTAGTGTTCTTTCCATTTGTTTTTGATTTTTAACTGTGGTACACTCTTACTCAGTGAGGTCATGGGGAAGTTGCACACTTAATAGGATGACTTGGTGTATTAGGCTGTTTTTCACTGCCATAAAGAAATACCAGAGACTGGATAATTTATAAAGAGGTTTAATTGGCTCACAGTTCTGTGGGCTGTACAGGCTTCTGCTTCTGGGGAGACCTTAGGAAACACAGTTATGGTGGAGGGGTAAAGGGGAAGCAAGCACGTCTTGCATGGTGGGAGCAGGAGGAAGAGAGAGTGAAGGGGGAAGTGCTACACACTTTTAAACAACTAAATCTCGTGAGAACTCTCTCACTATCATGAGAACAGCCAGGGAGAAGTCAGCCCCCATGATCCAGTCACCTCCCACCAGGCCCCTCCTCCAACATTGAGGATTACAATTTGACATGAGATTTGGGTGGGGACACAGAACCAAACCATATTGCATGGATTGACCCCATTTGTAAATGACGTATGTGTTTGGTATCCCATATTCTTGAATGCTTTCATGTTAGAATTTCTCAGAGTCACTGCAGAACTTGTTGTTAACATTCATTTTATTGTTTGTCCTGATTCTTGGCCCCATAGAAGGCATTACTGATTTTCTAAAAGTCTGCACATTATTACTTTTTGGGGATGGTTTTGTACTGGCTATTAAATTTGGATCCTTCCTAAGAAACTTTGATGACTAATACTTTTAGTACTATATTCTTGGCCTGAAGAAAACTTAAGGAAATCCATTTTCTCACAAATTAGGACACCAGGAGAGTAATGGCACCTATTTTTTTGAGGCAAATATCTGTATTGTATTTCATACTTATGGCTTCCAGAATCCAAAGGGATATTCTTCTTATGCTTTCTTTTTCTGGTACGGACCCTGTCTGCCTTGCTTTTGGCTGTCTGCTTTACTGTTTCATAGTGCTTGATGTTTTCCTTTGTGGATATCTAACCGCCAGTTTGTGTTTTAGAAGGAATTAAATTTCAAAGGTGATCTGTCCTAAAGAATGACTTTTAATTTTGACAAGGTAGGAAATGGAGGGTAATGATGATTCCACAGGGCTGCTGTTAGATGCTCTTGGTTCGGAAATGCACAGGTTTGAAAGGGATCTGAAAGTTGTGTCCCAGCAGTCCTCTAAATGAAGTTGATCTAAACCCTCTAGGCAAATAGTTGACTGTCCTATAGAGACAGAAATTCCCGGGAAATAGCATTAGTAGCCTTTGATTCAGATCTTCACTAATTCTAAGTTATTCCCGGTTATTAAAGGAAGCAGTTGATAGTGATCAGCTTTGTCTCTGGATATGACTTTGGCCATTGTATTTCCATCACAGCCAAAAGCATTAAAAACATGCCATGATGCTTTATTTTATTTATGTAATGAGTCTGGCCAAAGGATTATTTTCTGTATTCATTTTGTGACATTTGGAGAATATAACCTTAATTTTGGGATAGAGCCCCTTTTTCTGAAAGTATAAGACCTAATATGTCCTGGTTGTACTTAAACCGTAAAAGCCTGCATTACTTTACAAGGTGTGTGCCATTTGCTTGCCTGGCATTTTTATGGTTACATAATATTTATATAATTTTCTGTTAACCAAATAAAAGTATGTTTACCTGGTAAGTGTTATTTGAAAACTTTATGTATCTTGCTTTGAGTGAGTTTAATTTGTAGCCTCAGAATTTCAGAATCAGAGGGGACTTGACTGCTCCTTTCCTTCTGTGGGTGAGAGACCTGCCCTGCCTCAAGTCCCACAGAAGGGCTGGATTGGAGCCTCTGCTGGTAATCTGGTTAGATGTCCATCCTACCAGAGCCTGCAGTCTGCTTTGCTGGGAAATATTTGCTCTGCCCTATGGTCATCTAGACGTCTCAAATTTCAAAGGTATTGTTAGGGATTCTTAGTTCAAGAAAAAAGAAGAAGGTACTGAAATACATCGTTTCAAATTAGAAAACAGGCCAGTTATTGTGGGGTTGAAGTTCATTTGCCTTTATTGTGGGATAAGAGATAGAAGAAGTATACTTATGAAATCACTTAAAAGAAAAATGGAAGAAAACATATTTTCAGAAAAGGTTCCTCCCAGCACCCACTTTTGCCATCTGATTAATCAGCTGTTGGCTCCTCTGCCGATTGGCTGCTCCA
The DNA here is from genome assembly GCF_000001405.40 of Homo sapiens. Taxonomy (NCBI): domain Eukaryota; kingdom Metazoa; phylum Chordata; class Mammalia; order Primates; family Hominidae; genus Homo; species Homo sapiens. The sequence continues at coordinate 153,611,169 of NC_000004.12, forward strand.
CAGGGGCAGGGCGGGCATTCACTGTAGCAGGGAGGACCTTCCATGAAACAGTCATGTGTCCTTTGGTGGGGATGCTTTACGTTTGTATCTGTTCTGTTTTCATCTTTACAACTGTCAAACAAGAGAGGCAAGGAAGCTGGGGTTGTGTTCATTTTATAAATAAGAAAACTAAGGCACAGGCAGCTTAAGAGACTTAACTTTGACTGTAAAACTAATTAGTGGCTGTCGTGACCAGAATCCAAGTCTTTATCCTTCTCTGCCTCTTTGCCAGCTTAAAAACATGTATATATAAAATATACATCACAGAAAACTTATTTTAACCATTTTAAATTATCAAATGCAGTGGCATTAAGTATATTCACATAGTTGTGCAGCCATCACCACTGTCCATATCCTTTTCCATTTCCAGAAGTTTTAATAATCTCAGACAGTAAATCTGCACCCATTACATAATAAATACCCATTATCTCCTTTCCCCAGCCCCTGTTAACCACCAGTCTACTTTCTGTCTCTATGAATTCGATTACTCTAGCTCCCTCATGGGTGGAATCATAAAACATTTGTCCTTTCATATCTGGCTAAGTTCACTTAGCATGATGTCTTCAAGGTTCATCCATGTTGTAGCATGTGCCAGACTTTCATTCCTTTTTTGAAAAAACCATCTTGACCATCTTAACCGTACAGTTCAGTAGTTTTAAGTATTTCACATTGTTGTGCAATGAGTCATGCTGAATGGTATTCTGTTGTATGTATATACCATATTTTGTTTATCCATTTATCCGTCAATGGACACTTGGCATTTTCCCACCTTCTGGTTATTATGAATAATGATGCTGTGAATATTGGTGTCCCCCCCCACCTTTTTCCCTTGACCTCTTTTAAAGACTTTTTGTAGAACTCTTAATATAAGTATACTTTCATCTATGAACAAAATAAATTTCTAGAGCATCATGGATGTTAAAAACAATGCTAAATTTAATTTAACTCTCATGAAGTCAAATTAGATGTTTGGTGTAGGAAAGAAGATGGGGAATGTGAGTGGAAACTATTAGCTAGAAATTGAATTGTTTTTGTTTATTAAAGGGAATAACCAGCAAGTACCTGTCAAGAATGAAGTAGATCATTGTGAAAATTTGAAGAAGGTGGACACAAAGCCTTCTTCAGAAAAGAAGATTCACAAAACATCTAGAGAAGACATGTTTTCTGAGAAACAGGACATACCTTTCGTAGAGGTCTGTATTTTTTTTCTTGCCTATTAAAAACAAAATCCATTTTTAGGACTGTGTATTAAGTGAATATGTGTATTTCATATGTTTCACTGCATTTGAATCCATATTAATAACTGGTGAGTTTGATGTGTGTGTGTTCAGAGAATTTTATTTACCTTCTAATTATATAGACGTTACTACAGTAATTTTTAGAGAAACCAGATAGCTTTTACTCTGAAGAGAATCTGTTCTTAAGCAAATGGGTCATTCCTAGGTAATGATGGCAGAGTAGAACTTGACTAACATATTCCTTCTATCTAGTTATTACTGAACATCTATATTTTAGGGCATACTCTTGCTGAGTTGTATTGCTTTTTGTCTGTCTTTGTCCTCATATCTATTATCGTCTTCTGTCTAAAAGATGAGAAAAGGATTCATGATATAATAGAAGAAAATTTTCCTGATATGAGGGAAGAACTAACTTTGCAGATCAAAAGGGGACAATGTGTACAACAGGAAAAATTGATACATCATAATGGGAATAGGCACTTAGTTAAATTAATTGAACTTCAAATATAAAGAGTTGTGCATAGACAGAAAAATCAAGAAGTACAAACTTAAGCTTGCCTCAGACTTTTCAATAGGAACATCTAACACCAGGAAACAGTGGAGCAGTATCATTGAGAGAATGGAAATGTAAACAAAGAATATTGCATCCAGCCAAGTTAATACTCAAGTACAAAGGCAACAGGCAGACATCCTTAAATACAAATGAAATCATAAGCTGTTCTTGTAAAATCAAGTTAACGAAATTTATCCAAGCAAGATAGAAGTTCAAATAAACACGCAGATGGAAGAAGGCATAATAAAGGTCTCTTGTTGAGGTTTCAATCCATTTTATATCCAGAATGAAGACTAAAAATTTGGCAATTATAACCACAGAACAGATTGGAAAATTGAAATTTTAACCAAGTAAAAATAGTAATATAATCTGCAAAAACCAGGAGGTGGGATTGAGAGGTAGGTGAAAATAAATTTTAATTTTAATCTTTCTCAGTAGAGAGCCAGTTCTATGAAAACATGAAACGTGTAGTTTAAAAGGGTGATAACTTAAGAAAACATTTTTACAGTCTTTTTCTTAACCTTAGAGAGATCCTTAGGGAATTAATATTGTATGTATTGAAGAAATAATTATTTGAAACTTGACAGTTCCCTTGGTTCTACTTTGGTTTATTTTTCTTATGTTAAATTTATATAAAATTGACCCTTACATTTTTAGTTAAAAATTATATATATTCCTAGTGTTATAAATTATTCCCATCATCTGTACTGCCGTTCTTTCATGTGTGTAGGCTCATAGAAAAATACTCACAAATGAGGTTTGCAAAGTAATTAATGGGAGACCCTAGTTATTTCTGAGTGGTGGGATTTTGGATTATTTCTTTTTCCTTCTTTATTTTCTTCTCTTTTATTAAAACTTTATAACAAGCATGAGTTTTTTGATTCAAATAAAGTAGAAATGATACAAAATAAGTATGTTGCAAGCAGTCCAAACTACGAATTTACAGTCTGTTTGGAAAGACAAGAGGTTTCTGTGTAACCAAACACCAAGATTCATAGTAGAGGGGACTTCAGAGATTGAAAAGTCTGTGTAGGCCAGGGTGCCGTGGAAAGCTCCCAGAGGAGGTGGAAACTTGTGCAGGTAGCATGTGGAAGAACAGGGAAGGGAAGATGGGCAGCGGGCAGCACTGAGCCCTGCAGGTAGAGGAACCATTGAGGCATAATTGGGTGCAGTTAGGGAGCCATCCGACTTGGAAGAAGCTACCTTTGGGGAAGTAATGGGAGGGAGGGGTCAGAGTCCTCCTAGGTCGGAAGGCCATTGAATGCTGATTGAAAGTTCAGACTTTCTTCCCTAGGTCTTGATGGGAAGCACAAATGGTGACATAGGCTAAGTGAAAGCAATAGGAAGGTGGTGGTATCCGTAGAGAACTGAATTGTTGCCTGCTAAGGAATTTCAGAATCAAATTTGTTAAAAGCACATTTGGCCAAACAAAAAGTTGTTTTGGAGGATTTGGCCTGACGATTGCTGCTTTGGCACCTTTCTGCAGATTTGGGGGAGCTATTGAAGGTTTCTGAGTTGGTGGGGGGCGGCGGGGTGGACAGTGGTTAACAAATTGAAAGCAACCTGTGGACTGTGATCTTCCTGAATGAAGGTAATAATTGGATGTTGTTCAATTCATTTTTATAAAGACTGTCAGGATGCCTGTTACGTAGAATCAGTGTAGTTGAATAAATGCTTGAATGAATGTGAATATAAGACATTATTGGAAGATCATTCTCAATGTTTTGGCAATTGAATTAGAGAGGGAAGAAGTGGATACCAGCTCTTTTCTAACAAAGAGGCTGTTACTCTGCGGGGAGATATGATGTAATCAAGGCTTACATTTGAGCAGGAGTAAAGGATAGGAAAGTAGATAAGAGACATTTTAGAAGAGAAAACCATCAGGACTTCTTAGCACTAAATGCATACAGGAGAGGAGTCATTTTTTCACATGGCCATTTACAAAAGATAGCTCCAAGGTTCCAAGCCTGGGTGACTAGAATGGGGAATTCTGATGGGGGTGATGAGCTCATTTTTATGTCTGTCAAAGCAATGCTGTTATCACGTTAAGAGCATGCACTTTACAGCCAGGCTTCTTCTGGGTTTGAATCTGCATCATCATGTATTCATTCTATAATATTCGGTTAGTTATTTAACATTGCATTTTTCTCCTTCTGCAAAATAAGGATGATAATTGTATACCTACCTCAAAGAGTTGTGAAGATTAAATGGGCTAATTGAGAATTACCTTAGAATGGCAGCACTTACAAAGTATTGACAAGCAGTAAGTCTCAAAGTGATAGGTATAATAATGATTCCTACCAACAGAGAGGGATGGCTGAACATTGAAGAGAGATGTGTAGTAGACAGTGGGAGGTGGGGAACTAGAGCTTCGGCAACAAGTTAGGCCTGGAGCTTGAGGTTTGGGCGTTACCCATGTGGTGGTTGGACATGGAGTCTGTGAGGTGTGCACAGAGAAAAGGCGAGGGCCTTGAGTTCAAACTTTGGGGAGGAGGCAGTGTTGAATTTGCAGACTGGCTGAGGGTGCAGGTATAGCAAGTATACAAAAAGCTAGGCCTAAAGGTGAGGATAGGGCACACTTTCAGGAGCAGAAATAGTCATTGAATTTGGGATAGGTGGGAATGAATGAAGTTAGGAGTTGAACTTAACATCCTTTTGATATGGGCTTTGGAGTCTTACCTGTTGCCCTGCAATGAAGTAGAAACTGATGCTGCCATGCACTGACTCCAGCAGATACATAGCGTTGTGTGCTGGGAGGAGAGGCTGGAATGGATTATCCCAAGGTCCCTTCAACCTAAGATGGCCCTAAGGAATAATGGTGCTGCCACTGGCCTCCACCTGCCACATGCATGGGTGCCATCGCCTATTTCAAACTCTCCTCCCAGTACTGAAGTCTTCCTGGCTCTCTGTGCCAGGCTTAGCTGTGCCCTTGGTTATGGCAGTTTTCTTAATTTCTTCAAGTTATTTTCTTCTGTGTGTCTTTACCATTAGATCCCTGAGGGCATGGGTCTTGCCGTTTACCTCTGTCCCTAGAGCTCAAGGCGGTTCTTGCTGTCGGTCTCAGTGGTTATATAAGACCCTCCCTCCTTGTTTGGTCTGTAAACCTGTGTAGGACAGACGTCTGCATCTAATGGTGGCATTGGGTTCACAGGAGACAGGCCCATCTGAGGGATGTGGATGGCATAGGCTGTACTTTGTGGCCCAAGGTTGTCCCCAACCAAGTCAACCAAGGTGGATTCTCTGGTGCAGATTTGCGGGCAGTGGTTTGTCATTTCTTTCCTGTCTCTGTGACTCACTCCTTGTTTTGTAGAGCTGTTCTTTAAAATCCCTTGAGTGTATTAATACTTTCCATTTCATTGTTCATTTGGCGAAAATCATTCTTAATAAGTACATTCTCAAGTGCAGTGCCCAGTGTTTGTTTTTCTTGCACATTCTTAGAGCCTAATTTTGCAGCTTACAAAATTGTATAAATCTGTCTGTATAATACACGTGGAACATTCCTCTGGATTTATTGGCAAGGAAGGTTGAAGCCCAGGTTTGGAATCCGCAAACTAAATTTTAACCCTAGCTTTGGCTTTTTATTTTCTTTTAAGCAGACTTTTTTCCCTTAGAAAAGTAATTCATGATTATTATAGAAGCATAAAGAATAAGGTAGAAGAAGATCTATCCAGAATAAACCACTTTTAACATTTTTGTATTCTTTTCTATGCAGATTTTTAAAAACTATTATCTTAAAATAGTTAAGATAATTATTATTGTCTGTAGCTTTGCCATAAGATTATAACTAAATTTTCTATAAAAATTAAATGGGGAGCTTTGTTTTCAGTGGTTACATAACATTTCATCATTTAACTGTGCCATAATTTAAACCATTCTCCTGCAGTTGGACATTAAGATTGTTTCCAACTTTTTACTTTCATAAATAAGTCTGTGATGAACAATTTTGTTCCTCTTACCTGTGTACCTGGTAAGTCTTTGTTATAGATGTCAAAAAATAGAATGAAAGGGTATTGATATGGTTTGTCTGTGTCCCTACCCAAATCTCATCTTGAATTGTAACTTCTACAATTCCCACATGTCATGGGAGGAACCCTATGGGAGGTGGTTGAATTATGGGGGTGGGATTTTCCTGTGCTGTTCTCGTGATAGTAAGTCTCACGAGATCTGATGGTTTTAAAAATGGGAGTTTCCCTGCACAAGCTCCCTTCTCTTGTCTGCTGCCATGTGAGACCTGCCTTTCACCTTCTGCCATGATTGTGAGGCCTCCCTAGCCACATGGAACTGTGAGTCCAGTAAACCTCTTTCTTTTGTAAATTGCCCAGTCTTAGGTATGTCTTTATCAGCAGCGTGAAAACGAACTAATACAGGGATCAACTGTGTAAAGCTCCTATGTGTGCTGACAGATTGCTTTCCAGAAAGTTGGTAACAATTTGTTCACATGTCATGTCTGAGAATGCTACTTTCATTCTCCTCTGTGCGGCAAAAATTGTTTGCAAAATCTTAGTCAGTGTGATAGGTGAGCAGTTGTGTTTTGGTTTTCTTACTAGGGAAAGGTGAGCATTTTCCTTCATTTTTTGTAGAAGGCTGAAAAACACAAAAAAAACTATCCATCCAAAATGCTACCACTGAAAAGAAGTTCTGGAAATGTAGAGGTAAATGTCTAACCTAGTTCTGCTTCCACACTTCAGAGGCAGACACAGTGAACAGGATCCTGCTTCCCCAGCCATTTCCTAGTGCTTATGCATCATAAACACATTTGTGTTTTCTAAAACCAAAATGGAAAGAGGAGACACAAGGTAGTCTATAATTCACCTTTTCTAAAAACATTATTTTATGATGGAATATTTTAGACGAGCTCTTCGTGGTTTTTTTTTTTTTTGCTTTTGCATTTGTTTCATGAATTTATATTTCATGTCCTTTGCCCATTTTTCTTTTGAATGTTTTATTCTCTGTAAGAGCACTTTCTGTGTTAAAGATATCAACTCTATCAAATATTGTGTATCAGAGATTTTTCTTAGTTTGCTAAGAAACTAAGCAAACTTAGTTATTGCTTATTTGATTTTACTTATACACAGTGAGTGGCTTTAAGAATGACTTTTGCAGTAAGTTTGTGATTTCTCTTCTTTGATTTCTTCCTTTGCTTTTAGTAAAGCTTAGGAAATGTTTCTCCACACTGCCATCTGTGAAATCATCACCTCTATCAGAGAGATCAGCAAACGTAACTAGTTCAAATAGTTCAGCTGACGCAGGAGAATCTCTTGAACCCAGGAGTTCAAGACCAGTCTGGGCAACACAGCAAGACCCCATCTCTGCAGAAAATAAAAAAAAAATAGCTGGGCATGGTGGCACTTGCCTGTAGTGTCAGCTACTCAGGAGGCTGAGGTAGGCGGTTGCTTGAGCCTGGGAGGTTGAGGCAGCAGTGAACAATGATTGCCTCACTGCACTCTAGCCTGAGCAACAGAGCAAGACCCTGTCTCCAAAAAAAAAAAAAAAAAACCCACCAAAAAAACCTCCAAATAACTCAATAATAATGATGACGATAACTAAGTCTCATTTAAATGGCTTATGAGATGCTAGGTAATTTAGTCCACACAATGCTTTGAGGATGACTCGGGAAACTGAGGCAGAGAGGCTAAGTAACTTGCCCAAGGTTACACAGCCAGTAATCAAGGCACGAGATTGAAACTAGGCAGTTTAGCCTCCGAGATATACTCCTAATTGCAGCTCCATGTGACTCTTCAGTTTCCTGGTTAGTCCTGTCCTTCTCTCTCTGGGATCCTCTGCACCAGAAAGCAGGCAGGTGGTGCTTTGCTCTTCCTCGGATTTCTTGACAAGTCTGTTGCTGTGTGCTCTGGCTCACTTTCCCTCCCTGTTCTACCTGCTGTCTCCATTGCAGGCCTGTTCTTTCTCAGCCACATCCCTCCTCACTGCCCAGTGCTTCAGAAGGTGCTCCCTGCCACTCTTTCTGGGATATGTCTCACGCCTCTGAATCTAGCTTGTCCTGCATTCCCCTTTTCTTTGTCATACTCACGGAGAACTCTTTGATGCTTCTGGTCACCGAGTCCCGCCTCTCAGTAGTCCTGAATGTACTCACCCTTTCGCTTGCACAGGATGACAGTTCCAACCAGATGGATTTGAGAAAGGCAGCCAAGTATCAGTGACTGCTTACCAGCTCACGCTTTCTCAGACCCCACTGAGAGACTGATTTTTTATTTGTACCTGACCTTGGAGGGATGGATAGGCTCAAGTACTTGCTGTGTCGACAAGCCTTTGCTGGCCCTTGAGTGGACGGGGGTGGGAAACCTCCCCACCAAGTTAGAAAGACACAAAGGAACAATACATGAAGAAATGTGGTGCATGTCTGTTTAACATTAAATCCCGAGTCTGCATATCCTTCAGTTTAGCTTCAAACTTAAGCAATTAGCATAAGGTCCTGTACAATAGGGCTTTGTATGCTTAACTTGTCAGGTTTTTAAAATACCTTCAGAATCAGAAAAAGGTTAATACATACTTATTGGGGGAAACAAAGGTGTATAAAGGAGAAATAAAAAATGTCATAATCCCACTGCCTACGCAGTTACAAATCCCATTTTGCTTCTAGTTTTTATTTACTGTGGTGTGCACATTGCTTTAATAGATGCATAAGGGTTCTAATATCTCAGACATAGAACTTGTAGGTATTGCAGGTTACCTAAAACCTTTTTCTCCTTCCAAGTTATTCGTGTTAGTTGAGTGTATGTTTCAACTTCACAATTCCTACTCTGATTGCTGGGCCAACCTTCTGAAAGAGAAGGTAAAATGAGCCAATCTTTGCTTTCCATGAAGTGTGAATCCTTCAGTCAGTAGGAAGGGGACTCTTCTGGATCTAGGGAATTTGCCTCTGTGAGGTGCCTGGAGAAGATTTATCTTCCTCCTGAAAGGACCTAACACACTGAAGAGTTGTGTCTTTTAAGCCCTTGGGTCTCAGTGTGTGAGCTACCACCACCGCCCACCCACTGACAGTGTCTCTGTTTTAAGAGGGCAACATGTGGAAGGAAGAAGAATAATAAGGATTAGAATATGTTAAAGACTTGAGCTACTTCATAGTTTGAAAGGGCAAAGGGAATCCCTCTCCCGTTGGGTCTGTTAATAGACCATGCCTGACATTGAAAAGAGGAAAAGGCTCCAATTGAGGAAACTATACTTATTTAATACTTATGTATATAATGTTTATGCATCTCATGCTGATGCTTTTCAGAACCACATTTTTGAAACATCAGGCATATTCTTGCCTATTTACCTGAGAAGCTTACACTAGTTTGGAGCATTCTATAGAGATTTGGCTGTTCTCCTAAAGTTCGTCTATAAACAAAAACATAAAGACACAACTTGATCCTAAGTTGAGTTTTTACCTAATTTTTCTTCATAGTACAGTAATTTATGTGAGTTGCACATACCAAATTAACAGGTGAAGGTTGGAGGATTTATTGCTGCAAAGTTAACAGCAAGCTGGTCATAAATTGCTAGCAGATGTTTTTCCTTTTTAGCCTCTTAGGAATTTTATAGGCAACAATTCTTTTTTCTTCTTTTTCTGTGGAGCTTGAGGGAAGTAGCGCAAGAGGGGAAATGAAAACAAACTAGAGGCTGAGCAACATACTTCTCAGTTTTCAACAGCACTGGGACATTCTGAATTCAGATGGAGTTGGTCTTCAAACATTTAAACATGTTTTTATTCATATTTAGTTTAAACCATTAAACATTTACTTTCTCTTCTTTAGCAAGAAGATCCTTATAGGAAGAAAAAGCTTCAGGAGAAAAGAGAAGGAAATTTACAAAATTTAAATTGGAGTAAAAGTCGAACATGTAGAAAGAACAAGAAAAGGGGTGTTGCTCCAGTCTCAAGGTGCGTAATTCTTACTATCTCTAATATTTTGATCTATTTTTCACTTTATAATTTTGCATTTGGCTATTCACTTTTAAACTTATTTCGGTGATATTAGATACCGATAATATGAGAGTGTAAATGTTTATCTCTTAAGATTAAAATACATTTGTAAAATTAACATTTTCCCATTATGTTTTTATTTTGTTAAAAATACCTTAAAGTGACCATTTTGTATCTTTCCTTTATAAAATGCTAACAGATTTGGTAGTTTTTAGGGGAAAAGCATAAGCCATCCCTCCGTGTGGAGACCTTCATTCTGCTTATGAGAGGCAGGGGCATTTGTGGAGCAGGAACTAGAGAAAACCACGGGGCACAGGCAGGCCTCTGCTGTTCCCTGTTCAGCCACTGACCCACCTGCGCTATCTGGGGTCATAATAATGAAACAGAATAGTTACCCCTCAGGTCACCCTTGCTTCAGTCCTGCAGAAGGTAGGTTCTTACAGCTGCAGGAAGTGAGGTACCCAGACAATATGTGGTTTGACAAGCTGGTAAGGGGCAGATCCAGAATTCGAACCCAGGCAGTGTGGCACTCTGTCTTGGAAACCTTGCTTCTTTGAGACACTTAATTTCCCTGACAAAATCATTTTCTTATTGGTATCCCTTTCTGCTCATCATACTCTTCCACCAGACCCAAAGAGAGGAGGACTCCTATTGTCCCAGATTCATATTTTCACCTCTAATAAGTGTCATGGAAAGGAAGTCTGCATGTGTACATGATAAAATACAGATGTGTTTTTTTGTGTGTGTGTGTCTTTTCCAGGCCTCCTGAACAGAGTGATCTAAAGCTTGTGTGCAGTGACTTTGAGAGGTCTGAGCTGAGCAGTGACATCAATGTAAGAAGCTGGTGTATACAGGAAAGCACTAGGGAGGTTTGTAAAGCAGATGCCGAAATTGCAAGCAGTTTACCTGCTGCCCAGAGAGAGGCAGGTATGTAATGATACTGAGCTACAAATGGTGCTTCTGTGGGAATTTTTGTTTCCTCAATGAAGTATCTAATAAGAGAAATGACACCTCAGTGATTTTATCTCTACAGGCAACTTAGCTAATAACTAAAGCCCCAGTGGAAAGCTTTCAGGGTGAGACCAGAAAACTAAGATTTGGTTGAGTCTCAGTAGGCCTCTAGTGCTGCCCCCCAGCCCCCCAGTCTGGCCAGTCGCAACTATCCTCAGGCATATTGCTGAAGGAATGATGCTTGCTTGCTGCAGATAGGTCCCCTTTGGTGAAAGGGGGGAGTAGCCAAGTGAGATAGTGCTACCCCCGTGCCTGAGTCCAGCAGTTCTGCAGAGCCATGCTGCTGCCCCACCCAAGGCCTGCTGGGCAGTGTCCCTGGGAGTGGTAGGCAGAGGGACACCCAGTGCTGAGTCCAGGGTCTGGTACCGGATAGTGGGGGCTAGGGCAGTACATGTGGGGTATGGGGTGGTGGGGGTTGCAACCCTCCCAACCAACACCCACTTTCTCCAGACGCATGCCCCATGTCCCGACACAGGCCAGCACACTTAGCTGGTTTCTATCTCCACCCTCTCTTTTTCATTCCCTTGACACGTGTGTGTTGCTTTTGGTCTTACTGAAGAGTCTTCCCATTCATGTATCAATATTTTGAAACTCTTAGTGGATATCTTATTAAAAGAGAGGGGGAAAATCACCTATGAATCTCTGGTGCAATAGAGTAGCCTCAGTCTTCTTGATATAAGTTATTTGTTAATTCTAGAATCATTATTAGATCATGCTTATGTAGTTGGTGTTGGCCCTCTTAGCCCCTAATTGCTCCTGCCATAGGCAGAGTAGACGGCCCATCCCCTATTATTTCTCAAAGTGCAACCATTAGTTTCCATGAACTCCTCCTTTCTTGCTAGATGAGCAGAGGTAGCTGAAGGTGAACCTGGCCCTACTCCTCCTGTCACCTCTCTCTTTCTGTTAGAAATGCATGAGGTTGACAGTTGTTTCAGGGAAACATGACTCCTTTCACTTCCTCCAGAAGGTTACTACCAGAAGCCTGAGAAGAAATGTGTGGACAAGTTCTGCTCCGATTCCAGCTCTGACTGTGGGAGCTCCTCTGGCAGCGTGCGTGCCAGCCGGGGCAGCTGGGGGAGCTGGAGCAGCACCAGCAGCTCCGACGGGGATAAGAAGCCCATGGTGGACGCCCAGCACTTCCTGCCGGCCGGTGAGTCCTGAGCAGAGCCCCAGGCACTCTCGGTGGCCCTTCCCTCTGCCCTCCCACGTACCCAGTCCACACAGTCTCGATCTGCCTTCAGGAGTGCAGAGGACAGATGGGACAGTGGCCTTGACCTTTGCTTTGGACTTACTCACTTTCTTTTTCTTTCCTCCCTCCCCCTTCCCCTCCATCCTTGTCATAATCATCATCATTGTTTGTTAGTGTCTGTCTTGGAAATAGTTCAGAGAGCTTCTGTATTTAGTTTGTCATTTGTACATTCTTAATGACACCGCATTTGCCATTGTGATGTTTCTTAGGTGTGGACTTCTATGGCACTAAGTGCATCACATTGTGCAGCCATCACAACTGTCCATCTCCAGTATTTTTTATCTTGCAAAACTGAAACTGTACCCATGAAACAATAACTCTGCATTGCTCCCTCCCTGTAACCCCTGCTCACCCCTCTTCTACTTTCTGTGTCTATAAATCTGCCTACTCTGGCTATCTTATGTAAGTGGAATCACACAGTATGGTTTTCTTTTTGTGACTGGATCATTTCAGTTAGCATAATGTCTTCAATGTTCAAAAACATTGTAGCATGTGTCAGCATTTCCTTCCCTTTTATTGCCGGGTAATACTCCATTGTATGTGCAGACACTTGGATGATAACTTTCACCTTTTGGTTTGTTCTAATAATGCTGCTGTGAACATTGGCTGTCCCTTATTTTTGAGAAAGTTTGAGAAAGTTAAAGATGTCGGAGAGGTCACAGAAGCATCTGTGTTTCAGTTACCCAGAACTAACAACTCTTAATTTTGCCATATTTGCTTTTTTTTTTTTAAATCATCTGTTCACTTCTCCCTTCCCAAGAGAATCACTGTTTACTGTCATGAATTTGGTCTGGGTACTTTTAGTCCATTTTAAATTTTACATTCATATATCCATCAACAAAATATTGACTGTTAGTCTTTAACTTACATAAATGAAATCATACTTCAGTGTAGCCTTCTGCATCTTGCTCTTTTCACTCAGTTTTTTTTTTTTTTTAATTATTTATTTTTTTTTTGAGAGAGAGTTGCTCTGTTGCCCCGGCTGGAGTGCAGTGGTGGGATCTCGGCTCACTGCAACCTCCGCCTCTCGGTTTTAAGCGATTCTTGTGCCTCAGCCTCCCAAGTAGCTGGGGTTACAGGCATGTGCCACCATGCCCGTCTAATTTTTGTATTGTTAGTAGAGACGGGGTTTCATCATGTTGCCCAGGCTGGTCTCTAACTCCTGGCCTCAAGTGATCTGCCCGCCTTGGCCTCCCAAAGTGCCGGGATTACAGGCGTGGGCCACTGCGCCCGGCCTACTCAGCATTGTTATTTTTACCTTTACATCTATATGAAGATGTAGTTCCATTCCTTTTAACTGTTGTTTTCAACATAGTAAACTTTTAACTTTAGTAAAAAGAAAGGGTGGTGAGATTGTGCAGTTCCTGTTTGTATGGCACCTTGCATTTGTCAAGCATGCTCATGGGTGCCCACACGCCCCGTGAGAAGGGCAGGGCAGGTGTCCCTGTTCTCACTGTCATCTGAAGACTCAGCCTCAGAGAGGATGCCCGAATCCTTTGACACCATGCAGTCAGTAGCTGAGTCTTGAACCCCGGGCTTCTTCCCCCAGATCCCAGTGCACTTCCCACCTCATCTCCTATTCTCCTCATGGGCTGTTCTACATGATGAACACAAGCCATAGAGAATTTCCTTCAGCAGCCTGCAAGCTGTACTATTTCTTCTCTCTCCCACCAGCAGTGAGACCTTAAAAGAAAGTCTTGTCTGAGAGACTAGTGCAGTAGCAGCCATGAAAACCTAGAGGAAGTGCCCACGTGTACGCGATTCCACTCAGCAGTTCTCCGCGTTTTCAGTTTTCCCTGTCTTGTCTCGCTCAGCCTTTTTAGACATTGTTGTCTTAATGGCCCCGCATAAAATGTTCACAGCACTGATAACGTTCTGTGCATGTGCATCTACCACAGAAGACTGAAGGTTTGCCTGATGATTCCAGTGTGGGATTTTAAAAATGGAGGCCGGGCGCAGTGGCTCACACCTGCAATCCCAGCACTTTGGGAGGCCGAAGCAGACAGATCACTTGAGGTCAGGAGTTCAAGACCAGCTGGCCAACGTAGCAAAACCCCATCTCTACTAAAAATTCAAAAACCAGCTGGGCGTGGTGACGAGCGCCTGCAGTTACAGCCACTGGGAGGCTGAGGCAGGAGGCGGAGGTTGCAGTGAGCCGAGATCGCCACTGCACTCCAGCCTGGGTGACAAAGCGAGACTCTGTCTCGACAAAAAAAAAGGGGGTACATTAGTTAAGAAAAACTACAAGTGTGTCTTTTGCTTGAGGGAAAGGCTAACATTAGTAGAATGATGAAAATTATTAATGGTGTTGCTGTACAGTAGCATAGTATGCAGTCTTCAAGTTGCATTTGAAGGTTATATAATAGTAGGGAAATGTCCCCAGTGTAATAAATGGTGTAAAAAAACAAAAGACAATGTATATGTGAAATATGATTCCAATTTTATACATATACACACACATAAAGGAGACTGTAAAGAACTTTGGGAGGCCGAGGCAGGTGGATCACCTGAGGTCAGGAGTTCAAGATCACCCTGGCCAACATGGCAAAACCCCATCTCTACTAAAAATACAAAAATTAGCTGGGCATGGTGGTGCACACCTGTAATCCCACCTACTTGGGAGGCTGAGGCAGGAGAATTGGTTGAACCCGGGAGGTGGAAGTTGCAGTGTGCCGAGATCACACCATTGCACTCCATCCTGGGCAACAGAGTGAGACTCTGTCTCAAAAAAAACAAAACAACAACAACAAAAAGAGATTGTAAAGAAATATACCTAAATGTTCATAATTGTAGTATAATTGCACGATTCATGTTTAATGTTTAATTAAAAAATGTGAGAATATCAGTTTAAAGTGAAAAATCAGTCATGCATTAATGATATTAATAACCTATGCATTTTAATACCGAATATACAGTTGAAGTGTACTTTTTGAAACTTGTGATAATGTGTTTCTTTTAATGCAGGAGACAGTGTTTCACAAAATGATTTTCCTTCTGAAGCTCCCATCTCCTTGAATCTTTCTCATAACATCTGCAATCCCATGTAAGTTTTTTATTTTCCAGCTTTTACAGTATGTTTTGTGTACTGCTTTTTCTACCAATTATTGTGTTTCTTCTTTGTACTTGGTTCTGCAGGTTAAAATATGAAAACTTTTTAAAGATGCAGGAAAGTAAAATCTGATTTTATTAATTCAGGAGTGGCGCAAGTAAACATGGTTCATGTGGGAGAGGCTCAGGTATCGCTATTTTTTTTCAGACAGGTAGCCACGTTGGAAAATACCTAAGTTTTGAGGCCAGCCGTGGTGGTTCACACTTGTAATCCTAGCACTTTGGGAGGCCAGGGTGGGAGGATCTCTTGAGTCCAGGAGTTCAGGACCAGTCTGGGTAACATAATGAAACTCCATCTCTAAAAAGAATTTCGTTTTTTCTTTTTAAATTAGGCGTAGCGGCGCATGCCTGTATTTCCAGCTACTCGCTGAGGCTAAGGTGGGAGGATCCCTTGATCCCAGGAGATCGAGGCTGCAATGAGCTATGATCACACCACTACACTCTAGCCTGGGTAACAGAGCGAGATCCTGTCTCAGAAAAGAACACCTTATTTCTGAATATAGAAGGAGGAAGCAGTAGTTATTATAAAGATGGGAATCATTTACCCTTTGCTAGGCCTTGAAATAAAACTGAGCATTGATAATTGAGGAAATTTTGCAAGAACCTAGTAGATACATGTTTCCAGTTCTGCCCTATGATGATTTCTGCAGCACTGGACAAAATAAACAAGTACAATTTATTGAGTGAGAGACGAGGAGCGTGGGTAAGAAGGAGGAGAGTTCAGTGTGAGAAATGAACTTGGTTTCTTAGGTACCTCCCTCTTGGTAAGAGGACAAAGGATGCAGTTAAGAGGGTGAGTTTGTGAGGAAGGAAACTTGACTAGTGCACAGGAAAGCTCTTCATGGGTTTATTGGGGGTAGGTTGTCAGCAAAGGAGTAAGAGTTGCTGCTAACTGCTAGCCTAGGCACACTCCCCAGTCAGCCTCCTTCCCTTGGGCCACGCATCTCCCTTCTGTACTTTTCTGTCATCTCTGACTAGGGAAGGTGAACTACCTGGAAATACAGACAGGTGGCTACCTGTCTGAAAATCTACCTGACGGGTAGATTTAAAACCACAGGTTACCTCATAGTTATGTTAGTTAATTTTTTTTGTTGTTGGTTATGACAAGACTTTGCTAGATTTGGGAATTTAATATTCCTCAATTCTTTTCTGGCTGTGTAACTTTACATCCTTTATATCTGTATGTTTCTTCCCCAAGAAACTCTTCCCCAAGACTTCAATTGAGTGAAAACTCAATCAGACGTGGTTATACAATATCAGTATTTCCTCGTGCAGAAAAAATGAGTCGTTCCTCCTTTGCCCTCTTCCCCACAGGACCGTGAATAGTCTCCCACAATACGCAGAGCCTTCCTGTCCCAGCCTTCCTGCCGGGCCCACAGGTGTTGAAGAAGATAAAGGTGAGATGCATTCGTCTTGCTGCAGACATCAGCCAAGGGTTCTGTGCTGTCTGTATTCCTGGCTGATGAGTTTGAGAAGACAGAGCAGGCGGGGTGGGACAGGGCCATTTCCCCACCAGCCCCTTCTGCAAGCCACACGTTCATACATCAGGAAGGCACCTACTCTGTGGACGGGCATCATTGGGGCCCCAGCTGACCTTGTGCATCAATAGTGAGCCCCCTCCCTACAGCTGAGGCACAGATGCCCTATGTCCTGGAATAATCCCAGGCCCCTCACAGCAGACTCCTGATTCATTTAGTTCACCTTCCCTAGTCAGAGATGACAGAAAAGTACAGAAGGTAGATGCGTGGCCCAAGGGAAGGAGGCTGATTGGGGAGTGTGCCTAGGCTGAGGGTGCAGCACCTCACCTGCTTACCACTTTCCCTGGCCTGCTTCCCTTCCTCCCCAACTCACTTTGTGTTAGAAGCCTACTAATTCAGCCTCAGCAGCCTTGGGGACCCGCCTTGCTCAGGCATCAGTGCTGAGACCTTCTGCCTGCGGGGAAGGCAGTTGCCTAGGTGCATGGAAGTAGGAATGGGTGGGAAGGAAACCTCTCCTGCCTGGGGGCTCTGATGGGAGGTGAATTCCAGTCCTCCCTCATTTTTCTTCTCTTTTCCTCCTCTTCTGCCTCTCTTTGTCTTTTGTTTTCTGTTTGATTCTAGGGCTTCTTTCTTGCCTAACGTGGGTCAGGAATTGTGGCAGGATAAACCTGATTTTTATTCTCTGTGTCTTTAATACACATACTTGCTTTTGGTCATAGAATTTAACACTGGATTTAAAAGCTGCTCTGCACATTGGAGAATTTTAACCCTTGAAGGTGAAATACTTTATGTCGTTCCTTGGATGAATTTTGGACTTGTCCAGTTATCAACAGAAATAGCGAACCTAGTGACTAGTCCAGTAAAATAAGTGTTTTCAATTAAAAAAATCTAAAATTAAATAATCCATAGTTTGCAAAGGCAAGATGTGGGGGCGGTTTAGATGGTACTACCTTTTTTTCTGTGAGAGAAAGGTAGGATTTTAATGGTGTGGAAAAATAAAAACTGTCAGAGCATCTACCCTTCAGCATGTGCCGTTCTGCTTTGCTATCAGTTGGAGATATACGTGCGGTTTGGTGTTCTAACCCAGGTTTGTGTGTGTACTTCAAGTGCCTTTACCTTGGCCCCACTGACAGAGTACATCTTGTCTGCAGTCTGTTGCCTGCAAAGCTGTGGGCCCATCACCTTTGTACTCCCTCACCTCCCTCACAGCCGTGTTTTCCTTCTTGCCCAGCTGAAATGGCCTGATCCATTGTTACAGTCATTTCCTCGACTCCTCTCCCTTTATTGCAAAGCCCCAGCCATGGTTTTGCCTAGTGCCCCACCTGCTCCTGTGCAGGCAAGTGAAGCTGGAGAGCAGCATTCCCCATGCCAGCTGCCCCTGTGGATTCCCCACCACCCACTTCACATAGTGCCTGTGTCCTCCCGCCCTGCCCCTCTGTCACCACAGTTCCAAAGCCTCGTGCCTCGTTTACTTGATCTTGCTTCTTGCTTTACTAGAAGAGAGAGAAGTGGTTACAGGCCTTCAGCAAGCTCCCACTGCCCTCTCCACCAGCCCACCATGTCATGCCATTCTCTGCCTCTCTCCTGTTGTAGCCTGAAGAATTGTCAGTGCAGCCCTTCTCTCCAAGGGTATTACTGCAGATTTCCCTTCTGCATCATCAGTTTTTCTCTAATGGGTCATTCTCATCAGCACACAAATCTACTATAATACTTCCCGTCATTAAAAATTCAACAATAGCCAAAGCTCTCTCTTGACTGCCTTCTTCAGTGGCTGCTCTGTTTCTCTGCCCCTGTCATTAGGAGACTCCTTAGAAGAATTATGTGAGTTGCCCATTCAAATTCCTCTCCTCCCTGGAAACCCCTGTAATCTGGCTTTTGCCACCATTGCTCTTTTGAAACCGTGCTGTCGGGGTCCCTGGTGATTTGCACATTGCTGAGTGCTTGGTTAAGTCTTTTCAGTCCCCATATTGGCCTGTGACAGACACTGGACGTTCTATTCTGGCTGGTAGACCTTAGGTTCCTGACCCAGCTTCTCCCCATCTCCCCACCTCATGACCCTGGAGCCCTCCAGAGAGCAGGCCTTGGTGCTGTGCTTTTCTCTGTCTGTGCACACTTTCTTGGTGATCTCATCCACTTTCAAAGGTCTGAGTCTTTCTTTGACCCAGACAACTACCAAATGTATATGCAGGAGACATTCACTCTATTGTGTTGTACTTGAAGCAAACTTGTGCCTGGCCCCAAAGGGAGACACTCTTCCTTCTGAGACTTTGCATAACAAATGCCCTGGGAAAGATAGGTCAGAATAAAGGAGCCAGTGTTGCTTCTCATAAGAAGCACAGAAACCTGAAAGACCCAGGGAGAATTGTCTCACAACATACACACCCCTTATTTCTATGTAGCCCTGGCTTCTGGTAGATTTTCACATGCGTACATCATTCCATAAGCAATTCTTAATCAGACCTAGGGAAGGTGGAACCAATCTGCTTTGTCTGTCTCATACATTTATTAACAGCGGCTGTCCACAGGAGCCTACGCAGCAGGATGAGGCCACTTTGCAGTATTGACCTCAGCCATGCCCTAGAGTCTCAGACCCAACCAGCTGAACAAATCCCACAGACCACCAGGGTCTACCTTAGAGAGCCAGATGGCTTTCTCTTTAAGTTTCTGTGTTGATCTCTCCACTTGGCCAGAGGCATTACTCCAGGTACAGCAGGATGTGTTAGTGATTGCATAGACTGCACCTTGGCCTGCAAGGAGAACATCTGGAGCCATTCTGTCATCTGTAACAACCACGGCCAGTGAGTTGAGGCTGATCCAAATGCCTTCCAGGGACCAGGTGCTGTCTTCAGTCACTTCAGCTAGTATCAGCAAATTCCATACCAGCCATTTCTAACTGGATAGCTCCTTCCTAGTGATTACTGCCCATAGGATGTGCGTGAACCAGTTATCCTTCCAGGAAGCCTACTGTGTGCCCGTTGTGTGATGCTGGAAGTGTTGCCATGTCTGGGGCAATGATGCACCCAGGCAACAACAATGGCAGCCTGGGTGATGCAGACCTGATCAGTATCTTGATT
Source organism: Homo sapiens (assembly GCF_000001405.40). NCBI lineage: Eukaryota > Metazoa > Chordata > Mammalia > Primates > Hominidae > Homo > Homo sapiens. The sequence goes on from NC_000004.12 coordinate 153,630,843, forward strand.
CCAGCTGGCCGCAGTGGAGAACATACCCTTACCAAGGACCTCTATCTTGACTGGCTGTAAGGTTTAATCAGAAGCCAAGATCCATTTTCACATTTCAGAGCCCTGGAGAACAGTGTCTTCAATCTGCCCATCTGTTGCTTCCCAAGTGGCAGACCAAGCACCTAAACCATTGGCAATAGCCTGAGAGTTGTTTACACCTAGCAGGGTTTCTTCAGGGCAGAATTAGCCAGAGCTGTGAGAACCACTTTGGGTTCTGCCCACTGATCAAAATGGTTGTGGTCCTTTTCAGTTCTGCATGGTGGGCATTGAGGTGGGACAGCTGCAGCCTCCCAGTAGATGCTGTCTGATTTCAGCCTGATCCAGCCATCAGTGAGCCAGGCCCAGGCATTTAAGGGAGCCCTTGGGAATTGAGGGCCCACTGAGCCAACAACTTCACTTCAGGTGCAGAGTGGGGGATAAAGTTTCCCTAGAGGGGTACCTGCCATTTTTCCACATAAAGCTGAAATATAGGTGGGGCAAGCCCACTGCATGAGCACCAGCCTCTTTGCATGAGTTCCCCTGAGCCCCATGGGGATATTTAATCACAGAATATCTAATATCTAATATAGGGGTGACTCAGACAGCCCTAGATGGATGCCACACACAGTGGGTTGTGCTACAGGAGAAGAACCCTGAGCTTTGGGACCCCAAAGCTTTTATAATAGGCAACAAGCATGCCTGCCCTTTGCTCCAGAAAGAGACACTATATGTTCCGAGGCTTTTGCTTAGCAAACATCTATGAAAAGATAGTCCAGGAGAAAGGTTGCCAGTGCCTCTGGCAGAAATGGGAGAGATCCCTAGAGACTTGTGTCCAAGAAGTCAACTCTGCTCAAAACCTTCCAGTAGCTTCAAAGTAAATGCCTAAATTCTTCAAGGGGCCCACAGGCTCTGTCTTCTCTGCTCCCAATCCGCTCTCTATAGCCTCATCCCCTACTCTTCCACTTTCCCCTCTCCTTCCTGGCTACACTGATATCCTTGCTGTTTGAACTCCCCAGGCACACCTTGCTTCAGGGCTTTTGTGGTACTGTTTCTGCTGCCTGGAATGTGCTTCCCTGTACCCACTGGACTCACTTCCTCACGTCAATCACGTCTTTGAGGAGCTGTTTTCTCAGTGAGGCCTTTGACCATCCTATCTTAAATCATTGTATTTGGCCAGGCGTGGTGGCTCACGCCTGTAATCCCAACACTTTGGGAGGCCGAGGCAGTGGATCAGTTGAGGCCAGGAGTTTGAGAGCAGCCTGGTCAACATGGTGAAACCCTGTCTCTACTAAAAATATAAAAATTAGCTGGGCATGGTGGTGTGTGCCTATAGTCCCAGTTACGCAGGAGGCTGAGGCATGAGAATCACTTGAACCTGGGAGGTAGAGGTTGCAGTGAACCAAGATGCCACCACTGCACTCCAGCCTGGGCAACAGAGTGAGACCATCCCTCCCCCCACCCAAAAAAAAATGCTGTATTTGCCATCATGGCACGCACATTATCTGGCATGCTACACTTTGTTTGTTGTTTGTCTTTGCTCACTTGAATGTAGCTTGTTCACTGCTGTATCCTCAGTATCTTTAATGGGGCCTTGCAGAAAGTAGTTCCTCAAATATTTGTTATGTGAGTCTCATCTTGTCATCCAGGTCAAGAGACAATCGGACACTGTCTGAAGAAACGGTCAAAACAATATGCTGTATTTCAGAATTATATCCTGAAATTATATTCCGAAAGGAGTTAGTCAGCATGTGTGGGTGACATTAGGGAGTGTTTTCTGGAGGGAAGGGCAGGTGCAGGAAGGGTAGGATGAGGGCCAGGTGAGGATAGGGTGGACTCAGGCCTTGTTCTCTTCCGTAGGTCTTTACTCACCTGGAGACCTGTGGCCCACTCCGCCAGTGTGTGTGACAAGCAGCTTAAACTGCACCCTGGAGAACGGCGTGCCTTGTGTGATTCAGGAGTCGGCCCCGGTTCATAATAGGTACAGCTTCACTTCTCTGATTGGTGCCTTGCTTAGTCTAAGGGCTTGCAGTTGGAATTTGAGTTCAGTTTCTTAGGGTTTCCTTACAAAAATGAAGGCTAGGCTTCTTCCTTGGTGTACTTTAGCTGTGCGTTTCCTTCTGCCTTTTAGAGTTGCACTGGGACTAAACCAGGCATTGAGAGAAACATGAAATAAAAGAAAGAAAGCTGGTGACAGTGTCGTTATTTTTTAAAAACGTCTTTAAAAAAGACGATTTTTTCATATATTAGAGGCAGATTTGAAAAAAAAACACTCATAATTCCTAACTGCTAGCAGAGCAAAGCTGTTCATTTTTCTGTGGCATTATTCTTGAACACGTTTAACGTTGTATTTATTCGTTTGTTTATTTATTTTTTAGAGACAGAGTCTTGCTCTGTCGCCCAGGCTGGAGCGCAGTGGTGCAATTATAGCTCACTGCAGCCTTGAACTCCTGGGTTCAAGCGGTTCTCCTGCCTCAGCCTCTCAAGTAACTGGGACTACAGGTGTGTGCCACCATGCTGGTCTAATTTTTAATTTTTTTTTTTTTTTTTTTGTAGAGACAGGATCTTGCTTTGTTGCCTAGGCTGCTCTTGAACTCTTGGTCTCAAGCTATCCTCCTGCCTTGACCTCCCGAAGTGTTGGTATTATAGGCATGAGCCAATACACCTGGCCCAAATTTAAAGTTTTAAAAGATCAAATAATTTGAATATTGAAAAATAGTTACACAATGGCAGTTTCTCAAATTTGCTATTTGACATTAATATGTCATTCTATTAGGGAGTCTTAAGAAAATGTTAGATATTTAATCACAGAATCCATTTGATGGTTTTCTTGGTTCAGCTTATTACAACAGTATTTCCTATCTCATTTCTATAATAAGAATCTAGGTTGCAATAGGGATCAAAGTATAATGAAGTATAGTCTTTATAGTTATGCTTGTCTAAGATGAATGCTGGTCTTGCTCTGAGTGGACGTTTTTAATGGAACATGTTTAAGTCCTTCAGATGTGCACAAAGACACTTAAAGGTATTCCAGCTGTTCTTTCACAGTGCTGATAAAGCCACGGCTCTCTATTCTGTCTCTAGTTAGACTTAACAAGCATAGTTAAAAACAAGTGTGCTCCTAGTCCAGCCGTCCATCCTGCAGATGGCATGTCACTAGTGATCAGCATTTAGTAAGCCTTTGATTCTGTGACTTGAGAAAGTACATCTTTTATTTTCCAAAATTGGGGAATTCACAGTGATTAGGATGCTAGGCAGTAAAATCATTTTCCATTTTCTTTACTTGATGTCTTGACATCCTGTTTCTGATTAGACCACTTGTTTTTTGTGGCAGTTTCATTGATTGGAGTGCAACATGCGAAGGCCAGTTTTCCAGCGCATACTGTCCATTGGAATTGAACGATTACAATGCCTTTCCAGAAGGTAAGGGCTCTTCAGACAATCCCAACGCCATTATTTTATTCTTAGAAGGTCAAAGCAGGAAGTGTGTGGACTAAGAAGAATCCTTTTAACAGCGAGCAGACTTTGAGAATGAGCTTGCAGTAGACTGCCGAATGGCTTCATGTGGATCCAGTTGTGCACTGATGCCATATATAATTTTATATGACCCTCAAAAAGCCCTCAATTTTGGGTGTCTGGGGGCTTCAAAAATAACCCTAATCCATTTAGTCCTTCCAGTTAGGTAGAACTAGGTCATTTGGATCCATGTAGATGTAACATTGTTGGGTATCCATTGGGAAGCCGGGGCTTTAGCTGCTCGCTCTTCTTTTTAGGCAGTCAAGTCCCATGTGAAATAGAAACATTGGCCTGCTTCCTATTATGTCCTTAACTTCTCTGCCCTTGGGTGGTGCTGCAGAAGGAAGGAAAGAAGCTTGGAGGGGAAATTGTGGAAAATTGCAGATGCTTGGGCTCAAGCATCTGTAATAATAAAAAAATGAGAGCTATGGGATATCCCTGGTCAACTGGAAAATGCTCTATTGTGCACTACTGTTGGATCATGGTTTCTTATACTAGAGCTGCCCTTTCAGGGAAGGGATGTATCATTCTTATCTAGATTTTGATACATGCATTGCTCCATGCTAACCACAAGGGGGTGCTTTGGGAATGTTATGATTGTGAGGGTCTGTGTTCATTATGTTCTTAATGGTATCTAAGGAGTCCTTGGTTTTGGATTGCTGTATCAGCCCAGATGATATATGTGTAGGTCGCTGAGGTTGGCATGACAGGTAATAAAAACATTTTAAAGACTGGCAAGAACCTTGACACTATTTAGATATCTAGTAGTATTTTAATGTATTTTGTGTAATAGAAAGATTCCCATCAAGTGATCAAATAGAGAAAAACAAGCCAGGAGGAAGACCTTCCACATTGAGGGCTTCCCAGGTTGTGTGTCTGATAAAAAGTTTTAATCTTGAGAATGATGTTGCAACGACTCTCCTGGTCCACACGGACCAAGTATTTATGTCTGTAACTTGTCAGTATAGTGAGACCTTGAAAGCTTTTTTGCCTGAGAGTGAGAATTCAGTTCTCAATGAAAATGTTTACCTATGATGATATTCTCCCATTCTTTGTAGAAAACATGAACTATGCCAATGGCTTCCCCTGTCCTGCAGATGTTCAGACAGACTTTATTGATCACAACTCTCAGTCTACCTGGAACACCCCACCCAACATGCCTGCTGCCTGGGGACATGCCAGTTTCATCAGCTCTCCGGTCAGTGTTGCCCATCCTGTGCCGTGAACCCCTGGGCAGCTCTGAATTGTTTCCACTGCTTCCTTAATCCTGGTCTCAGCTAGCTTTAGCGTTGGGTTTGGACCAGCCAAAGCCTGGCTTGCTTCTTTTAGATCACAGAAGCCAGGGCTGGCCACCCTCTGAAGGAAACTGACATGTAATAATTAGATGGGTGGGGTCTTGCAGACATTGACATTCTGGCCACCCCAAATGAAAAACATCCCCAAACACACCAAGCAATGGTCCTTTGTAGATAAAATTGAACATGGGCCAGCCCTCTGTGTGACACAGCTGTCTTTATGTGGACTCACTGATCTTTACTTCACCGATACGAGATGAAAGTCCCAGGAAGGTCAGTGGGTGGTCAGGGTCCCAGAGCTCCCTGCCTGTGAGCACACCCTCCCTGCTCAGAAGCCCGATGGCTTCTCCTTTCACATCCGCTTGACACTTGTTTTTGTTTTTTTCCAGATAAAGGGTATTTGGCCTGTGGGTTCTTCCCCGGGTTGCAAATAAGTTCATCCCATTAGATGAGGATTTCACAATCCTCCCTTTGAGAAAAAATGGAGTTAAAGCAACCCAGATTTAAATTGAGAGTAGTCTAATAACTTCCAAGTAACTTGATAGCATTGTAGTATTCGCTGATGTGTATTCACCTTTCTAAGGCTTTTTTTTTTCTTTTAACTTATTTTTCCTTCCTCATTTATACTTCAGCCCTACCTCACAAGCACCCGAAGCTTGTCTCCAATGTCTGGACTTTTTGGTTCCATCTGGGCCCCGCAAAGCGATGTGTATGAAAATTGCTGCCCCATCAACCCCACCACGGAACATTCGACCCACATGGAAAACCAAGCGGTCGTGTGCAAGGAATACTACCCGGGGTTCAACCCGTTTCGCGCCTATATGAACCTGGACATATGGACTACCACAGCGAATAGGAATGCAAATTTCCCACTGTCTAGAGACTCGAGTTACTGTGGGAATGTGTGAAAATAATTGGATTTTTAAACAATGTGAATAAAGAGGCTTGTGTTTTGATTACTAGTGTAAACTGGTTATTGAGATAGATTATGACATTGGTGGATATTTTGGCACTTTTATATGAAAATAAATTTTTTAATGAAATCTGGGTGCTCTGTTTTTTTTAACTCTTCATAAATCAGTGGTAAAAACAAAGCATCCATATGTCAGAACTTTCAAAAGTCAAGAAGTGTGTCAGGCATGCCGAATGTTTTAAATCTGAACACGGGAGACGTCTTTTTTTTTTTTTTTTTTTTTTTTTTGAGACAGAGTCTCGCTCTGTCGCCCAGGCTAGAGTGCAGTGGTGCGATCTTGGCTCACTGCAACCTCTGCCTCCTGGGTTCAAGCAATTCTCCTGCCTCAGCCTCCTGAGTAGCTGGGATTACAGGCGCACGTGTGCCACCACGTCCAGTTAATAGAGATTTTCAGTAGAGACGAGGTTTCACCCTGTTGGTCAGGCTGGTCTCGAACTCCTGAACAAGGGAGACTTCTAAGAAGGTAGGAGTTGAGCAAGAAATGGCTGCTATGGTTTTCCTCCTCCTGAGCATCACAACCATCTGGGGAGCTTTCAAAAAATGAAGTTGCTCAGCCGTTGAGAACTGCTGGAAAGCCCAGCTTAACAAGTTGTTTGCTTGGGTGGACTCTGCTTGGGGGTGCAGCGGGGGGTTCTTTCCAGTCCTGGTGTGTTGCTGGGATGAAGCAGAGAGCCCTAGAACTGTTCTCTCCATCCCACTTACGGCAAGGGCTGTTCCTCTGTCAGGCCAGTCCTTGGGGGCAATGACAGCAGCAGGAACATTCTGGTAAGTGTGTGGTTTCCCTCCCAGTGAGCAGGCTAACCCTGAGTATAGGAACTTAGGGGAGGTTAGGTGGCTGATGCATGTTTTCCAGACCGGTTTGTATCTGCTTGTCATTGATCTTAGAAGTTCATATTATGGTGGAATTATCTATTTGCATGTGTAAACTTTGAATATGTTTTTAACTTTTAATAAAAAGTTATTTTTACATTTTGTTTTGTCTTTATATTAGAAATTCAGTAGGCGTGATTTGTGAGTGGAATGCAGGGTTTGCTTGCTTTGAATTTATTTCTCTTTGCTGTGGTTGTGTGGAGGCCTGAGACAAGTGTCTTGTAAGCTTGGGGGGCTGCCCTGCACGGAGAGCCTCCAGGCATGCACTGCCTCTAGAAAGTCCCAAGGTTGCCAGGTTAGAATCCTGATCTGCGTGAAGCAGACACTTCCCTCCCCGACCCCCAGTATTGAATAACATTAAAAATAATTATGTTCTAGGCATATAGCCAAAAGAAAGCAAGGATTAGACATATTTTCACACCCAGGTTGATGGCAGCGTTATTCACAATAGGCAAAAGGTGGAAACAGCCCAGATATCCATTAACACATAATGAACAAAAGTGTAATGTGTCCATACAAAGGAGTATCATTCTGCCCTAAAAGAGAATGAAATTCTGATACATGCTATACTATGGATGAACCTTGAAAACATTATGTAAGTGTAATAAGCCAGACACAAAAGGACAAATAATATGTGATCCCACTTCTATGAGGGATCTAAAGTCAAATTCAGAGACAAAGAACAGTGGTGGGCAGGGGCTGGGGGAAGAGGGAACAGGGAGTTACCGCTCGATGAGTGCGGAGTGTGTTTGAGATAATACGAAGTTCTGCGGATGAATGGTGGTGATGTCTCCCATTCCTACTAGAGAGAATGAGACATTAGATGTTATTCTGCTTCGGTGCTATTGTTCTAATTTATTTTTCTACGTTCATCGATCCTCATTTCCCTATCAGGAAAATATGAGAAAGCAAAATAAGATTTTATTGCACTATATATACAAAGGAAAACACAAATACCCACTTTTATTGGAATATTATCTTTAGCCCTAAGACTAAATACGGAAACTGGAAGTTTTTTTATTGAAAAACATTTACTGGGTACCTCCTAGGAGCTGTCCCCGGGACCTTGGATACAGCAGAGAGCAAGACAGACACGGTCCTGCTGCCAGGTCACATTCCAGAAGGGGAAGGTTAGGGAGGAAAAGGTTCAAACAATATTTCAGGTACTGATGTGTGCTGTGAGAGCAACAAAATGGTGATGTGACGAACTGGGGGAGGTGGCAGCCGGTCCTTCTGAGTGGTCGGGGAAAGTTTGTGAAGAGGTACATTTGAGGTAAAACTTGAATAAGAAGAAAGCCAGAGGCCAGGCATGGTGGTTCACGCCTGTAATCCCAGCACTTTGGGGAGGGCAAGGCGCACAGATCACCTGAGGTCAGGAGTTTGAGACCAGCCTGGCCAACATGGTGAAACCCTTTCTCTACTAAAAATTCAGAAATCAGCTGGGCGTGGTGGCAGGCACCTGTAATCTCAGCTACTCGGGAGGCTGAGGCAGGAGAATTGCTTGAACCCAGGAGGCAGATGTTGCAGTGAGCCGAAACAGCAACACTGCACTCCACCCCGGGCGACAGAGCAAGACTATCTCAAAAAAAAAAAAAAAAAAAAAAGGCAGTGTGCCAAGATCCCTGGGCAAATCTTCCCTGCAGAGCAAACAGCAAGTGCAAAGGTCCTGAGGCAGGAGGCCACAGTGGAAGGAGGTGAGGCTGAACAGGCAGGCAGAGGCCACCTTTATAAAGCCTTGTAGCCACCAAAAAGAGGATAGGTTTTACTCAAAGTGCAATTAGGAGCCATTGGAGCATTTTCTATTTTTTGAGACAGGATCTCACACTGTCACCCAGGCTGGAGTGCAGTGGCACAATCATGGCTCACTGCATCCTTGAGCTCCTGGGCTCAAACGATCTTTCCACCTCAGACCCTGAGAATAGCTGGGACTACAGGTGTGCACCAACCATGCCCAGCTAAGAGACTGGGTTTTACCAAGTTGTTCAGGCTGGTCTTGAACTCCTGGCCTCAAGCGATCAGCCCGCCTTGGCCTCCCAAAGTGCTGGGATTACAGGTGTGAGCTATTGAGCCCAGCCCATTGGAGCTTTTTAAGTGAGAAAGAACGTTATCTGACTTAAATTTTTTGAAAATCAGCTGGCGGTTGAGTGGAGAAAGGATTCTGGGAGTTCAGGAGTAACGTAACACCAAATCAAGGTCAGCTGCAACTGTGGAGATGATGGAGGTTGGGCTTGTTATATGTGCACATTCAGGCTGGCGGGGTGGGGTTGACGGGGAGTAGGAAGGCAAGAAATTCTGGTTGGGCCTTGAGACCTGGGTCCCGGACTGAGAGGAAGCTCTTATGGTTAGGATCTGGTGGGAGGCAGGGGATGGAGAATTGTGGCTGGACATGTTCCGTGTGAAAGGCCCAGCATATCCATGTGGATAGGCAGTCAGGCAGTCCACCCACAAACCTGAAGCTCTGTGAAGTTCCGGGCTGGAGACATCAATGGGGCGCCTTTGGTCTGTTGACAGTGTCTAAAGCGAGGGTGGGAGGGAGCCTCTTGGGGAGGAGCATTTGGGGGCCCAGTGTTGAGAGGCGGGGCAGGAGAGGCAGCTGCGGGAATTAGGAAGGAAGGCTCGCTGATGAGGGAGCAGAAGCCATGAAGGGGAGGGAGAGGTCACATGTGTCGGTGCCACAGACTGAGTCACGTGGACAAGGAGCGGGTGTGCATGCTGGGGTGGTGTCGGCGGCTGGCGTCCTTGCAGCCAGCCCAGCTAGAGTAAGTGGAAGAGAGGACAGAAGGTGAGATGGATGCAGAGGCGGCCAACTGTAAAGGGGAGCTGAAAAGGTCAGTCGCCGGAGGGGATGTGAAGCTGGCAGTAGGAGACTGCTAGGCGCCAGGAACCAAGGCTCAAGCTTAGGTCTAAGCATGAACTGGAGCAGGAACGCTTCGCCCTTTGGAATGTGTGTGGACAAGAATGTGAGCAGGTGGGTTTCATGATGGGAAGAGACGCTTTAGCTGCGTGCCTGCTTCTCAGCTTGCAGACTATTTTTCTGCCTCCCCTGTACCCAGGTGGGACTGCGTTGCATGTGAGCAGAAGTGATAGGTCAACTCTAAGGAAGGGGTGTGCCCTTCCCTTTCCCTCTATCCACTGGGAGAAATACTCAGTAGACTGGGGGCTGATGAGGACAGCACACTAGGGCCTTGCTAAAAGAGTGGTCTGTCCACTGCTTTGACTTCATCCCAGGGCTTGTTAGAAATGCAGATTTACTGCACCTGAATTCTCATTTCGTCAAGTTCCTCAGGTGATTTGTATGCACATCAAAGCCTAAGGAGCACTGCTATAGGGGAAGGATCAGCAGATTATGGCCTGTGGCCTGCTTTTTGAATAAAATTGTATTAGAACACAAACACTCAGTTACCTGCAAATACAGAGTTTTGGCAGGCACAGCCTAAAATAATTACTCTCTGGCCCTTTACAGAAAGTTTGCCGACCCCTGCTCCAGGTTAGAGAAGAGCAACAAGGTAAGTACCTGGGCCTTCTAAACCAGAGAGGCCCTTGCCATTCTAAGCCCTGGGCTCCTGCCCCGGGGACTGTGAAATGGAAGAGAAATAGATTGTCTTGTTTGAACTACTGTTGGGGATCTGTGTTGCAGTATCACAACTAATACAGCCTTGTCTGCTTGTCTGAGTGTTGTCTCTAGTACTCATGGTGGTATCTGGTGTACAGTAGTGTGTGTGAAGGAAAAAGTATGGGGAAGGATACAATTACCCAGTGGTTAAAGAAACGAGTCGTTTTTTCTGAGACAGAGTCTCACTCTGTTGCCCAGGGTGGAGTGTAGTGGTGTGATCATGGCTCACTGCAGCCTCCAACTCCTGGGCTTAAGTGATCTTCCCATCTCAGCCTCCCAAGTAGCTGGGATTACAGGTGCAAGCCATCACGTCCGGCTAATTTTTTATTTCTGTATTTTTTGTAGAGACGGGGTTTTGCCATGTTGCCAGGCTGGTCTTGAACTCCTGGGCTCAAGTGATCTGCCCTCCTCACCCTCTCAGAGTGTTGGGATTACGGGCGTGAGCCACCTTGCCCGGCCAGAAGTGAGTTTTAATTACTAGAGAATATTTCAATTATCCTATGGTTGTGAGACGAAGTACCACAGGCAAAGACAGGACTACAGTCCTTACAATGTGAACTTTCACACACCAGTCACCATGTATAGACATCCACGTGATGATTATTACACACTGGATTATGCTCATGCTGGGGGAAATGAGAACCACCTGAGTAATAAAGGAGGCGGGGAGAAAAACCACTGCTGGTTTCTAGAACTTTCCATTTTAGTAGAGGCTCCATTAAACAGCATATTCTTTGGGGCCAGGCTGCCTGGATTCTAACTCCAGCTTCACCACATACTTAACCTCTCCGTGCCTCAGTTTCCTCTTCTGTAAAACGGGGATGATAATAGCAACATACCTCATGCAGTTGTGAAGTTTAATGAATTAGCGTTTGGATGGTGTTTGGCACATAGCACCCCTAATTGACTACTCTTATTGAAACTGACCAAATTTTCCCACAAGCGGGGTGCCCATAGAACTGAAGCTTGAGAACTTACAGTGAAACGCACTGCTACCTGCTGACCGACTCCTCTTCCTTACCCCTCTCTAATTCCCATTTCCCCACAGTGGTTACAATGAGACACTAGACTCCTCATTCAACTGTCTGCTCCCTTGCCCCGCCTGTTTTCCTTCCTTGCTATATAAATCCTTAACTTTAGGCTTGGGGAAGGAACGGATTGGAGGTTTGGCTTCTGTTTCTTCGGCTGACATCACCCGTAATGCAATAAAGGCTTCTTCCCTGGCAACGCTTGTCATCTTAGCGATTGCCTCTCTGGTGAGCAATGGGGCCTAGACTGAACTGGTGTTTCGGTAACATTATTGTTCCATAAAATTGCTATGGTCAATTTAAATGAAAGAACATGAAACAACAGGAAAAATATAAAATTGGGCCTCAGTACTGGTGGGGGCAAGTGAGGCAGGCACTTTTATACATTGTGGGATGGGATTATAAATTGGTTGGCCATATATGTCATGCACCTTAAGAACTTCCAGGAAGTAACTTCTAAGGAAAATAGCAAAAGATATGCACAACAATTAGGTATTAGTGTTTTTTTAAATGCATTCATTATTGTAACTAACTTTCTCCCAAAATAGATTTATAGCATTTAATAATTAAAACACATACAACCAAAACATTGGGTAGATATAAACATATTTAAAAAATTACTAGTAAGTATGAAAATCAAAAACACAATTCCTAAGGTGGTGTTTTATTTTCCCTCCATTACTGGCTCTTTCCCCATTTGGAAGCTTCCTTCATGTTTTTTGAAGCTGAGCAAGGATGACATGACTCATGTCATGTATATTATACAATGTAAAGAACAAAACTGGCTGTGCGGTAGCTCACACCTATAATTCCAGTGATTTGGGAGGCCATGGTGGGAGGATAACTTGAGGCCAGGAGTTTGAGACCAGTCTGGGCAACAAAGTGAGACCCTATCTCTTTAAAAAAAAAAAAAAAAAAAAAAAGGAAACTAAAACAAGGCCACATTGATACATTGATTGGGCACTCTGGACAGAAAAAAAGTGATTGTACTGATGTGTAATTGATAGGTATGCTTGATAAAAAAAAAAAAGGATTCCATTTTTCATGACTTTTTAATGCGCTACATGATTCTGTGCATGACTTTCAGAGCACAATGATCATGTCTACTTGATTTCCTTCAAAAATTAAAAGAAAAATCTTTTACTTGAGAGGGTGAGGTGGGAGGATTGCTTGAGGCCAGGAGTTGGAGACCAGCCTGGGCAACATAGGGAGACTTTGTCTCTACAAAAAAATATAAATAAAAAATAAAAAGAGAAAGCTCCTAAGACTTCACTCAGTAGGTTATCCTACTAAAATAACTGGTTACTGATGGTTTCATGCAGTTCACAAAATTAACTGATGATTTTAGTTGCAGCTTTTATCTTCCTGACTTCTGCCACTCATGTCTCTGCTTTCACTTCCTGTATCCGCAATCTGACTGTGATATGTGATTATTAAAGGTATAGTCTATGTTGCCCCCTAGTGATTAATATGAACATAGGAAAAGTCCTGTAGACTTGCTCAGCTATTCAGAGCTGTGGATATGCTTCTTATCATGCAGAATCTACCTACTACTTTCCATCATTTTATTGTTTAAGTCCTTTAATAGCGTCAATTTTTACATTTTATTATGTTATTACACAAGTCCAAGCTAAACTGTTTATTCTATATAAAAGACAAGCAAAAACCAAGAAAACATTATAATCAATAAAATATTATCAAACAAGAAAAAGAAATACACCTCCTTTTAAAATTTATTTCTAACTCTATTTTTGTGGAGTGCTTTTAACCAGAGAAATAATTAACCTAAATGCATGGTCTATTAAAAGTTAATCGACCAGGCATGGTGGCTCACGCTTGTAATTCCAGCACTTTGGGAGGCTAAGGCGGGCAGATCACTTGAGGTCAGGAGTTTGAGACCCTCCTGGACAACATAGTGAAACCTCGTCTGTACTAAAATACAAAACTTAGCTGGCTGTGGTGGTGCATGCCTGTAATCCCAGCTACTCGGGAAGCTGAAGCAGGAGAATTGCTTCAACCCGGAAGGCAGAGGTTGCAGTTGGCCAAGATTGCGCCATTGCACTCCAGCTTGGGTGACAGAGTGAGACTCCATCTCAAAAAAAAAAGAAAAGAAAAGAAAAAATCACTTTTCTTACTTTAGTATTTCCTGAATATAAAGAATGACAGGCAGGATTGAATACCTTGTGAAAAAGTCTGAGATAATGCACAGTGATGCTGTCTATGTATTAAGTCTTGTGAGGCCTTCATCTATAAGTTTTTCCTTACCCCTTTGGTGGGCCCCCTCAGCCCAGCTTTTTTTTTTTTTAAAGGACAGGGTCTCACTCTGTTGCCTAGGCTGGAGTGCAGCAGCACAATTTTGGCTCACTGCAGACTCAACCTCCAGGGCTCGAGTAATCCTCCCACCTCAGCCTCCCAAGTAGCTGGGATCACAAGAATGTGCCACCACACCCAGCTAATTCCTTATTTCTTATAGAGACAGAGTCTTACTATATTGCCTAGGCTGGTCTCAAATTCCTGGGCTCAAGTGATCTTCCCACCTCAGCCTCTGAGTAGCTAGGACTACAGGCATGCACCACCATACTCGGCTAATTTTTGTATTCTTACTGTAGAGACATGGGGTCTCACTTTGTTGCCTAGGTTGGTCTTGAACTCCTGGGCTCGAGTGATTCTCCTGCCTTGGCCTCCCAAAGTGCTGGGATTACAGGCTTGAGCTATGTGCCCAACCTCCTTTGATTTTTTGTTTTTCTTCTGTTTGCTTTACTCATAGGAAAAAACATATACATTTATAAATCCTGATTCAAAGACTACTTTTGTGTGAGGGTATTGAGTTTGCTTTTTTTTCTCCTTTCATCTAGGTCATGTGGCCTTTGGGAGATATGTGTGTGTGTGAGGGGTAGGATGTGTGTTTAATTTTTTAAATTTATATTTTGGTGCTGTATGTTGTGAAAGATTTGCTCATAGTGGATCAATGAACCATCTTTTCTAGGCAGTTTTGTTGAAAATGAAGGTTTCTCTTTGATTTCAAGAATGACCAAATTAAAAAACAAAAACAAGGTATTAATTTTCTATTGCTACCATAAAAAATTCTCACAAACTTAGTGGCTTAAAACAACACAAACTTAGTTTTGTATATCAGAAATCTGACACCTATCTCCCTGGGCTAAAATCAAGCTGTGGCAGGGCTGCATTCCTTTCTGGAGGCTCTAGGGGGCAGTCTGTTTCTGTCCTGGCCTTTTCTAGCTCCTAGAGGCCATCCACATTCCTTGGCTTGTGGCCTCTTCCTCTGTTGTCAGAGCCAGGAACGCAGCATCTCCCTGACCTTTCTTCCATCTCACATCCTTTTCTCTGACCACAGCTGGGAAAGGTTCACTTATTTTAAGGACTCCTGTGATTAGACTGGGCCCATCTTAAGGTTCTTAATTTAATCACATATTTTATTATGTAGAGTCACATATTCAGGGGTTCCAGGTATTAGGATGTGGACCCCTTTGGGGCAGGAATTATAATTCTGCCTATTACAAATGATGTAAGAGCATATACAGTACAGTGTTTAAAATAGTAATGAGTTGGAAATAAATGTTCCAAAACAGGAAAATACTTAAGTTATAGAACAAACAAATGTTGGAGTACTAGGAAGCCTCTAAAAATCATTGTAAGAGAATAACATAGGCGATGAAAGAAGTAGAATACAAAGTTTATAAACAGTGTGATCCTGTACTGCATGTGGGGTGGGGTGATGCCCCACTGGGTGTGTAGAATTTTGAGTGATTTTCATTTTCTTTTTTTTTTTATCTTTCTTTTCTGGGGAGGGGGGGTACTGTCTGCTGTAAGCATGTGTTACTACTATCACATCCATCTCCCCCAAAACTTTTAATTAAATCTTAAGGGAAAGTGTATTTTATTTAATAGTGGTAAAAAGTAAGTATCTTAAAAGCAAATGCTAAAGTCCTGATAAAATGTACATTATACTATAAAAGGACATAATCTAAAGGCAAAGGCAAAGGGAAACTTTCAGTAAGCATTCCCTAATAGAAGACCTATAAAATGAGGTATGTAGTAATTACTTGGGCTGGGATTAAAGGGACATAAGAATGTCTTTACATACAAGTATAGCCAATATACAAAATGCACAACAGTCTAGTTACCATTAATCAAAATGGTGGGCAAGTACTATAAAAGTCACCATTAAAATACAGCCTTATTAAAATACATATATTTATGGAAACGAAAACTGACATTTCAAAATAATTATTTCTGTGTGCCCTAGACATTTGAGCAATTTAATACTTCTGCTGGAGTACAGAGAGGAAGTCAGTAAGATGGAATGTATTTGGATTTCAAGCAGTTATTTTTAAAGGAAAGCTATTACTTTAGAAACTAAAAGCAAAACAGAAAACAAAAACTTTAACCAGTATCCTTTCATCTAGCTAATTAGATGTTTGTTCATTCACTATAGATATAGAATTTATTTAAAACCTCAAAATGATTGAAGTAACAGACTCAGCACTGTGACTTTGGGATTGAGTAGGCTATAAGAGTGGGGTGAAATATGACCATTCATTCTATAATTCAATATTAAAACAAATTCCTGCAACCAAAGAAATAGTAGTACTGGGTTAGGCCAGGTTCCCAAGTTCATTGTGTATTCTAGATCTATAGTGCTAATAAAGAGAAGACAATAACTTGTTTGCCTACCTTATTTCATTGTTAAAAAAAATCACTAGGTCAAAATAATGGGTCAAGTTGTTGATTGAAAAACCCAGAATTGCTTTTGTATTTGCTGGGATAAGCTAGATGTCTTAGTTCATTTTGTGCTGCTATAACAGAATACCACAGACTGACTAACTTCTAAAAAACAGAAATTTTCTTGCAGTTCTGGAGACTGAGAAGTCCAAGATCAAGGCACTCTCATCTGGTGAGGGCCTTCTTGCTGTCTCATCACATGGCAGAAGGCAGAAGGGCAAGAGCACAAGAGAGAGAACCCATTCCAGAGAGTGCTTTTCATAATGGCATTAATCTATTCTTAAGGGCGGAGCCCTCATGGCCTAAACACCTCCCATTAGACCTCACTTCCCAGTGCTGTTGCATTTGGGATTCAGTCTCTAACACATGAATATCTGGGAGACACATTCAAACTATGGCACTAGGTTATGCTGTAGTAACAACTTATTCCCTTAACAGGCACAGATGATGGTCCAGGGCAACTGTCCCCTGGTGTGAATCAGCAATTCAGGTCACTTGACTCTTGTGACTGTGGCATCACAGGGAGACAAGAGGTCTCCCTGTTTTCAACTACAGCAGAAAGCACGAGGAGTATGCAGCCCACCTATTCTATGCTTGGCCCAGTGGTGATACACAGTACCTCTCTTCTGCTTACAGCACATTGGCCTGAAATGGTCGTGTGGTCCCACTCAAGGGGGAAGGAGGCTGGGAAATGGAAGCTTCTATGTGTCCTGAAAAGAAATTATAGGCATACTGCTGAGTGCTACTTATGTTTAAACACACCTATACAATTTTGGAGAAGCTTTCCTTTATTTTTTATCCAGTTGGAAAGACTCTGTTCTCTAAACTTCAGAGCTGCAGGTAGGACCTGGTCCTCATTCTAGAGAAAGTAGCTCTGCAGTCCCAGCAGAAAGAAGCCTGACTTGAAGCTCCACCACTTTGGCTATCTGTTGGGTGTTCTTCAAAAGTGAGTGCCAATTCACTGTAGTACCCGGCACTTGGTCTTCCATGCTTTCATTATTAGGGAAACTAGATTTGTAGCACAGCTACTGGAGAGTACTAGGATCCTAGTAAGCTGGCTTTACAAACATGGTGTGTACTGCCTATTTTTGCTTTTATTTCAGAGAAAATAAAACGTAAGATAATAGGAACAAATACATGTGAACTGCTGGACGGCTATTCAAAAATAGTTTGCCAGAGTAACTGGTAAGCCTGAAATCTGTGTAGCCATGAAAGGGCTCATCATCGGCTTAATTCTGAAGCAAAACTTGGTGAAACACGTGGTGGTTATCTTGGAGGTAAAATGCTGGCTTCCCAGTGGGAAGTGAAAGTGTCAATCAGGTTGTGTTGGGAGATGTGATAAAGGCTGAGGCAGTCTTGCAGCTCATGATTTTATGCAGGGGCTAAGATGAGAAGGATGTTCAAAAAAACCAGGGGATGTTATTCTAGCTTTTGAGCATGAGACAGCCTCAAAGCACTGGGAAAGCTGGATGCTAGCAGGAGGCAGTAGAAATGCAAGTGTGAGAAAAATAAAGGCTGGGCTGGCGTGCTGGCAGGAAATGGATTCGAAAGGCAGGTCTGATAAATGTTTCAGAAAAAGAGAGCTGTCAGGATGAGGTAGAGTGAGCTTGGCAGCCTGGGAGTTGGCATGCCATTGATGGTCAAGACCAAATGCTGTTTCTCCTATCCAGCCAGAAATTTTGCTTTAGAAATGACACTAGGGCTTTGCTCTCAACAACCACTGTCCTCTCTCTCATTCTCCCTCTCACTGGGTTACCTCCTCCTTGTCAGTGACTTCTTCTGTGATACTGACTCTTCCATCCATCATGGGTTTTTTCTCTGATTTTTAAGAATAAGTGGAAATTCCTATATTGTTTGTTCTTTCAATTGTAGAAAATATTGAAAACCAAAAGGAAATAATTTAAAAACACTGTAATTGCACTACGAAGAAGCACTTAGTTTGGTATACAGCCATGTGTTGCTTAATGGTGGGGATATATTTTGAGAAATGTTTTATTAGGTGACTTCATCACTGTACAGATATCATAGAGTACTTACACAAACCCAGATTGTATAGCTGACTACACACCTGTGATATATGGTATAGCTGAGTGCTCCTAGTCTGCAAACCTGTATAGCATGTTACTGTACTGAATAAGGCAGGAAATTGTAACACAATGGGAATCATTTGTTTATTTAAATATATCAAAACATAAAAAGGTACAGTAAAAATGCAATATAAAAGATAAAAAATGGTAGGTACCCGTGTAGGGCACCTACCATGAATAGAGCTTGCAGGACTGGAAGTTGCTCTGGGTGAGTCAGTGAGTGGTAAATGGATGTGAAGGCCTAGGACACGGCTGCACACTACTGTACAATTCGTAAGCACTACACTTAGGCACACTAAATTTATAAAAAATATTTTTCTTTAATAGGAAATTAAACTTAGCTTACTGTAATTTGTTACTTTATGAACTTTTTAACTTTTAACAACTTTTAGATTGTTTTTAAGCAACATTTAGCTTAAAACACAAACTCACGTACAGCTGGACAAAAATATTTTCTTTTTAAATATCCTTACTCTATAAGCTTTTTTCATTAAAAAATTATTTTTACTTTTAATTTTTTTTTGTTAAAAACAAAGACACAAATATACACATTAGCCTGGGTCTACACAGGGTCAGGATCATCAATATCACTGTCTTCCACCTCCACATCTTATCCTGCTCGAAGGTGTTCAGGGGCAATAACACGCACGGAGCTGTCATCTCCTATGATAACAGTGCCCTCTTCTGGAGTACCTCCTCAAGGAACTGCCTGAGGCTATTTTAGAGTTAACTTAAAAAAAATAAGTAGGAGTACACTCTAACAATAAAAAGTATGTAAATACATAAACCCAGTAATAGTCTATTATGATTAAGTGTTATGTACTATACATAAATATATATGCTATACTATTGTAAGACTGGCAGTGCAGTAGGATTGTTTACGTACAGCGTCACCACAAACATGAGCAATGCATTGTGCTACAACGTTCTGATGGCTATGACATCATTAGGTGATAGGAATTTTTCAGTTTTGTTATGATCTTATGGAACAACTGTTGTATCTGTGGTCCATTGTTGGCCAAAGTGTCATCAGGAGTTGCATGACTGTATCTCCTTCCAGACTTGTGTTTATGTGTGTGCTTTTACAAAAATGGAATATATACACTATTCTAGGAACTCCTTTTCTCATTTAATATTCTGTGAAAAGCTAGACTTATTTATGAATGCTTATGAGATGTTTTACTGGCATTTCACACTCAATGTGACAACACCATCCTTATCATTTCTAACCTATACCTCATTTTTTTCATTTTTCATTTCATTAACTTTTTCAACATCTTTTGAGCCCACAGTAGGGGTCTAACCACTTGATAATTGTCTTAGTTTATTTTCTGTTGCTATAACAGAATACCATGGACTGGGTAGTTTATAAAGAAAAGAAGTTTATTTAGCTCATGGTTCTGGAGGCTAGGAAGTCCAAGAGCATGGCACCACCGGCATCTAGTGTGGGTCGTCCCATGGCAGAAGCGGGGAAGGACAGAAGGTGGAAGCAAGTGCACAAGACAGAGAGAAAATTGGGTAAAATTCATCCTTTTTATAAGGCGCCCACTCCTGTGATAACTAACCCACTTTATGATAATGACATTAATTCATTAATCCATATAATCACCTCTTAAAGTTCCCACCTCTCAACACTGTTACAATGGGGATTAAGTTTTCAACACAAATTTTTGGGAGGACACATTCAAACCATAGCAATGGTTAAAATTAAGCTCAGATACTCTCTTTTTTCCCTACCCTTCTCATATTTAATTGTCTCAAAATCACTCATTCATTCAATAAATATTTTTTTCATCTGTCCTTACATGGCCTGTGTGCAGCCTGTGCCCTCATGATTTTCTCATTCAGTGAAATTGAGCACCTACTATGTGCCAGACTTTGTTTTTGGCTCTGGGCATACCAAAGTGAACCAAATGGGGAAGGTACCTTCTATCATGGTGCTAGTATTCTAGAGGGGGAATAAATAATACATCAATATATTAGCTATCCATTATTGCGTAGCAAATTACCCCAAAACTTAGTGACTTACAATAATGACATTTACTATTTTACTGTGTTTGTGGGTTAGGAGTTGGGGCATGCTTTAGCAGGTCCTCTGCTTCAGGGTCTCTCACAGGCCGCACTCATCTCAAGGCTCAACTAGGGGAGAATTGGCTTTCAAAGTCATTCATGTGGTTGTTGGCAGGATTCCATTTCTTGCTGTGTTGGCTACAGGCTACTGCCAATCCTGGCCACATGCACCTCTCTGTTAGGGCAGCTCACAATAGGGCAGCTTGCTTCATCAGAGTAAGCAAGCAAGCAAGAGCCAGAGAGAGAGAGAGAACGAGAGGGAGAGTGCCGGTAAAACAAGAGTCATGGTCCTTTATGACCAATCTTGAAGTGACATCCCATCACTATACCATATCCTATTTGTTAGGAACAAGTCCCTAGGTGGCCCATTGAAGGGGAGGGTGTTACACAGGGTTTGAATACCAGGAAATGGGGATCATTGTGAGCCGTTTTAGAAGGCTGCCTCCCACAGTCAAGAAACAAGACAATTCCAGATCATACTCAGTGCTAGAGAGAAAATAGGACAGGGATAAGACGAAGAGCATCTGGGAGTGTTGGGGAGGTAGTCTTCATTGAGTGTTTAGAGAGGACCTCACTGAGGAGATAACAGTGAAGCAGAGAACTAAAGGGCAAGAAAGGGCCCACCCGGAAAGATTCAAGCCTTCCAGACAGAGGAAACAGAAAAGGCAAAGTGGCAGAATGAGCTCTGCCTGTTTGAGGAAGAGGGTGGAGCCCAGTGACATGGAGTGAATGAGCACGAAGGAAGTGGGCGCCTGCTGAGATGAGGCCCGGGTAATGAGTACATGAAGTGAATAGTGTCTGTGTTTTGAAATACTGAGTAACTTCCCTATGTCACAGCTTGTAAGTGACACAGCACACACAAGGATTTGAACCCGAGTCCATCTGATGCTAAAATCCATGTTTTTGCCACACTAGTGCCTTGCAGAATTTACTAGAAGGGGATGCTGCTGGGTGGTGGTCAGCCACTCCAGGTGCTCATGATGTAAGTAAGACTTTCAGGGCTAAAACCAGGATAGTCCTGAGGAAATTGGGATAGCTGGTCACCCACAAGACACGACAGGAACACTGAGTTCTCTGATGTGATATGAAACCCAGGATGAGCCGGCAGCCCTGAGTCAGCCTGATGAGAAGTCGGCTGTGCCTTTTGTTACCAAGAAAACAAAACTGTAGCATAACCCCACCTTGTTGTTAAAACAAAATGTTTACATTCTTCTGTTCTGCTTCGCTCAAGTCATTCCTGTGGGACAAGCCGACCTAACATACAGGTGTAGTCAGGGGCTAGGAGAGACCTAGGCAGGCCCTTGTCCATTCTCAGTCACTGAAGTGAGACCTAGGGACTCAGGAAGGACTCAGAGTTCCCTTAGTCATCATTCCCTCTGGGCATCCTGCTTTTGGCATAATTACTGATACGAGCACCTCGTGTCCCCTCCTGAATTATACCTACCCCCCCGCCTCCCCGCCCCCTGCAATTGCTTAGCACAGTATCTGGCCCATGGAAGTGACTTCATGGAAATTCAGCGGATGAATGACTGGACAATGAACAACGCACAGCAATGTGTGGTGTGACAGAAAAGGCTGCACCAGCAAAAATTGGAAGCTGATCTTTGGGTATTTCCTTGCCTTGGTCACTTTGCAATTTCCTGGGTGCTTGAAACAGGAAGTCAGTGACTCTAAGCCCCTGTGGGATCTGGCACCTCACATCAAGGTATCTGGAAAGTCCTTATTCTTCACTTCTCCATGCGATCCTACCCTACAGACCAGCCCTCCTTTTGGAATCTCTCCTGCTACACATTCTGTGACCCTGGGACTCTCTCTTATTTTATTTATTTATTTTTATATGCCCGTGTTTCCAAAGGAATAATAGGGCAGTTAAATATAGCTATGACTGTGCCTTTCCAGAGCCCAGAAAAGTCTGGAAAACTGGGAATATCCAAAGCTCAGGATGATATTGCGCACACAAAAAGTACTAGGCAGAGTAGTGTTTAGATAGAAACAGAGTAATGTTTAGATAGAAAGCAGACTCAGTCATATAAAATATATGCATATACAGCATGATCTGCATTTCTGTGATGCTTCTGAAGTACAGAAGCATTCAGCACTTCAGTAACTCTTATTGCAAGTTACCTCTTCAATCATTTTTCTTCAATCATTAAAATGCTTTAAAAAATTTTTTAGCTTATTGAGGTATGACTGACAAAAATTTTAATATATTTAAAGTGTACAACTTGTTTTGATATATGTATACATTGTGAAATGATTACCACAATCAAGCTAATAAACATGTCCATTATCTCACGTTACATTGTGTGAGAACACTTAAGATCTACTCTTAGCAAATACCAAGTATTTCGAGTATATCAAGTATGCAATATATTATTACTATACACTCACCATGCTGTACATTAGAGCTTCAGAACTTATTTATCTTATAACTGAAAGTTTGTACCCTTTGACCAATGTCCCCATTTCCACCATTCCTAGTGACCACTGTTCTACTCTGTTTTTATGAGTCTGGCTTTTTTTAGATTCCACATGTAAGTGAGATTATACAGTATTTGTCTTTCTGTGACTGGCTTATTTTACTTAGCATAATGTCCTGCTGGTTCATCCATGTTGTTGCAAATGGCAAGATTTCCTTATTTTTTTAAGGCTGAATACTATTTCATTGTGTAGTATACACCACATTTCTTTATCCATTCATTCATTGATGGACACTTACGTTGATTCCAAATTTTGGCTATTGTGAATAATGCTGCAATAAACATAGGAGTGTAGACAGCTCTTTGACATATTGATTTCATTTTCCCTGGGTATATGCCTAGAAGAGGGATTGCTGGATCATATGGTGGTTCTGGTTTTAATATTTTGAGGAAACTCCATATTGTTTTCTATGATGGCTATACCAATTTACATTCCCGCCAATAATGTATAACAGTTCCCTTTCTCCACATCCTTGCCAACACTTATCTTTTGGCTTTTTGGTACTAGCCATCCTAACAGGTATGAGGTGATGTTTTATTGTGGTTTTGATTTGCATTTCCCTGATGATTAGTGATGTAGAGCACATTTTTATATGCCTGTTGGCCATTTTTATGTCTTCTTTGGGAAAATATCTATTCAGATTATTTTCCCACTTTAAATCCAGTTATTTGTTTTTTTGCTATTGAATTGAATTTTTTATGTATTTTGGATAGTAACCCTTTATTATATATAAGGTTTACAAATTTTCTCCCATTCTATAGGTTCTTTTTTTCTTTATTTTACTATAAAGTTTAAAATCTTGTTTTAATTTTTGTGGGTACATAGTAGGTGTATATATTTATGAGGTGTGTGAGATGTTTTGATACAGGCAAATTGTGTCACAGAAAATCCCCTCAAGCATTTATCTTTTGTCTTATGATACAATTAAACTCTTAGTTATTTTAAAATGTACAATTAAATTATCGACTATAGTCACCCTGCTGTACTATCAAATAGTCGGTCTTATTCATTCTTTCTAACTATTTTTTGGGTACCCATTAACCATACCCATCCCCCCGCCTCCCCCTTACCCACCTCTATAGGTTCTTTTCATTTTGTTAATTTTTTTCCTTTGCTGTGCAGAATAAAATGCTTTTTCAAAGCAAGTTAAAGCTGCTCTCTACTTAGATTAAGAAATCAACTTAAAGTATTATATATATATATATATATATATATATTAAAAAAAAAAAGAAAACATCTGAAGTGGCTCCAGCAGAAGGAAAGGCAAGATGGGAATCAAAGTTTAATCTACATTCTTTCTGCTTCTCCTTTTCTACCAACACTGTGTTCAACTGCATAACAATAGTACCAATGAGCACGAGAAAGATAGTTTTTAGTTTAAAGACTATTTCAGTTTTAGTCAGACTACTTCAGACCTCAGACTCCAGACTTCAGACTCCAGACTTTAGACAACAGACTCCACATGCCACACAACAGACTTTCAGACTCCAGCTTCAGACTCCAGACTCCAGATCGCACACTTCAGACAACAGACTCTAGACAACACACTCCAGTCTCCACATTCCACACGACAGACTACAGACTCCACACTCCAGACAACAGACTCCACACTCCAGACAAGAGACTCCACAATCCAGACAAGAGACTCCACACTCCAGACAACAGGAGACTTTTAGACTCCAGATCAGACTTCGAACTTCAGATTCACTCCAGACTTCAGACTCCAGACCAGACTTCAGACTCCAGACCCAGATTTCAGATTTTAGACTTCAGACTCCAGACCAGATTTCATATTTCAGACTCCAGACCAGACTTCTGACTTCAGACTTCAGACTCCTGACCCTGGATTTCAGACTCCAGGCTTCAGAGTTTGGACTTTGGACTACTTCAGCTTTAGTCAGACAGACAACTTCAGTCACACCACTTTTCACCTCTGCCATCTAATCTCGTCTTTTGAACAACCCCCTAAAAAGGTAACATTCCCAAGAAACCCAGACCCAGAAACACTGAATGACATACTCAAGACTACCCAACTAGTAAGGGGGAGGCCACAGTTTCCCTTACCCTGGCAACATGCACATGGCAGGCCCTTCACTTAGCTGGTAGAAGGAACACAGGCTTGGGAAGGAGATGTCTGATGTTCACTCCCTGACGACACTCTTACTTGCTTCAATGATCTCTCTGAGCCTTGGGTGGCCCATCTGCTAAACAAGGATGAGTTATTTCCTGGGGATGCTAAGAGACTTCTGCCTCATGCCTGCAGTGCTGCTCATGTTGCCCCCTTGGAATTACTTGTTCAACTTCTTTCTTCCCCACTAGACTGTGAGCTTCTTCAGGTCAAAGACCAGGACTTTCTTGCCATTAACCCCAGCAACTAGCATCATGCCTGACCAAAGGGCATGCTGATGACAATAAACATTGATTGTCCGAAATCACATGCCTGGTCCCCAGTAGGCGCTTGCTGGTTACTGCTTTCTTCCCATCCTCCCTCTGCCACCCCTTCCTCTCTGAGTCTGGAGGGGATGGCCATGTACTAGCCAGGGGCAGTGTCCACAGGAAATTCAGGTCCTTTGCAGCAGTCAGTTTCATTTCCTATGATTAAAATTTCTGTGAAACATATTATGCAAGAGCAGAATTTTAATGTAGTTATTCCCTGGACGGTCTGGGCAAGACAGACCTACCCTGTACCAGTTCCTGGCACAGCTGGTGTTGGCCCAGTTACGCAAGTTTCTGAGGTTTAAAACAGAACAACAACCTTCCAGTGTTTCTTTCAATGCCAAAGCAAACTTTCTCAGCAGAGCGGTCCCTCATTCTTGGAAAAGAGAGGAATGTCCTTTTCTTTTCCCTGTCTCCTCTTCTCTGATAGAAAAGTGATAATTTATTATTGAGATTGCAGATTGGGCCTCGACCCCTCCTTTGACAAAGAGGCAAAACACTCCTAGAAATAAAGTTTTCATTAATGCATTCCTCTCTCCCCTTTCTCTGTCCCCTCCTCCCCTTTCCTGTTCTCTAGGTCTCTGCTTCTAAATGTATCCCCAACTTCTTTCCAAATACTTCCTCCTGCGCTGTCCCACCTGAACCTCTGCTACGTAATGCCCTCTGCTCCCTTTTTGCCATCGATAGTCTCATTTCCTGAGAGACACTGAGCTCATCTAGTTGGTTAGAGGAAAACATTATGATTGATCTAATTCATATTAAAGTGTGAATGACTGACAGCCCAATATATTTACATTACTTCATATAATTGCCTTTTTACCAAAGGCGCTTATTAATCCAAGTAAACACTTTCCACATAGAATTCCCCTAAAGAGTTTTGGGCTAGTTATTCCTCTGCGTGTCCCTCAGGGAATGACTATTTCTTCATAACTTCTGTCTTTCTTTTCAAGAGTAAAATGAAGGGAAGGTCAGTGATCTCATATTGGGTCTACACTGGGGATTATGCCCTCAGTGAGCTAGAGATGGGACAAGTTTAGGGACTGATTTTCTTAGAGGCAATCATTACCTGGTATTTTCCTGTCAATTGAATTATGATCTTAGAAACAAATGCTTTTAAACAAAAGGTCAGCTAGGTATGGTGGCTCATGCCTGTAATCCCAGCACTTTGGGAGGCCAAGGCAGGCAGATCACTTAAGGTCAGGAGTTCAAGACCAGCTGGCCAACATGGTGAAACTCCGTCTTTACTAAAAAAAAAAAAAAAAAAAAAAGTACAAAAATTAGCCTGGCATGGTTGTGATGGTTGTGCACACCTGTAATCTCAGCTACTTGGGAGGGAGGAGACTCGCCTGAACCTGGGAGGTGGAGGTTGCAGTGAGCCAAGATTGCACCACTGCACTCCAGCCTGGGTGAAAGAGCAAGACTCTGTCTCAAAAAAAAAAAAAAAAGAAAGAAAATTAAAAAAATAAAAGGTGGAGGAAAATTTTCATATTGTTTTTCTCTTATAATTTTTATTCTTTGCCAATACAGCTTTGAAACTCTGTAGTTTCCTTAGTAACTCTGCAGTGTCTAAAAGTTCCTCAGTCAACTGACGTATAACTCCTCTTTCATGTCATTCACCCCATAATTATGTACTTTTGTCAACCTATCATTATAATTAGTATTCATATGCCTAATGTTTTTGCATATCTGTTGTATAGACAGGCAGCTTTGTTTCTCCACTCGATTCTTCTTTTTTGATTTTTTTTAAACAAAAGTTTACTCTTACATGTACAGCAGGCTGTAAGACAACAGTTCATTCTAACTATAGGTGGCAAAAGATGTTATGGCAGGAAATGCAGAGGTTTAAATAGCAATGGAATCAAGGGTCATCATTGCCTCAGTCACAAGGAACAGCTTTTTTTTTTCCTCAGGTTTCTTATTTATTTATTTTCAACTCTTATTATAGATTCAGGGGGCACATGAGCAGGTTTGTTACCTGGATATATTGTGTGGTGTTGAGGTTTGTGTTACAAATAATCTCATCACTCAGGTACTGAACATACTACTCAATATTTCGTTTTTCAACCCTTAACCTCCTTCCTCCCTGCTCTAATATCCCCAGTTTCTATCATTGCCATCTTTATGGCCATGAGCACAAAGTTTAGCTCCCACTTATAAGTGAGAACACATGGTATTTGGTTTTCAGTCTATGCACTAATTTGCTTACGATAATACTTTTTGCCAGATTTCTTAATTCCACTTGTGGCCAGGAGTCCCTTCCCTGTGTCCTTTGCTTTTAGCCCCTCAAGTTTCTTCTGCTCCTCTTTTTGCTTCTGCTTGGAATCCTGTCTTCCTCCTCCATCTCTTTGGCTTGTTTCTTGGTCTCTTCTTGCCACCTTGCTGCTCTTTCCCCAGACCCTATCACCAGAATTCATTTTTTATAAAACAAATATACTTATTCATTTGGCTCTACTTACCAAGGAACTCATATCTAGCACTTACAAGCATTAGGTACGGGCAGGCGGCACCGACAGCTGGGGCCTGGGTCGGGGACACGCGGAGGTCAGGCTGGTGAAGGCGGCAGGAAGCTGGAGCACGATCCCAGGGGGAACAATCCTGGACCTTGACTCAACAGCCACTTTGAGGAGTGACCAGCCTGCGTTTCAACCAAGACCAAAACTGCTTTTGCTGCGCCATGGAGACAGGTGTGCGCATCTACAACGTGGAGCCCTTGATGGAGAAGGGGCATCTGGACCACAAGCAGGTGGCAGCATAGGCTTGGTGGAGATGCTGCACCGCTGCAACCTTCTGGCCTTGGTGGGCGGTGGTAGTAGCCCCAAGTTCTCAGAGATCTCAGTGCTGATCTGGGACGATGCCCGGGAGGGCAAGGACTCCAAGGAGAGGCTGGTGCTGGAGTTCATCTTCACCAAGCCAGTGCTTTCTCTGTGCATGCTCCATGGCAAGATCGTGACCGTGCTGAAGAACCGCATCTATGTGTACTCCTTCCCAGACAATCCTCGAAAGCTGTTTGAGTTTGATACCCGGGTCAACCCCAACAGGCTCTGTGACCTCTGCCCCAGCCTGGACAAGCAACTGTTAGTGTTCCCGGGACACAAGTGTGGGAGTCTGCAACTTGTGGACCTGGCGAGCACAAAGCCTGGCACCATGTCTGCTCCATTCACCATCAATGCACATCAGAGTGACATAACCTGTGTGTCTCTAAACCAGCCAGGCACTGTAGTGGCCTCAGCCTCCCAGAATGGTACCCTTATTCGCCTCTTTGACACACAATTCAAGGAGAAACTGGTGGAGCTGCACCGAGGCACTGACCCTGCCACCCTCTACTGCATTAACTTCAGCCACGACTCCTCCTTCCTCTGCGCTTCCAGCGATAAGGGCACCATCCATATCTTTGCTCTCAAGGATACCCACCTTAACCGCTGCTCCGCGCTGGCTCCGTGGACAAGGTGGGGCCTATGATTGGGCAGTACGTGGACTCTCAGTGGAGCCTGGCGAGGTTCACTGTGCCTGCTGAGTCAGCTTGCATCTGCTCCTTCGGTCGCAATACTTCCAAGAAATTCAACTCTGTCATTGCCATCTGTGTAGATGGGACCTTCCACAAATATGTCTTCACTCCTGATGGAAGCTGCAACAGAGAGGCTTTCGATGTGTACTTTGACATCTGTGATGATGATGACTTTTAAGGACCCTGGGAGCTGTGCTAGAGACCTGCAGTGGCAGACTGCAGAGCTGAGCCTTGGCAGTGGGGCATGCTTGGAAGCCACTAGCCAGCAAGCATTAATGCGGCTGGTGCCCACTTTCCACTCAGCAGAGCTATGTCTAAATAAAGAGCTCACTTCCCCCCAGCACTTCTTGATGACTGTGTGCCCCAAGGGCCAGGCCAGAGACCCAGGAAGGCAGAGACCCCTTGGGATCCCTAACCTGGAGGAAATTGCCAGGGACCCAGAGGAAGTGCCCTAATCCAACCTGGGGATTTTTTAAAAGCTTCCTAGGAAGAGATGATCTCCGATGTGATGAATATGAATAAAAGGCCCTTAATGGCAAAACAAACAAACAAACAAACAAACAAACAAACATCAGGTACTGCTGGTAATTTACATGTGCCATCTCACCAAATTTTCAACCCTATGAAGTCCATTTTACAGAGATAATAACTTGCTCAAAATCATGCAGTTAGCAAGATGGCTCAGAATCTCTATTCATAACCTCTATACATACTGCCTTTGTTATGTTTCATGTTATCAGAAATGTTTAAAAATCACTTTGGAATGTTATTTATCACAACAAACAAAAGTTACATCATCCTAAGCTTCTAAAAGCCAATCTGAACAGTTTGACCAAATGAAAACTTAAGGTAGACTAAGACCCCATTGTACCCAACCTTGCATACTCAAGGTTGATGAGGTACTATTCCTGCTATTCTCTAGTTACTTGGTGAGGCCATCACTAATCTCAACAGATTCTGGTGGTTTGAAGGCAGTGGCCACCTGAATCAAGAAATAAAATGTTGACTACAAGCAGAGCAAGTAACTGTATGATATTCCTTTTTCCCCAGGACAAATGTTTCCACTATTTTCATTCTGATCCATCAACAATGTGATTAGACTTCCTGGTCCCACTGAAAAATGGAACTAAGTTCTCACAGTTTAAATCCTAAGGCCTTTCTTGAAAATAATAGCTAGCACTGAACATTTAACCAGGTTCTAGGTACTATATTCTGGATAAGAATTATCTCCATTTAATAAATGTGAAAACTGAGTCTTGGGAGATCTGCTCAGTTATAAAGATAACATGTGGAAGAATTAAGATTTGAATCCAAGTCTGTCTGACTGCAAAACATTTGCCCTTACAAACCATGGTACATTGCTCCCATAATGTGGAGGGTGGGCATGACTGAATCGTGCTGAGCCCCAGGAATCAGTGGACATAACCTTGGATCTGAGGCACGTGGGCCACAGTTGATGGCTGCCTTGAGACAATCCAGAAGCTGATTTGTGGCAGTGATTCATAGTGTGTCCTTTAGAGCAGGAGTCCCCAACCCCATGGTACTGGTCCATGGCCTGCTAGGAACCAGGCCGCACAGCAGGGCATGAGAGGCAGGCAAGTGAGCATTACTGCCTGAGCTCTGCCTCCTGTCAAATCAGTGGCAGCATTAGATTCTCATGGGAGCATGAGCCCTATTGTGAACTGCACATGCAAGGGATCTAGGCTGTGTGCTCCTTATGAGAATCTAATGCCTCCGAAACCATTCGTCCTCCTCCCCGGTCTGTGGAACTGGTCCCTGGTGCCAAAAAGGTTGGAGACTGTTGCTTTAGAGCCAGTATAGCATATTTTAAAGATACTATATTGTAGTATTATGCAATAAATAAATGAAAAATTCCAATGAAGAGTTCTTGCTATGTCACAGGTCAGGGATGATGATGATGAAGATGATGATGATGATGATGATGATGGTGATGATACTAGCTAACAATGATTGAATTCTTTCTTTGTGTCAAGCATTCTGTTAAGCACATTATATGCATAACCTCATTTAAACAGGAAAGAAAATCAACTGTCCTTTGAGTGGTATCCGGTACTTGAGCCATTACTCAATCATCGTTTGACTTCCTTCTTGGACTTAAAATAGTATATGGCATTGTTTCAGGCAAGATTTGTTATTGCTTAAAATTCTCATATGAGGCAATCGTACCTGAATTGTGCAATGCATTTGGGCAATATTTGTATGAAGAAACCATGTGACAAAATGGGAACATGCACACACACATACAAAACAAACAACAATAAAATAAATAAAAATAAAGAATTCAGCCTTTTCAGGAGAATCGCTTAAACCCAGGATGCAGAGGTTGCAATGAGTCGAGATCATGCTACTGCACTCCAGTCTGAGTGACACAGCGAGACTCTGTCTTAAAAACAACAACAAAAAAATTCAGCCTTTTGTATTATTTGAGTGTTTGGTTATGCTCTCATGAAATAAAAAGATTATGAAGAATGGGAAGTTGGTTTATGGAAATCTAGTGAAATGCATGGCATGTAGGCTTTGAAATCAGGTGGAGGTTCCGATCCTAACTATGTTACTTGGCAAGTTTGTGAACTCTTCTGAGCCTCCTTGACTAAAATGCTGATAATACCTGCTGCATAGACTTCTTATAGGATTAAACAAACACACTTAAAACAACTAGAAGAGATCTTAGCTCAAGATAGGGTCTCAATAGAAGTAATTGACTTCCACTCCCCAACCTTACCCTGGATTCTACCTGCCAAACTCTACAGTGTTTACTGACTTCTCCTTCCTTCACCCTCTTTTCTATGTCCCATTTTTATAGTTTTGTATTTCCTAATTACTTTTATTTACTCATTTATTTGTTCAAAGGTATTTACTGAACAACTGCTATATATGAGGTACTAGAATAAGCACTGAGGCGGCAATGGTAAGCTAAACCAAACAGAATTCCTGGTTATGGCCTAGTGAGAGAGACAGGCATTAATCACACAAGCAGGAAGAAAGCTACCAGCTGAGCCACATGCTTTGAAGGAAAAGATCACATCTCTAGGCTGAAAAGTGAGGGAAGTGAAGTTGGGTGGGAGCCTGAAGAGAATGAGCGTGGTCTATGATAGGTGGTGCTGGTGCTAGTGGATGTGGTGGTGATGGTGGAGTTGATGGTGATGATGGAGGTGGTAGTGATGGTGGAGTTGATGGTGGTGATGGAGGCAGTGGTGATGATGGTGGTGATGGTGATGATAAGGTGGTGGTGAAGGTGGAGTTGATGGTGATGATGGAGGTGGTGGTGATGGTGGAGTTGATGGTGGTGATAAAGGTGGTGGTGATGGTGGAGTTGATGGTGGTGATAGAGGTGGTGGTGATGGTGGAGTTGATGGTCATAAGGTGGTGGTGATGGTGGAGTTGATGGTGATGATGGAGGTGGTGGTGATGGTGGAGTTGATGGTGATGATGGAGGTGGTGGTGATGGTGGAGTTGATGGTCATAAGGTGGTGGTGATGGTGGAGTTGATGGTGAGGATGGTGGTGGTGGTGATGGTGGAGTTGATGGTGGTGATGGTGGAGTTGATGGTGATGGTGGTGGTGATGGTGATGATGGAGGTGGTGGTGATGGTGAGTTGATGGTGGTGATGGAGGTCCTGGTGGTGATGATGGAGTTGATGGTGATGATGAGGTGGTAGTGATGGAGCTGATGATGGTGATGGAGGTAGTGGTGATGGTAGAGTTGATGGTAATGATGGAGGTGGTGGTGATGGTGGAATTGATGGTGGTGATAAGGTGATGGTGATGGTGGAGTTGATGGTGATGATGAAGGTGGTGGTGATGGTGGAGTTGATGATGGTGATGGAGGTGGTGATGATGGTGGAGTCAATGGCAATGATGAGGCGATGGTGGTGATGATATTGGAGGTACTGGTGATGATGGAGGGAATGTGGTAGGAAGTAGCATTCACAACAGAGGGAACAATATATTCAAAGAATCAGTAGTGGTGGAACCTCTGCATGTCTGAGAAGCTGAAGGACTAGTGTGGCTGGCATGTGGTTGGTGAGAGAGAAGGAGCAGAGACCAAAAGGAAAGCAGAAACCACACCACAGACCCTAGAGGGCCTTGTAGAATATGTTAAGCATTTGGATCCTAGTCCTAAGAACAACTAGATGCCACAGAAAAGCTTAAACATGGGGCGAGGTGAGGTGATCAGATTTGCATTGTGAAAAGATCATTCTAATTCTTTATGGTTCAATAATGGTAGCTACTAGCTACACATGGCTACTGAACACTGAAATATTGCTAGTTTTAGTAGAGATGTAAAATAGACACTGGATTTCAAAGACTTAGTATAAAAAATGTAAAATATCTCATTAATTTAAAAATATTAATTATATCTTGAAAAAGTATTTCAGATTAAATGTAATTAAAATCAATTTTAAAATTATTTTTAAAAACAATTACTAGGCCAGGCATGATGGCTCATGCCTCTAATCCTAGCACTTTGGGAGGATGAGGTGGTAGGATTGCTTGAGCCCAGGAGTTCGAGACCAGACTGGGAAACATAGGGAGACCCTGTCTCCAATAAAACAAAAAAGTTAGCTGGGTGTGGTTGCACACACCTATGGTCCCAGCTACTTGGGAGGTTAAGGCAGGAGGATCACTGGAGCCCAGGAGGTCAAGACTGCAGTGAGCCATGATCATGCCATTGTACTCCAGTCTGGATGGCAGAGCAAGACCCTGTCTCAAAAACAAACAAAACCCATTTCCCCCACTCCCCAAAAAACCAATTACCTGTTTCTTGATAACATTTTAAAATACAGCTATTAAAAATTAAAAATTGGGGGCAGCCATGGTGGCTCACACCTATAATCCCAGCACTTTGGAAGGCCGAGGTGGGTGGATCACTTGAGGTCAGGAGTTTGAGACCAGCCTGGCCAACATGGTAAAACCCTGTCTCTACTAAAAACACAAAAATTAGCCAGGTGTGTTGGTGGGTGCCTGTAATCCCAGCTACTCTGGAGGCTGAGACAGGAGAATTGCTTGAACTCAGGATGTGGAGGTTGCAGTGAGCCAAAATCACACCACTGCACTCCAGCCTGGGTGACAGAGTGAGACTCCATCTCAAAATAATAATAAAAAAATTAAAAATTGCATATGTGGCTCCCATTGTATTTGAACTAGATGGTGCTACTCTAAGTGCAGTATGGAGAAGGTGCTACGGAGAAGGCACAGTAGAGGAGAACATTTAGGAAGTTGTCTTTGTACTCCAGGAAAGAGAGGAGGAGGTAGCTTGAACTAGGATGACGGCGGTGGGAATAAAAAGAGTTGGATGAATTCAAGGTAAAATGAGCACAACTAAGAGCTGCAGCAGATGCATCTGGATGGATGGTGGAGCTTCATGTTGAAATAACACCAGAAAAAAATCAGCCTTGGTGATATGGTTTGGCTCTGTGTCCTCACCCAAATCTCATCTTGAATTGTACTTCCATAATTCCCATGTGTTGTGGGAGGGACCTGGTGGGAGATAATTTGAATCATGGGGGCAGTTTCCCCCATACTGTTCTCGTGGTAGTGAATAAGTCTCATGAGATCTGATGGTTTTATAAGGGGTTTCTGCTTTTGGATCTTCCTCATTTTCTCTTGCCGCCACCATGTAAGAAGTGCCTTTTGCCTCCTGCCATGATTCTGAGGCCTCCCCAGCCATGTGGAACTGTAAGTCCAATTAAACCTCTTTTTTTTTTTTTTCCAGTCTTGGGTGTGTCTTTATCAGCAGTGTGAAAATAGACTAATATAGTAAATTGGTACCAGTAGAGTGGGGTGCTGCTGAAAAGACACCCAAAAATGTGGAAGCAACTTTGGAACTGGGTAACAGGCAGAGGTTGGAACAGTTTGGAGGGCTCAGAAGAAGACAGGAAAATGTAGGAAAGTTTGGAACTTCCTAGAGACTTGTTGAATGGCTTTGACCAAAAGCATGATAGCAATATGTACAATAAAGTCTAGGCTGAGGTGATCTCAGATGGAGATGAGGAACTTGTTGGGAACTGGAGCAAAGGTGACTCTTGTTATGTTTTAGCAAAGAGACTGGTGGCATTTTGTCCCTGCCTTAGAGATTTGTAGAACTTTGAACTTGACAGAGATGATTTAGGGTATCTGGCAGAAGAAATTTCTAAGCAGCAAAGCATTTAAGAGGTGACTTGGGTGCTGCTAAAGGCATTCCATTTTATAAGGGAAGCAGAGCAGAAAATTTGCAGCCTGACAATATGACAGAAAAGAAAAACCTGTTTTCTGAGGAGAAATACAAGCCACTGCAGAAATTTGCATAAATAATGAGGAGCTGAATATTAATCCCCAAGACAATAGGGAAAATGTCTCCAGAGGTCTTCACAGCAGCCCCTCCCATCACAGGCCCAGAGGCCTAAAAGAAAATGGTTTTGTGGGCCAGGCCCAGGGTCCCCATGCTGTGTGCAGTCTAAGGATTTGGTGCCCTGTGTTCCAGACACTCCAGCCATGACTAAAAGGAGCCAAGGTACAGCTTGGGCTGTTGCTTCAGAGGGTGGAAGCCCCAAGCTTTGGCAGCTTCCACATGGTGTTGAGTCTGCGGGTACACCAAAGTCAAGAACTGAGGTTTGAGGAACCTCCACCTACATTTCAGAAGATGTATGGAAATGCCTGGATGTCCAGGCAAAAGTTTGCTGCAGGGGCAGGGCCCAGATGGAGAACCTCTGCTAGGGCAGTGCGGAAGGGAAATGTGGGGTTGGAGCCGTCACAGAGAGTCTCTACTGGGGCACTGCCTAGTGGAGCTGTGAGAAGAGGGCCATTGTCCTCCAGACCCTAGAATGGTAGATCTGCCGACAGCTTGCATTATGCAACTGGAAAAGCCACAGACACTCAACACCAGCCCATGAAAACAGCCAGGAGGGGAGCCATACCCTGCAAAGCCACAGGGGCAGAGTGGCCTGAGGCCATGGGAACCCACCTCTTGCATCAGCGTGACCCAGATGTGAGACATGGTGTCAAAGGAGATCATTTTGGAGCTTTAAGATTTGACTGCCCTGCTGGATTTCAGACTTGTAAGGGGCCAGTAGCCCTTTTCTTTTGGCCAATTTCTCCCATTTGGAATGGCTGTATTTACCCAATGCCTGTATCCCCATTGTATCTAGGAAGTAACTAACTTGCTTCTGATTTTACAGGCTCATAGGTGGAAGGGACTTGCCTTGTTTCAGATAAGACTTTGGACTGTGGACTTTTGAGTTAATGATGAAATGAGTTAAGACTTTGGGGGAACTGTTCGTTTTGAAATGTGAGGACATGAGATTTGGAGAGGCCAGGGGCAGAATGATATGGTTTGGCTCTGTGTCCCCACTGAAATCTCATCTTGAATTGTACTCTCATAATTCCCACATGTTGTGGGAGGGACCTGGTGGGAGATAATTTGAATCATGAGGGCAGTTTCCCCCATACTGTTCTCATGGTAGTGAATAAGTCTCATGAGATCTGATGGTTTTATCAGGGGTTTCTGCTTTTGCATCTTCCTCATTTTTTCTTGCTGCCACCATGTAAGAAGTGCCTTTTGCCTCCGGCCATGATTCTGAGGCCTCCCCAGCCATGTGAAATTTTAAGTCCAATTAAACCTCTTTTCTTTTCCAGTCTCAGGTATGTCTTTATTAGCAGTGTGAAAATGGACTAATACACCTGGCAAAAATATTTTGAGCTCAGATTGGGACATATTGAATGTGCATGCTCTGAGACAAATGTCTCAAGTAGGCAGTTGCCTATCTAGGTCTGGAGCTCAGGTGAGATATTTGGGCAAGAGATTTAAATTGGAAAGTTATTGGGTTATGGACAGCATAAATGAGATTCATTAAGAAGAAAGCAGCCAGTGAGAAGTGGCCTCGGACCTAGACTTGGGAAATGGGGCAGGGAAGGAGATAACATTGAAAAAGAGGGTTTAAAGGAAAGACTAAGTATGTGGTCATTCAAGGAAAAGGAGAGAACGTTTAAGAAAGGAGAGGCCAGCTGGGTGCGATGGCTCATGCCTGTAATCTCAGCACTTTGGGAGTCCAAGGCGGTGAATCACCTGAGGTCAGGAGTTCCAGACCAGCCTGGCCAACATGGTGAAACCCCGTCTCTACTGAAAATACAAAAATTAGCCAGGTGTGGTGGTGCGTACTTGTAATCCCAACTACTTGGGAGCTGAGGTAGGAGAATCGCTTGAACCTGGGAGGTGGAGGTTGCAATGAGCCGATGAGCCGAGACTGTGCCACTACACTCCAGCCTGGGCGACACAGTAAGACTTTGTCTCAAAAAAAAAAAAAAAAAGAAAAAGAAAGGAGTGGTCAGTCACATCTGCTCTGAGAGGTTAAGCAACATGAGGACCAAAAAATGTCTGGGGGAGTGAGAAATGCAGTGGTCCCTGGTAACCTTTGCAAGTGCTGTTTGGATGGAGTGATGAGGTGGAAGCCAGACTGGAATAGAGGGAAGACTGGGTAAAAGGAGAGGAGATAGAGACAGTAGGTACAGAAAACTCTTTAAAGGTGTTGCGCTGTGAAGTGGAGAGAGAGAGAAAGAGAGAAGTTTGAAGGAGACCAAAAAGATTTTTTGCTGTTGTTCATTTTAAAAATAAATATGGAAAACTTGAGCATGTGTGAATATTGGTAGGAATGGTCTGGATAAGATGGAATAGTAGAACACAAAAGAAAAGAGAGGGATAATAAGCAGAGCATCTAGATAACATCTACATAGGACAAGTGGGTACCCAGCATCCTTGGAGGTCCCCTCTTCTACTGTGGTAGGAAGGTGGAGGGGGTGTTTGGGTATAAGTTCAGGTGTGGGAAGTTAGAATTTCTCTAGATGGTTTTAATTTTCTCTGTGAAATAAGAGATAAAGTCATTCCTGGAAAGGATGTGAGGAGGCAGAAGCTGCTGGTGGCTGGACAAGAGTGGAGTAAGCTTGAGACAGTGTTGCAGGAATTGCAAGAGAGCTGGCTCAAGAAATGCAATAAAGTACCTGGTCTCCTCTAAGAAGGCATGTCATAGGGTTCTTTTAGGTTTGGGGTTTTGTCACATAGGGGCATAAGGAGAAGAGACAGTGATGGCTCCAGAATTTCTGTTTAGTAGAGCTTTAGAAGAAGCAATCTGATTTGGGGATAGGAGGGCTTGAAGCATCTTGTACAGTATTTTACATTAGGTATATTAAGAAAACATCAATTGTTCATATAGAAGAACAGGGAAGACATAGGAAAATTGAGAATGATGTAAAGCCCTCTCCTGCAACCTTGCGTTCACCAACACCACCGGAAAGAGTTTCTGGTTTTGGCAAGGGTGATATGGAGATTCTGAAGTCTGGGAGCTCTTCCAAAAGCCAGTAAGAAGGGCTGTGCACTATCTGAACTTCCCTGAAGTAGTTCATTCCAGCACTCCTGGGCAGCTGGCATTCATGTTCAGACCATCTGGTGGCCACACTCAGGATGGATTTTTTCCCCTATAAAAAGGGGTCAGGTCTCTCTGTTTTGCAATTAGCAATTTGGGGGGCCAAGTATGACTCCCCATAGTATGCTATGAGAATGGGAAGCCCAGGGATCTGCTGATTCTTCTGCTGTGAGGTCCAACTTGAACCAAGTATTTGTCTGAGAAGAATGGAGGTAACAAATGGATTGGAAAGAGGAGGGATCAGTGGACTCTGATCAAGATGCAGGAGGTTTGAATGAGTCGTTCTGAAGGCTGGGTAACTGTAGGTAATGACAAAGTCCAGGGCGTGGCTGAAGGGGCATAGAGGAGAAGATCCCTGCAGAGGAGGAGGTAAAGGAACTGAGCAGCCAGGGTGTTGGGTAGGTCATCTGTGGGAACACTGAAGGCATTGGGTCTCCTGGAAGATCTTGAGAAGAAGAAGACTCTGAGCAGGTCCCAAAGTCTTCAAAAAGTAAGAGGAGTAACTAGGAGGTCAGCAGATGGTGACAGAAGTTGAAGGGCATGAGGACAATGTGGTCCAGTGGCATGAGACTAGAGCCTCACGGGAACTGGTTTTCTTACACCATGTTGCCCAGGCTGGTCTCAAACTCTTGGCCTCAGGTGATCCCAGAGGGGCCTCCCAAAGTGCTAGGATTACAGGTCTAAGCCACCATGCCGGGCCTGTTTTTAGTTAATTTTTTTTTTTCTAAGACAGAGTCTGGCTCTGTAACCCAGGCTGGAGTGCAGTGGCATGATCTTTGCTCACTGCAACCTCCATCTCCCAGGTTCAAGCAATTCTCCTGCCTCAGCCTCCTGAGTAGCTGGGATTACAGGTACCTGCCACCATGGCTGGCTAATTTTTGTATTTTCAGTAGAGATGGGGTTTCACCATGTTGGCCAGGCTGATCTGGAACTCCTGACCTCAGGTGATCCACCCTCCTTGGCCTCCCAAAGTGCTGTGATTACAGGTGTGAGCCACCGTGCCCCGCTATTTTTAGTTTTTAAAGGAACCTCCATACTGTTTTCCATAGTGGTTTTATTAATTTACATTCCTACCAACAGTGTACAATGGTAAGGATGTGGAGAACATCCTTACCAGCTCTGATATTCTGTCTTTTTGATAAAAGCCATTCTAACTGTGTGAGATGGTATCTCATTGTGGTTTTGATTTGCATTTTTCTGATGATTCGTTATATTGAACATTTTTTCCTATACCCCTTGGCCATTTATATATTTTCTTTCAGGAAATGTCACCTCATATCTTTTTCCCCATATTTTAATCAGATTTTTTTTTTTTTGCTGTGGAGTTGTTTGAGCTCCTTATATATTCTGGTTATTAATCCCTTGTCAAATGGATAGTTTGCAAATATTTTCTTTCACTCTGTGAGTTGTCTCTTGGTTGTTTTCCTTGCTGTGTGTAAGCTTTTTAGCTTGATAAAATTCTATTTGTTTATTTTTGCTTTGGTTGCCTGTACTTTTGAGATCTTATGTAAAAATTCTTTGCCCAGACCAGTGTTCTAGAGCGGTCCCTAAAGGTTTCTTCTAGAACTTTCATAGCTTCAGGTCTTAGACATAAGTCTTTAATCCATTTTTATTTGATTGTTGTATATGGTAAGAGATAGGAGTTTAGTTTCATTCTTCTGCATATAGATATCCAGTTGTCTCAGCACCACTTATTGAAGAGACTGCGCTCTCCCCATTGCATGCTCTGGTACCTTTGTAAAAAATTAGTTGGCTGTAAATGTGTGGATTTACAGCTGGGTTCTCCATGCTGTTCCATTGGTCTATGTGTCTTTTTTTTATGCCAATATCATGCTGATTTTGTTACTATGGCTTTGTAGTATATTTTGAAGCCAGATAGAGTGATGCCTCTGGCTTCATTCTTTTTGCTCAGGACTGCTTTGGCTATTCAGAGTCTTTCGTGATTCCATATAAATTTTAGGATTGTTTTTCTATTTTTGTGAAGAATGTCATTAGTCTTTTCATGAGGATTGCACTGAATCTATAAATTGCTTTGGATAGTACTGTCATTTTAAAAATATTAATTCTGTCAATCCTTGAGCATGAAATATCTTTCCATTTTTTGGTGTGTGTTCTCTTCAACTTCTTTTTCCAGTGTGTTATAATTTTCCTTGTATGGATAAATGAAATTGCTTTCTTGATTTCTTTTTCAGATTGTTCACTGTTAGTGTATATAAATGTTACTAATTTTTTTTTTTTTGATACAGGGCCCGGCTCTGTTGCCTAGAATGGAGGGCA
This sequence comes from Homo sapiens, assembly GCF_000001405.40. Classification (NCBI taxonomy): domain Eukaryota; kingdom Metazoa; phylum Chordata; class Mammalia; order Primates; family Hominidae; genus Homo; species Homo sapiens. The sequence continues at coordinate 153,671,167 of NC_000004.12, forward strand.
GTGGTGCGATCTCAGCTCACTGCAACCTCCACATCTGGGGCTTGTGATCCTCTCACTTCAGCATCCCAAGTAGGTGCAGGTGCACGCCACCATCGCCAGGTAATTTTTGTATTTTTTTTTGGTATAGACAGGCTGCCCAGGCTGGTTTTGAACTCCTGAGCTCAAGCCATTTTCCTGCCTCTGCCTCCCAAAGTGCTGGGATTACAAAGTCAGCTACCGCACCCAGCACTACTGATTTTTTGATTTTGTATCCTGCAATTTTACTGAATTTGTTCATTAGTTCTAATAGCTTTTTTTGTGTGTGTGAAGTATTTAGGTTTTCCTAAATATAAGATCATGTCATCTGTGTACAAGCCTGATTTGATTTCTTCCTTTCCAACTTGGGTGCCCTTGATTTCTTTCTCTTGTCTAATTGCTCTCACCAGTACTTCCAGTATTATGTTGAATAAAAGCAGTCAAAGTGGGTATCCATGTCTTGTTCCAGGTCTTAGAGAGAAACTTTCCATTTTTCCCCATTCAGCATGATATTGGCTGTGGTTTGCCATATACAGTGAGGTATATTCCTTCTACACCTAGTTCATTGAGGGTTTTTATCATGAAATGATGTTGAATTTTATCAAATGCTTTTTCATCATCTATTAAAAAGATCATATGGTTTTTGTTCTTGGTTCTGTTAATGCAACGAATCACATATATTGATTTGCTTATGTTGAACCATTCTTGCATCCCTTGGACAAATCCCACTTGATCATAGTGAATGATCTTTTTAATGTGCTGTTGGATTCAGTTTGCTAGTATTTTGTTGAGGATTTTTGTGTCTATGTTCATCAGTGATATTGGCCTGTAGTTTTCTTTTTGTTGTTGTTGTGTCCTTATCTGGTTTGGGCCTCAGGACAATGCTGGTTTTGTAGAATGAGTTTGGAAGAATTCCCTCCTTGTCAATTGTTTTCGAGGAGTTTGACTAGAATTGGTATCAGTTATTTAAATATTTGGTAGAATTTAGCAGTGAAGCCATCGGGTCATGGGGTTTTCTTTGAGAGAAATTTTTTATTATGACTTTGATCTCATTACTTGTTATTGGTTTATTGAGGTATTCTATGTATGCACAGTTCAGTCTTGGTAGGTTGCATGTGTCTAGGAATTTATCCATTTCTTCTAGGTTTTTCAATTTGTTGGTGTATAATTGTTCATCCTAGTCTTTAATGATTCTTTGTATTCTGTGATATCAGTTGTAATGCCCCCCTTTTCATTTCTAATTTTATTTATTTCTTCTCTCTTTTTTCTTAGTCTAGCTAAAGGTTTGTTGATTTTATCTTTTCAAAAAGCCAACTTTTTGTTTTGTTGGTCTTCTGTATGGTTTAGTCTCAATATCATTTATTTCTGCTATGATCTTTATTATTTCTTTCCTCCTATTAATTTTTGGTTGGTGTAGGCTGGGCGCAGTGGCTCACGCCTGTAATCCCAGCACTTTGGGAGGCCGAGGCAGGCGGATCACAAGGTCAGGAGATCGAGACCATCCTGGCTAACACGATGAAACTCTGTCTCTACTAAAAATACAAAAAATTAGCCGGGCGTGGTGGCGGGCACCTGTAGTCCCAGCTACTAGGGAGGCTGAGGCAGGAGAATGGCGTGAACCTGGGAGGTGGAGCTTGCAGTGAGCCGAGATCGTGCCACTGCACTTCAGCCTGGGTGACAGAGCGAGACTGTCTCAAAAAAAAGAAAAAAATTTTTGGTTGGTGTGATGGTTAATACTGAGTGTCAACTTGATTGGATTGAAGGATGCAAAATATTGATCCTGGGTGTGTCATGAGGGTGTTGTGAAAAGAGATGAACATTTGAGTTAGTGGACTGGGAAAGGCAGACCCATCCTTAATCTGAGTGGGCACAATCTAATCAGCTGCCAGTGGGCTAGAATATAAGCAGGCAGAAAAATATGAAAAAGAGAGACTGGCCTAGCCTCCCAGCCTACATCTTTCTCCTGTGCTGGATGTCTCCTGCCCTCTAACACTGGACTCCAGGTTCTTCAGTTTTGGAACTCAGACTGGCTCTCCTTGCTCCTCACCCTGCAGACAGCCTATTGTGGGACCTTGTGATCATGTGAGTTAAAACTTAATAAACTTCCCTTTCTTTATATATAAAGGGAATATATATATATGGAATATATATATGTGGAATGTATATATGTGGAATGTATATATGTGGAATGTATATATGTGGAATGTATATATGTGGAATGTATATATGTGGAATGTATATATATGTGGAATGTATATATGTGGAATGTATATATGTGGAATGTATATATGTGGAATATATATATATGTGGAATATATATATGGAATACATATATATAAAAAAGGAATATATATATATATATAAAGGGTATATATATATATATATATGTAAAGGGAAGTTTATATATATGTTATATATATATTCCATTACTTCTGTCCCTCCAGAGAACCCTAATACAGTTCTTGCTTTTCTAGTTCCTTGAAGTGTATCATTAGGTAAGTTTATTTGATGTATTTTTACTTTCTTGATGTAGACATTTATTGCTATAAACCTCCTTCTTAGTATTGCTTTTGCTGTATCTTATAGATTTGGGTATGTTATATTTCCATTTCTATTTGTTTCAAGAAATTTTAATTTTTTCTTCTTAATTTCTTCATTGACCCATTGGTCATTCAGGAGCATGTTGTTTCATTTTTATGTGTATGTGTAGTTTCCAAGATTCCTCTTGTTATTGACTTCTAGCTTTATTCCATTGTGGTCAAAAACAATATTTGATATGATTTCTCCTTTTTGAGTTTGTTGAGACTTGTTTTGTGGGCTAAAATATGGCAGACTCTGGAGAATGTTCCATGTGCTGATTCAAAAGAATGTGTATTCTGCAGCAGTTGGGTGAAATGCTCTGCAAATGTCAGTTAGGTCTATTTGGTCTAGTGTGTAGTTTAATTCTGATGTTTCCTTGTTGATTTGCTGTCTGCATGACTTGTCCATTGAAGTCCCTTACTATTACTGTACTGCAGTCTACGTCTCCCTTGAGCTCCATTATGTTTGCCTTATATACTTCGGTGCTCTGCTGTTGGGTGCATAGATATTTATAATTGTTATAGCCTCTTGCAAATCGACCCCTTTATTCTCATATAGTGACCTTCTTTGGCTCTTTTTATAGTTTTTTACTTTATTTTATCTGACATAAGTATAGCTACTCCTGTTTTTTTGTTTGTTTTTACTTGCATGGAATATCATTTTTCATCACTTCACTTTCAATTTATGTGGGTTTTTATAGATGAGGTGGGTTTCTTATAGCTGGATCTTGTTTCATTATCCATTCAGCCATTTTATGTCTTTTAATTGAAGAATTAAATCCATTTACATTTAGTGTTATTATTGATAAGGGCTTACTACTGCTATTTTGTTGCTTGTGTTCTCCTTTTTAAACTCCTTTCTTACTGTCTTCCTTTGTGGTTAAGTGATTGTTTTGGTAGTATGTTTTAATTTATTGCTTTTTATTTTTAGTGTATCTATTATAGGTTTTTGCATTGTGGTCACCATGAAGCTTACAAAAAATGTCTTATAGATATAACAAGTTGTTTTAAAGAGATGATAATTTATCTTAGATCAGAAAAAAGAATAGAAACAAAGAACAAACTTAAAAAACAAAAAACCCTCTATACATTGACTCCAATACCCCCCACATTTTGACTTTTCTTTTCTCAGTTTACATACTTTTATATTGTCTGTCTGTTAATAAGTTGCTATAGCTATTATTGTTTTGCATATACTTGCCTTATAGGTTTCCTACTAGAGTTTTGAGTGGATTGCATACCATAATTACAGCACTGGAGTATTCTTGGGTTGTCTTCATACTAGTGGGTTTTATACCTTCAAATGTTTTCTTTTTGCATGTTAGTGTTTTTTTTTTCTTTCAAATTGAAGAACTCCCTTTAGCATTTCTTGTAAGACAGGTCTGGTGGTTGTGACTTCTCTTAGCTTTTGTTTGTCTGGGAAGAGTTAATTTCTCTTTCATATATGAAGAATAGCCTTTCCAAATATAGTATTCTTGGGTGGCAGGGTTTTTTCAGAACATTGAAAATGTTGTTGCGTACCCTCCTGGCCTGTATGGTTTTCGTTGATAAGTCTGTTGCCAGATGAATTGGAGTTTCTTTGTATGTTACTTGCTTCTTTTCTCTTGCTGCTTTTAGGATCCTCTCTTTATCCTTGACATTTGGGAGTTTGATTATTTTATGCCTTGATGTAGTCTTATTTGGGATGAATCTGTTTGGTATTCTCTGACCTTCCTCTACATGGACATTTATATCTTTTTCAATTTTTGGAAAGCTTTCTGTTACTATTTATTTGAATAAGCTTTCCATCCCTTGCTCTTGCTCAACTACCTCTTGAACAACAATAAATTTTAGACTTGGTCATTTCCATGTATTTTAGGTAAACTTTCTTCCTGTTCAATCTTTTTTCTCTTTTGACTGTGTGATATTGAATAGGCTATCTTCAAGCCAACTGATTCCTTCCTTTGCTTGATCTATTCTGCTGTTGAGACCCTCTAATAAATTTTTCATTTCAGCAAATGTTTTTTCAGTTCCAAGATTTGTTTGATTTTTAAAATTATTATTTCAATCTCTTTGTTAAATTTCTCTGATAAATTTCTGAATTGCTTTTCTGTGTTATCCTGAAGGCCACTGAGTTTCCTTAAAATTGCTATTTTGAATTATTTGTCAGAGAGCTCATGTATCGCCATCTTCTTAGGGCCTGTCATGGGTATCTTGCTTTGTCCAGTTAGGGAGGTTTTGGTTCCCTATTTGCTGTTGTTTCTTGTGGATATACCTCTATGTCTTTGCATTGAAGGATTTGTTATTTATTCCAGTCTTTTCTGGCTTGTTTTGGTTTTTATTTGGTATATTTGCCTAGAGATTCTTTGTAATTTACTTGTTAATTTCTTATTTCCCCCACCACTAAGTTGCCACCTCCTTTTTGGTGCTAGATGATGCCTTAAGCACAGGTTTGCCTCAGCTCTAGCAAAGAATCAGAGTGCTGCAAGTCCCAAATGGAAGAAGTCCCAGTGGGGATATCTTGCCAATTTGGGAAGGCTGGCTAGAGGTTCATGCCCAAGGGACCTGTGGAAGGTAATTCCTAAAGCTAGTGCTGCTAAACAGTCACTCTGATTTGGCATCTCCTTTGGCTTAATTACAGAGCAGAGTTTCCAGGGCTGGGCAAGGTAGTCCCACCTCTCACCTTGACTTTTGCTGTTTGCAGGGATATTTCTTTCTTCAGGCACTTGTGATGCTTTCTGTGGGTTGAGGCAGGTACAGTTCCCCTGCCAGGGAGCCGAAGGTGATGGGGAAGCTGCTTGTCGACCTCTATCTCACTTTTTCCAGGGTAGAAACTATGAGTGGGGAGGAATTTTCCCCATGCTTCATGACAGGCAGATTGTGGGGAGGGGCATCGTGGATGTGGAAATCTGATTCTCTTAGTCTATTCCAGGCTTTTTCACTTGTCTGTGGCCCCAGGAACTGACTCATCCTCATCTTTGAGTTCTGGGATATTGCTGGTGATAATATCTGCACTGTCTATTTGTTTTGAGTTTTCTGTGGACAGGGAAATGAAGCCAGTATGCCACCATTTTGGAACTGAAATTCTCCAAAGTATACACTTTAAGTCGCTATGATAAGCGACTCTCATAGGCCAAATTCTTTTAAACATGACAAGTCTTAAAAAATCAAGTATCCACCAATTCTTTAACACAAAATATTAATATAAATACTAATTATACATCTTCCAGAGGTTGCACCTAGAAACTTTTTGGAGTAAGTAAGACTGTCCATCTAAGTGCCCAATAGGACAAAAACCTTGCAGGCTTTGAAAGATTCTTACACACCCATAGGAAACGATTACATCATTGTATGTAATTTGGGGAATTCCTTCTTAGATACTTGGCCAGCAATATTGGCTGAGAAGCTGACAGTAGTCTTGTCTGTGACCCTGACCAGTACACACTGAGCTCTAGTTATACTTAATAATAGAAACTGAATGAAAAGAAAACAGTGGTTACACAGCTTATATTCCTGACTTTGAATCATATCATGACTCATTGTTTTTCCAACTACATGGAAGTTGGCAACCCCTACACAGACTGGCATACCACAAAGTTGGACTCAGCAGTTATTTGGCTAAGATATATATATAGATATATAGATATATATCTATATTATATATATAGAGAGAGAGAGATTGAGAGAGATGGAGTCTCAACTCTGTCTTGCCCAGGCTGGAGTGCAGTGGCATGATCTCAGCTCACTGCAGCCTCCGCCTCTTAGGTTCAAGTGATTATCCTGTATCAGCCTCCCAAGTAGCTGGGAATACAGGCGGGTACTGCCACACCCAGCTAATTTTGTATTTTCAGTAGAGATGGGGTTTCACCATGTTGGCCAGGCTGGTTTCAAACTCCTGACCTCAGGTGGTCCACCTGCCTTGGCTTCCCAAAGTGTTGGGATTACAGGCGTGAACCAGGCTAAGATATTTTAGTACATTTTTCAAGGTGCTCCAAATAAGTTAGAACTTGATAAAATTCTACCTTCTTTTCATATTCTTCTCTGAAGTGGTCTGAAAGGCCATATAACCCTTATATATATTAAAATGATATCAGTCACTCATGGTTTTGCTTGACTATGTGGGTGAAAATAGTGCACTATATTTCTTCATTCCCATCTTTAAATGAAGTCAGCTCTTGTGTGGTGGAGGCAAGATGTCAGTCAAGACAAGGGGCCTGGTCTAGGCTTCTTTCCCCTGAAGTCTTGTCTCTGCAATGGCCACTTCAGATGTTTATACTCCATTCCTCCAGGTCTAGCCCATATTCTGAAAAGGCAAGGCAATCCACCACTCAACAAGTATTCATTGAGTGCCAGCCATGCTATTGGGGATGAGAATAGTTCAGTGCATAAAAGAAAACAAAATCCCTGCCCCATGGGATTTACATCCAGTCATACTTAGCAGATGTGTGTGAATCTGGAAGCACCTTTTCTATAGCCTGACAGAATTCTTACAACAGGTGAAAACTACTTGCCTTGTCTTCGGGAGCCTTGTGCATTTGGATCTATCCTTTAACAACTAACCTTGTCTATCATCCTCACAGTCTGACTCTTTACTTCTGGGATAGTCCAACAGAGACTTGAGGAAATGTTTCCTTCTCTCTTTTTCCATTTTCCCAAATTTAAATTCATGAAATATATATAAGTTCTCTAAATTAAAAACAACAGGATATTTTACCAACTTTCTGTTCTGAACTAATTTAAAATTTATGTTTCCAATCCCCAGAGATATGAACTAAAAAGCCTGAAATAAATGTAGATCAGTCACTTGAGCTGACATATGAAGCAGTCAACTTTACTCTGAGACGTTTTGTTTGATCTTTCAAGTTTCTAAAAGTATTTGGAAGCGGGAAACACTGTTCTTCATATGAGATAAAAGGAAGAAAAAAGGACCTTATAGTCAGGCTCATTGTGAAAAAACTAATATTAAGATAAGCTGAAGCAATCAAATGAGAGCATTTGCAAATCACTTGTTGGAGGTAAAGCTGGAAGCCTATGTAGTTCAGGAAAATGGAAGATGAGATGGCTGAGATCCCACGAAAAGACCACGTCCAATAGAAACTGTAATAAAACAGAGCTCAGCTACAGGAATTTTCAATGATGACAAAATTTTAAAGACATGCTTCTACTTTTGTATTGACTAAAGATCTTCAGGTTGAAAGTGTCAAGATCTGCTTAATAGCATATCCTCTGTTGCAACATTCAAAATCATCAGGATTCTTAGATCTCAGTGAAAAATTGATGTTTGAAGAATAATTGAAGTATTCAGTCCATAAGGAAGCCTGAAGCTCCCTATACACCTTGAATTTCATGCTAAATAATCTGCAAGTTCTGGAAAATGCTGCTTAACTCTAGAAAAACTGACTAACCTTGATCTTGGTCAGCATATACTTGGTTCTTTACATATCACTTATCAATGGTCAGAAAGGGAAGAATACTTGAACTTATCTAACACAAAAATTCACAATTTAACCAATTGTTTCCCAGACACGAGGCTTACTAGAAGTGAGCCTTGTAAACTTTTATTTAGCTGCAATTTAAATAACTTTACATTTTCAGATATGTGTTGAAGACCCTACCAGATGCTTTCTTCCCCTTTGAGAAGAAGCAGGAAAAGAAAACTTTCTCTAAAGGGCAACTTGACTCTTTTCACACACTGAAGACTTTGGAAGCTGGTGGCAACAACTTCATTTGCTCCTGTGAATTCCTCTCCTTCACTCAGGAGCAGCAAGCACTGGCCAAAGTTCTTATCGGTTGGCCAGCAAACTACCTGTGTGACTCTCCATCCCACGTGTGTGGCCAACAGGTTCAGGACGTCTGCCTTTTGGTGTCGGAGTGCCACAGGGTGGCACTGGTGTCTGGCATGTGCTGTGCCCTGTTCCTGCTGATCCTGCCCATGGGGGTTCTGTGCCACTGTTTCCACAGCCCGTGGTACATGAAAATGATGTGGGCCTGGCTCTAGGCCAAAAGGAAGCACAGGAAAGCTTGCAGCAGGGACATCTGCTATGACGCATTTGTTTCTTATAGTGAGCAGGATGCCTACTGGGTGGAGAACCTTATGGTCCAGGAGCTGGAGAACTTCAATCCCCTCTTCAAGTTGTGTCTTCATAAGTGGGACTTCATTCCTGGCAAGTGGATCATTGACAATATCATTGACTCCATTGAAAAGAGACACAAAACTGTCTTTGTGCTTTCTGAAAACTTTGTGAAGAGTGAGTGGTGCAAGAAGGAACTGGACTTCTCCCATTTCCGTCTTTTTGATGAGAACAGTGATGCTGCCATTCTCATTCTTCTGGAGCCCATTAAGAAGCCATTTGCCTTAGTCAATCTGGGCTGCTATAGCAAAAATGCCAATAGACTGGGTAGTTTATAGATAAGAGAAATTCATTTCTCACAGATCTAGAGGCTGGGAAGTCCAAGATCAAGGTGTTGGCAGATTTGGTATCTGGTGAGGAACTCTTCCAGGCTCAAAGATAGCTGTCTTCTCACTGTGTTCTTGGTGGTGGAAGGGGTGAGGGAACTCTCTGAAGTTTCTTTTGGAAGGGAACTAATCCCATTCATGAAGCTTCTGCCCCCATGACCTAATCACTCATCAAAGGGCCCACCTCCAGTACCTCACATTGGGGGTTAGGATTTCAACAGATGAATTTCAGGAGGACACAGGCCTTCAGTCTATGGCTAGGATCATTCCCCAGCATTTCTGTTAAGCTGCAGAAGATAATTAACACCTAGACCTGCCTGGAGTGGCCACTAATGAAGCTCAGCGGGAAGGGTTTTAGTTAAAGAAAACTCCTAGTTTTTAGTTCGACCATTGTGGAAGACAGTGGTGATTCCTCAAGGATCTAGAACTAGAAATACCATTTGACCCAGCCATCCCATTACTGGGTATATACCCAAAGGATTATAAATCATGCTACTATAAAGACACATGCACACGTATGTTTATTGCGGTACTATTCACAATAACAAAGACTTGGAACCAACCCAAACGTCCATCAATGATAGACTGGATTAAGAAAATGTGGCACATATACACCATGGAATACTATGCAGCCATAAAAAAGGATGAGTTCATGTCCTTTGTAGGGACATGGATGAAGCTGGAAACCATCATTATGAGCAAACTATCACAAGGACAAAAAACCAAACACTGCATGTTCTCACTCATAGGTGGGAATTGAACAATTCCCACCTGGACACAGGGTGGGGAACATCACACACCAGGGCCTAACGTGGGGTGGGGGGCTGGGGGAGGGGTAGCATTAGGAGAAATACCTAATGTGAATGACGAGTTAATGGGTGCAGCACACCAACATGGCACATGTATACATATGTAACTAACCTGCACGTTGTGCACATGTACCCTAGAACTTAAAGTATAATAATAATAAATAAAACATATCAAAAAAAAGAAAAATGAGCTTGGGAGTCATCATGCCTCCTGCTCCCTTCCCCTGCCCCCAGCCCCCAGCCCCACTTCTGGCTGGGACCTTTGAAGAGTGCAGTTCCCTCTTCCCCATAATTCATTCTGTCCATCTACTCATTCCAACACACTTTTTGATCTGATTTCTATGGCTCAGCTCCAAGGTGCTTGCCTCAGTCCCCTGGCCCGCAGGAGCCCACAAAAAAAAAAAAAAAAAAAAACTCCTAGTTTTTAAAAGGGAAATATATACAACATGAAATATTCTGTTTTCAGAACTTGGTTCTATGTTAACTTAGAAGTTTACTACTATTATTTTGCATAGGCAATATTTTTGAAATGTCTTAAAAAATTACGGACATACGGACATCTGTGCAGAGTAAAAAAATTTTGAAGAATGTATGTTCATGTATAAAGATCTGTAAAATAATGCAGGATTTATGGCATATTTTCATTAAGTGGTTTTCGGTGGATGAGTTTCTTATTATTTCATCTGACAATTACAATATACTTTATGTGAAAAAGACATAGACTGTGTGTTTTGTTTTGTTTTTTCGAAACAGAGTCTCACTCTTATCTCCCAGCCTCAACACACTGGACTCAAACGATCCTCCAACCTCAGCCTCCTGAGTAGCTGGGGTTACAGCTACAAACCATCATGCCTGGCTAATTTTTGAATTTTTGTAGAGATGGGGGTCTCCCTGTTTTGCCCAGGCTGGTCTCAAACTCCTGGACTCAAGATCCTCCTGTCTTGGGCTCCCAAAGTGCCGGGATTACAGGTGTGAACCACCACGCTGGCCTTGTGTTTTCGGATAACTTTCAGATAACAGCTTAGGATTTCAGTTAGATGCTCAAAACTATGAATATATACAATGAAAGTTACCCTTTCCCCAAATATTAGTACATTTCATATGCCGTGTTGATTTTCTAACTTTAATCAACATTTTTCTTTTTTTTGGTAGAGAGTTATAGGAGGTCTTATATCTAGATACAGAAGGAGACTTGGAGTCTAACCTGGGATTTGCCACATGTTAACTGTGAGCCATGCGACTCTGGGCAAGTTCCCTAATCACTTTAACCAAAGGAATAGTAATATCAGAATTATTTATTGCATGTGTTATTGTAAGATTCAGATGAAATTCTAGATGTGAAGGTGCTTCAAAAATGTCAAGAACTAGGCCGGGTGCTGTGGCTCACACCTGTAATCCCAGCACTTTGGGAGGCCTAGGCTGGTGGATCACTTGGTGCCAGGAGTTCAAGACCAGCCTGGTCAACATAGCAAAACCCTGTCTCTACCAAAAATACAAAAATTAGCCAGGCGTGGTGGCACGCACCTGTAATCCCACCTACTTGGGAGGCTGAGGCAGAGAATTGCTTGAATCTGGGAGGTGGAGACTGCAGTGAGATGAGATTGCACCACTGCACTCCAGCCTGGGTGACAAAACGAGACTCCATCTCAGAAAAAAAAAAAAAAAAAAAGAAAATGTCAAGAACTGAACAAGTATAAGGACTGTGTCTGAATTGGACGTGCTAATAGCTTTGTGGACAGTGTACAACTACCTTCAATATATGCAGAGGACACTGATTTGTGGCTAAATAAATGATTTCTATCTGACTTTGCCAGACAATTCTAATTGACTTTGGGATTATAGAGCAATAGCATCAAAATCCACCTTAGGCAGTTCAACTAGGGAAGAGAAATAGAGAAAAAACAAGTTTTTAGTTTCAGGAGAAATAATTTGAAGGAAGTTTTCTTTTGTCAGAAATCACAAGGTAGAGAGCTGGAGATTTGGAATTAATAAGAAAGCATTTTCAGCCAGCTGGACAACCTGATGGTCAGGATAAAGAAAAATAGTAAGATAGTGACCTGTATACAAAAACCTCTCAATTTCATATTTAGGTCTATTGATTAAGTTTCCCTGATGTTCCAACCATCAGAGAGGATTAGGGATGTGGAACAGGGTAGGAGAAACAGCCCTGGATTTAAGGTAAAATTCTGGTTTCAAATCTCAGTTCTGTCATATGTTATACAATTCACATGACATTTTCTTGTGTAAGGGAGGAACAAGGATGCTTGCTCTGCTTCATATCTCACTTTGTGAAAATCAAATGTAATTATGAACATAAAAGGTAGATTATTAACATTAAGGCAGTTGAATTTTAAAAGCTTGTTTTCTTCCCTTATACATATTCCTAACCGTGGAGACAGCTAGGTTCTGTGGCAATGAAGAAAATTGATCAATGACTGTTTTTGGTATTACTTTGGGAAGTAGGGATGGAATAGGGGCAAGGGAAGGGCTTAGCTTCAAACTGTAGACAGAAGTGGGAAGCCCAAATCTTTGCATGGTGAGAAGTGGGATGGAATGTAGGTGCTAGAGATGGTGCACCAGTAGGGACTGTCACTGGATTGGGGAAAAAAATCCGGGGCTGTCCTTATCTGCTCCCTTAGGCAAAATCGTTCTGTGTTAGTCTGGAGGGTGAACCTATTTTAATGCAGGAGGGCATAGACTTTTGGGTGGAAGCGGACCCTGGAGATGTACTGGCAGGTGAATAGAGTGTGGAAAAGTGGGGAAAGGAGAAGCACGATTCATGAGCCTGAGTTCGGGCTTCCATGGATGGAAAAGCATCAGGAGTGGAATTTAAAGACGGTGTGTTTCAGGTGATGTGAGGTCCTGGATGCCCGAAGCTTCAAGAAAATACTGGTTGGGCACTTAGCTTTCCCTGTGGTTGCCAATCCCACGCAGGCCGCCTCTAGCGTCTCGATTCGCTTTTCTCTGACCTGGAACCTCCGCCAAGCCCCCAGCTCTCTTCTTCGACCCAGCCTTGCACGGGGCAGCTGTCGGGGCAGGACCCGCCTCTGGCCTGTCGCAGCCTAGCTCACGGTCAAGGGCGGGAGCCTGCTGGGAAGCACGGCCGCGGGGGCTCGCTCGGGGCCACCTGCCTGGAACTCAGCGCGAGGTCCAGAGTTCCCTCCGGCTGCGCAGCGGCGCACGTGCCCCGTGGAAGGGGCGGTTCCCGCACCCCAGAAGGAGGGGGCGCCCGGCCGCGCGGACTTTCCCTTTTGCTTACTTCCTAGTCCCGGGCAGGCCGGCTCGGAGGCAGCGAGAAAGCGCAGCCAGGCGGCTGCTCGGCGTTCTCTCAGGTGACTGCTCGGAGTTCTCCCAGGTACGTCGTGCGCTCCCCACTCGTGTGGTCTCTCTGCACCCCTTCCTGGGGTCGGGTCGGGCAGGGGCGGAGGGGAGCCGCAGCCCGGTCACGGGCTCTGGGGAACCCGGGCTCCCGTTCGGCTGCACCTGGGCCCCTAGCTCCTGTCCGGGCGGGGATAGCGGGAAGCGCACCAGGCCCCCGGGACGCCGGTGCTTCTTTGCACGGCCCAGCGCGGGAATGTGGACACCAGCGAAGCCGGCTCAGGTCGGCCCTCGGGAGAAGCAGGGGCTACACGGAAAGGGAGCCCGAGGGTCCTGCAGAGCCCGAGGTCGGGACCCCGCGCGTGCAGTGCCAATGGGCTGCGGCTGGGCTGAGCGCCCTTCCAACCTTGCAGGCCCCGGGGGGGTTGCCGCGGAGAGCTTCCGCTGGGGCTCCGGGCCTCTGGCCGCCACCTCCCTCGGGAGGCCGAGGGGGGCGGTGGCCCCGGCCCGGCCCTCCCGCTTCCCTCACGGCCTGGCCCTCCCGCTTCCCTGATTCCCGGTAGGGTCGCTCTCCCCGCCTCCTGGCCCCTCTTGGCTCGGATGACAAAGATTGGGTAAAGGCTTTCAACGAGCTAGCGTCTGGCAGGGGGTGTGTCCTCGCTCACTGGTTACTGCTAGGACGGAGCTTGGATTTTGGTCACCGTGGCTCAGAGGTGGGAAAGGTTCCGTGCTCTGGGTCTGTCCAGGACCCTGGCTCCCTAACCCAAGTCTGACCTCTGCTCCCTGGCAGGCTTCGCCCCACCTCTGCGTTCCTTCATTCTTAGGATGTGTGAGTTAGGTCTCTGATTAGAAAACAACTTACAGCGTTTAAGCAAAGTCGAGTCCTTCAAGTAAGAATGCTTTGAAGTGCCCTTTACAACTTCTTCAACTTCTATAAATATGAACTTGTGTTTAGAACTTAAATGCAAGCCAGGAAAGTCTTTTTCCTGTTTGAAAGAGAGAGAAAGAGAGAGAAAGAGGTGATTGGAAGTGGTGGGTGGGGGCGGAGAAAGAGAAGGAGAGTAATCTGGGTGTAGACAACTCAAAGTTTGCTGAGATGACTTTAATCTTTTGACTCTGTTATTAAGATTTTTACCAAAGAGCAACTGTAGCTATGGTGGCCTGACTTGAAGGGACAGACCAAACAAACAACAAAACACAAAACAAAACAAACAAACAACAAAAGCAAGAGCAGAAACTATTGGAAAATGATTTATTCACCAATATTTTAAAGGTTCTTCCTGTTCTAAGCAAGGAACATCTTTAAGTTCTTTATAATGTACCCATTTTACATTTACAAAAACTGCCAGAAGTTGACAGCATGTTTTGGGGGTTTCTAAGCTATCAGTTAATTTTTTGGGGTACAGTTTTATTGATAAACTAACAGAGTAGAAAAAATCTAATGGAATACCCCCAAATTTAAAAGAGGGCAAGAAAAGAGAGACAATAGAACATAAAACAAATGGGACAAGAATAAAGTACATAGTTGTCACAGTCCCTTGGGTGCTGCTGTAACAAAATACCTGAGACTGGGTAATTTACAAAGAACAGAAATTTATCCATTCATGGTTCTGGAGTCTGGGAAGTCCAAGATTGAAGGGCTGCATCTGGTGAGGGTCATCTGGCTACATTATAACATGATGGAAAGCATCACATGGTGAGAGAGAGCAAGAGAGGACAGAACTTACTTTTATAACAAACTCATTCTCACAATAAACTGCTCCCTTGGTGATAACATTAATCCATTTATGAGGGTACAGCCTTCATAACCTAATCACCTCTTAAAAGGTTCCACCTCTCAGCTCGCAGTGAGCCGAGATCATGCCACTGCACTCCAGCCTGGGTGACAGAGCGAGACTCTGTCTCAAAACAAACAAACAAACAAAAATTCCACCTCTCAACACTGTTGCATTGAAGATGAAATTTCCAATACATGAGCTTTGGGGCACACATTCAAACCATAGCAATAGTTCAATTACTTTAAAGCCCAAAATGTCAGTAATTATATTAAATGCAATTTAATACATCAGTAACTAAATGAGATAGACTAAATTTTATGATAATCAGACTAATATTATCAGACTAGACTTCAAAACAACCCAACAATCATATGCTGTTTACAAGAGACACATTTATGGATACTAAAAGGTATAAAGTGAACAGATGCAACCATTTATCAAAAGAAAGCTGTTGTGGCAATATTACTATTAGACAAAATAGAATTAGGAAAAAAATCATAACTGTAGATAAACGTTTCACTAAGTTAAAGGTTTCACTGAGAAGAAATAAAAATTTTGAATTTATAAGTACTTATAACAACATTAAGAAACTAGAAAATAGAAAAAGAATAGAGCCAAATTGACTGAACTAGAAAAATAGAAAATTCATAGAAAAATCCACAATCATAGTGGGAGATTTTATCATACATCTCTCAGTAACTGATAGAAAAACCAGACAAAAATCAATAAGGATAAAGAAAATGCGAACACAATGTAGTTCACATAAGGAACCTATACTACTTCCAACAGCAGCTGAAATCACAGAGCATACTTAAAATCTGACCATATACTGGCTCATAGAGTAAATTGCAATACATTTTAAAGAATTTAAATCATACAGAATATGTCTTCTGACCATAATGCAATTAAAGTAGAAAAGAACAGAAAAACTTATAGAAAATTCTCATATATTTGGAAATTAGTAAATTTCTAAATAACCCATGGGTCAAAAAATAATCAGAATGAAAATCAGAAAATATTTTTAATGACTTATGAAAAAAATTACATATAAAAACTTGTCAGATGCACCTAAACTGTTGCTTAAAGGAAACTTACAACCTTAAGTGCATATATTAGAAATGAAGAGTGACGAAAAATGAATGAGCAAGCAAATACCTTAAAAACTGGAAAAGGAATAGTAAAA
This sequence comes from Homo sapiens, assembly GCF_000001405.40. Lineage (NCBI taxonomy): Eukaryota > Metazoa > Chordata > Mammalia > Primates > Hominidae > Homo > Homo sapiens. The sequence continues at coordinate 153,687,285 of NC_000004.12, forward strand.
TAAATCCAGAGAAATCAGAACAGGGGAAATAATAATATAAGAATAGAAATTAATGTGCTAGAAAATAGGGGATCTATCAAGTCAGAAGTTGATTTTTTGAAAATGCTAATAAAAATGATGAACCTCTGGCAAGACAATAAAAGCTGGTACAAATAACTCATCTAAGGAATAAAATTGAGGACCTCTCTTTTGTTAAATGACATAAGCAGGAGGCCATTATCCTGAGACTGTCTCTACACTTTGAGTTCTTACATAATAAACTGCAACCTAATTTAGTATACTACATAAACAAACTGAAACCTAACTTAGGAGCTTTTTTTTTGTAATTAATAGCTAAATTTCCACCAAATCATAAATAGCCAAGCTTTAGCCAATCACAGGCAGCCAACTGATCAGACTATGCCCAAACAAGGTAAATGCCTATTACACCATACCCAAATAAGGCAGACTCCTAGCTGAAGCCAATCAGGTGATTACTATGCTCTTGTGTTTGGCCTATAAAAGCTCACTGCTCACACTGTTGGATGCTCTCTGAAACTTTTGTGAATCTGAGTGCTGCCTGATTCATGAATCATTCTTTGCTAAAATAAACTCTGTCAAATTTAATTTGTCTGAAGTTTCTCTTTTAACAGTGTTTGGTGTTGCAAGCAGGATCCAAAGGAGACCTATAGTGACTCCCAGGAGCTCTTAGTGACCAAGTGAAGGTACCTGTGGGGCTCATTGTGCCCATTGCTCTTTCACTGCTTTCAACTGGTAGTTGTGGGTAAGTTCCTGCTCAGACTTGAGCACTATACATTTGCATTTTCAGCTCTCTGACTTTATTTGAGCAATTCTTTGATGGATTGGCTCCAGAATTGGATTGGATTCAGTGAAGAAACTGAAACTGGACTGGTGCTCTAGGAGGCCTCAAGTAGATAAGGTTACTAGAAGACAGGGAATCCTGGGCTTATCTGGATTTAAGGAGTCTACAACTCCATCTGCAACTCCAGCCGATTTCATTTATAAGAATTATGGACCAAGAACCTGTGCTTTTCTAGAGAAATGTGTGAGCCTTACTAAAGGTAACTTAGAATTACAATGGACTGCTGAGACCAGCTCGGTCGTGGAGACCCTAACCCAGCAGCGCTAGAGGAATCAAAGACACACACACAGAAATGTAGAGTGTGGAGTGGGAAATCAGGGGACTCACAGCCTTCAGAGCTGAGAGCCCCTAACAGAGATTTACCCACATATTTACTGACAGCAAGCCAGTGATAAGCATTATCGCTATAGATTATAGATTAACTAAAAGTATTCCTTACAGGAAACAAAGGGATGGGCCGAAACAAAGGGATAGGCTCTGGCTAGATGTCTGCAGCAGGAACACGTCCTTAAGGCACAGATTGCTCATGCTATTGTTGTGGCTTAGGAACACGTTAAGCGGTTTTCTGCCCTGGGTGGGCCAGGTGTTCCTTGCCCTCATTCCAGTAAACCCACAACCTTCAGCGTGGGCGTCATGGCTGTCACAAACATGTCACAGTGCTGCAGAGATTTTGTTTATGGCCAAATCTGGGGCTAGTTTATGGCCAGGTTTGGGAGCCTGTTCCCACATGTCCCCCTTTTTTGTTTTGCAAAGCAATAAAAGCAAAGGCAGCTTTGTCACAGTGAGCTACTTCTTGCAGGAGTCGGGATTCGCATATGCATACTATACAAAGACAAACAACACAGATTAAAAGCACAACCATCATTGAAATCACAGAGCTTCCAAGTGTCTTTATCTATTTTAATGGGTTAATCACTGCTAATCTGTCTGCAGCTCCTTCAAGCACTCCAGTTCCTGGCATTAAGGTCTGGTGTGCCTGGAATGCTTTAAATATTTGTTCTTTTAATATTGCAATATGGAAAGACAAGTTTGTAGAGTGTCTTCTAGGTGCTTTTTTATTCTTTCCTGAATTTGGTCTTATTTAAGAGCCATTAATAGTTTCCACAAATCCTTATGTTTAGCTCCTACAGCGGGCCATATCATTTGAGGGTGAGGTGCCACTATACCATCATGTTTCCAGATAATAGGAACTCTTGCCATATTTCTTGCTATTTCTACCATCTGACCATTTTGTTTAGACCAGCTAAACATAGTGTGGCCATGGCACGCAGACTGAGAGGTGCAATTTAAGCTAAACATCCCCTTAGGGGACCAATCAATAATGATTCCATAGGAATCACTGCGCAGCACCTCTGCCTATTCTGCAATGCAATCTTCCCAAACAAGTATGTTCATTATTTCTGGCCAGGTCCAATTCTGTTTACAAATAGGTTTTTGAGGGCAATATGCCTCAATTATAGAAACAGATTTATTATGGTAAATACTGAGATCAGAAAGCATGTGTAACTGTGTCATAGAATGATTACATCCAGGCATTATTGCCAGCCAAGATTGATAAATATGCCCAATAAGTATAATTGTTCTCTGTGTTAGCCCTTGTTGAAGGAATACTAATGGCAATGGTGATCACTGCTATCATAGCTATCATTAAATTACTCATTGTGACTGGTTGTCCCACTTTCCTCAGGTTTTCTTCCACCCTCTATGGCAGTTTCTTGATCTGTCCCCAGGTAGATGGCTGTGTTTGATGGTTGTTGCTCGTGATAGTTTGGGTCCTCCTCAGCATCAGTCTCGACATGGCTGCAACCAGAGGGTCCTCGGGATCCTCCCAGAATCTCTTCCTTGGCATCTGGCTCATGATAAGGTTTCAGGTGTCTTGATGGTATCCAAATCAGCTATTGATTCTGGCCTGGAGAAACACAAGCATAACCTCTACCCCAAGTTATTATTTTACCTATTTCCCAACTTTTTGTTGTCAGATCTCTGCACCAAGCCAGTTGTTCTGCTTCTGTTTTTGCAGCTGGTTTCTGTAGATGCTCTTCAGCTGCTGATAGCATCTGGCCTTTAGGCAGGCTCAAAAAATTTAAAGTCATTAATGCTAGATTCAGTTGTATATGGGGTGTCCTGTAATCCCTGTTTCCCCTTTTTGCTTTTGCAACTGCTGTTTCAGGGAGAGATTCATTCTTTCTACAATGGTTTGTCCTTGAGAATTATATGGGATGCCAGTAATGTGTTTAATATTCCATATAGAGAAAAATGTAGCTAGAGCTTGGCTAGTATAGCCTGGGGCATTATCTGTTTTAACAGAAGTTGGAATTCCTATCACCACAAAACACTGCAAAAGGTGATGCTTAACACATGCAGTCTCCTGATTGGCATGTAGCCCAGACAAAGTGAGAAAAGGTGTCCACACATACATGTACATAAGCTAGTCTCCCAAACGAGGGAACGTGTGACATCCATTTGCTAAAGATAATTAGGTTCCAATCCTCGAGGATTAACTCCTCCTGTTAAAGATGAGGAATGCACCATTTGGCAAGTTGGGCATCACTGGATAATAGCTTTAGCTTCTTTCCAGGTACTGTTATATCTGCATTTGAGACCAGAGGCATTAACATGGGTTAAATTGTGAAAGTGTCTAGCATTAGATATTGCAGTAGCAACTAGGCGATCAGCCATTTGATTCCCTTCAGTTAAAGGTCCTGGAAGAGGTGTATGAGCCCTAATGTGAGTGATGTAAAAAGGGTGCATTCTACTCCTAAATGCTGTTTGCAATTGGGTAAATAAAGTCATCAGTTGTTCATCTGTATGAAGTCATAACTGAGCATTTTCAATTAATTGTATGGAATGAACCACATAGGAAGAATCAGAAATCACATTAATAGGCATATCAAAAGCAGTCAATACCTCAATTACAGCTAAAGCTCCACTTTTTGAGCTGAAGTATAGGGCGTGTGAAAAACTTTACCTTTTGATCCAGAATAAGAGGCTTTACCATTACAAGACCCATCTGTAAAAACATTCTCAGCACCTTCAGTTGGTTTAAATTTAGTTATTTTGGGGAGAATCCAATTAGTTAATTTCAAAAATTGAAATAATTTCATTTTAGGAAAATGATTATCAAGAATACCCACAAAGTCAGCTAAATGGGTTTGCCAAGTAAGACTATTTATAGAAGCTTGCTGTATTTGTGCCTTTGTGAGAGGGACAATAATTTTTCCAGGATCATATCCATGTAATTTAACAATCCGAATTCTCCCATTTCTTATCATCGTAGCCATTTGATCCAAATAAGGAGTTAGAGTCTGTGAATTAGTATGTGGAAGAAAAAGCCACTGTACAAAGTCTTGCTCTTATACAATAACACCAGTAAGTGAATGCTGAGTTGGAAAAATTAGCAAATCTAGGGTCTTTTTTGGATCTATTCTATTTATTTGAGATTTATGGATTTGCTTTTTGATTAGCTGCAGCTCTGCCTCAGCTTCTTTTGTTAATTGCTGAGGGCTAATGAGACTAGGATCTCCTCTAAGGATAGAAAATAGATTACTCAGGGCATAGGTGGGAATGCCTAGAGCAGGTCATATCCGATTAATGTCCCCTAGTAATTTTTGAAAGTCATTTAATGTTTTCAATTGATCCCTACGTATAGTTACTTTCTGTGGCACAATGGTAGTGTCATTTACTAAGGTCCCCAAGTAGGAGTAAGGAGTAGTAGTCTGAATTTTGTCAGGAGCTATATAATTAAACTGGCATGAGAAATCGAGTTTTGCAAGTGATCATAACATTGGAGTAATATTTCTTGAGTGGGGGCAGCACAAAGTATATTATCCATATAATGAATAATGTAACACTGTGAAAATTTTTTACGAGTAGGTTCAATTGCTTGCCCTTCATAAGTCTGGCAAATTTTTGAACTGTTTCACATGCCTTGTAGCAACACTTTCCAATACAAATGCTTTAGTATGCTGCAGGTTTTTTACTGCAGGAATTGTAAATGCAAACAGTTCACAGCCTTGCTCAGCTAAGGGGATAGTAAAGAAACAGTCTTTTAAATTTATGACTATTAAAGGCCAATTTTTTGGAATCATAGCAGAAGAAGGCAGTCCCGGCTGCAATGTCCCCATAGGTTGTATAACTGAATTAATGGCTCTTAAGTCAGTTAACATTCTGCATTTACCTGATTTTTTCTTAATTACAAAAACTGGAGAATTCCAAGGGGAAAATGTTGAGCTATGTGTCCTTTTTCTAATTGTTCAGCAACTAAGTCCTCTAAAGCCTCCAGTTTCTCTTTACTCAGCAGCCATTGTGCTATCCAAATTGGCTTATCTGTTAACCATTTTAAAGGTATATAGGTTCTGGAGGCTTAACAATGGCCACCATCAAAAATGATATCCTAAACCTTGGTGGGAACTTTGTCTTTCCGCTTGAAGCATTTCCTTCAAAGCTTGCAAATTTTTTCCTAGTCCCATACCAGGGACATACCCCATTTCATGCATCATATGTTGACTTTGAGGGCTGTATAATTATTCTGGAATTAGAACTTGTGATCCCCATTGTTGTAATAAATCTCTTCCCTATAAATTTATAGGTACAGAAGTTATAATTTTTTGTATAGTCCCAGGTTGTCCATTGGGCCCTTCACAATGCAAAATATAACTACTTTGATATACTTTAAGGGCTTTACCAACTCCAACTATGTTAAATTGAGCAGGTTGAATTGACCATGCAGATGGCCAGTGCTGTACAGAAATGATTGAAATGTCCGCTCCTGTATCTACCAAACTTTTAAATTTCTTTCCCTGAATAGTTATTTCACCAGTAGGATGTTTATCAGTAATTTGATTCACCCAATAAGCTGCTTTGCCTTGTTTATTTGTGCTTCCAAATCTTCCTGTTCATTTAATTTCACTTTTCCCCATTTCCACATATGGCATAATCAGGAGCTGTGCTATATGCTCTCCTGGCTCTGCTTTCCAGGGAACAGAAGTAGATATAACAATTTGAATTTCCCCTTTGTAATCTGAATCAATGACTCCTGTTTGTACTTGCACGCCTTTTAAATTTAAACTAGACCTACCTAGAAGTAATCCTACCATCCCCGCTGGCATCATCTGACTGGAGACAGCAACCTTCTTTAACAGTCCCATTACAAAAGGAGAACCTGTTCCATATGGATTAATAGCTTGTTTAAATTCTTTGAGTAATTTAAAAGGAAAAGGCTCAAATGTAGCTATAATATTTCCCTGTTGATCTACGGGGTATATTCTAACAGGGAACTGCTAAGCCTCTATATCACCCTCTCTTCTAACTTGCTGAATTCCTGGCTGAATAGAACTGAGAGTGGTCGCTCGAGGTGCTGCTCAGTCACTGGGGCGACTACTTTTTGCCCAGTGTCCTCTGGAAAAGAAAGATCTGGAGGATCAGGCTACTCTTTTGCTTCGAAATAATGAGGGGGTGCAGAAGGGTAGGGACAAACCTCTCCCTCCTTTGCCACTTTAGCTTTAGCTGGCAAACAAACCTGCTCTGTCACCTCTTCTGTTACTTCATTATACTTTCCTTCCTCCTCATCTTTAGTGTGAAAAGGTTCCAAGGTGGAATGAGCTAGAGCCCACACTTGCCCATTGTTACCCTGATGCTTCCGAGCTCCCCTTCTTACTCACCATGGGGATTGCTTAAGAGTACTCGGGTATCCTCCAGCTTTGTTCCACGTTTTCCAACCATTGCTCCAGCGAGCCTTCATCCTGGGTTTGAGTCCCCACGTTGGGCGCCACTTGCCGAGACCAGCTCGGTCGTGGAGACCCTAACCCAGCAGTGCTAGAGGAATTAAAGACACACACACAGAAACATAGAGTGTGGAGTGGGAAATCAGGGGATTCACAGCCTTCAGAGCTGAGAGCCCTGAACAGAGATTTACCCACGTATTTATTGACAGCAAGCCGGTGATAAGCATTATTTCTGTAGATTATAGATTAACTAAAAGTATTCCTTACAGGAAACAAAGGGATGGGCCAAAACAAAGCGATGGGCTCTGGCTAGATATCTGCAGCAGGAACACGTCCTTAAGGCACAGATCGCTCATGCTATTGTTTGTGGCTTAGGAATGCCTTAAGTGGTTTTCCATCTTGGGTGGACCAGGTGTTCCTTGCCCTCATTCCAGTAAACCCACAACCTTCAGTGTGGGCGTCATGGCCATCACAAACATGTCACAGTGCTGCAGAGATTTTGTTTATGGCAAGATCTGGGGCCAGTTTATGGCCAGATTTGAGGGCCTGTTCCCAACAGTGGACAAAGAAGAAAAGCTGCTTAAGGCAAACAGGCACATATTTTTTAAAGCTACAATAGCTAGACAAACTAAGAGAATCCTGTGTATGTTTTACTTTTGTATTTTTATTTTTAATATTTGTGGATACATAGTAGATGTATATATTTATGGGGCACTTGAGATATTTTGATACAGGCATACAATGGATAATAATAACATCACGGTAAAAGGGGTATCCATTACCTCAAGCATTTATCCTTTCTTTGTGTTATAAACAATCCAATTAAACCTTTTATCATAAAATGTACAATAATGTTGACTGTGGTCACCCTGTTTTGCTATCAAAGAATAAATCTTATTCATTTTATCTAAGTATATTTGTGTACCCATTAACCATCCCAGTCCCCCTGCTCCTCCAACTACACTTCCCAGCCTCTGTTAACCATCATTCTACTCTCTTATCTCCATGAGTTCAATTGTTTTAATTTGTAGCTCCCACAAATAAGCGAGAACATGGGATGTTTGTCTTTCTGTGCCTTATTTCACTTAACATAATATCCTCCAGTTCCATCCATGTTGTTATATGACAGAATTTCATTCTTTCTTATGGCTGAATAGTACCCCATTGTATATATATACCACATTTTCTTTATCCATTCATGTGTAGGTGGACACTTGGATTGCTTCTAGATCTTGGCTACTGTGAATAGTGCAGCACTAAACATGGGCGTGCAGATATCTCCTTGATATATTGATTTCCTTTATTTTGGGTATATACCTAGCAGTGGGATTGCTGGATTGTGTGGTAGCTCTACTGTTAGTCTTTTGAGGAACCTCCAAATTGTTCTCCATAGTGGTTGTACTAATTTACATTCCCAACCAACAACAGTGTACAGGGTTCTGTTTTCTCCACATCCTTGCAGCATTTTTATTGCCTGTCTTTTGGATAAAAGCCATTTTAACTGGGGTGAAATGATATCTCATTGTAGTTTTGATTAGCATTTCTCTGATGATCATTGATGTTGAGCACCTTTTTATATATCTGTTTGCCATTCATGTGCCTTCTTTTGAGAAATGTCTATTTAGATCTTTTGCCCATTTAAAAAATTGGATTATTAGATTTTTTTCCTATTGAGTTATTTGATCTCCTTATATATTCTGGTTATTAATCCCCTTTCAAATGGATAGTTTGTGAATATTTTCTCCCATTCTGTGTATTGCCTCTGCACTTTGTTGATTATTTAATTTGCTATGCAGAAACTTTTTAACTTGATGTGATCCCTTTTGCTCATTTTTGCTTTGGTTGCCTATGCTTGTGGGGTATGACTTAAGAAATCTTTGCCCAGACCAATGTCATGGAGAGTTTTCTTAATGTTTTCTTTTAATAGTTTCATAGTTTGATGTCTTAGATTTAAGTCTTTAATCTATTTTGTTTTTATTTTTGTATATGGCAAGATATAGGGGTCTAGTTTCTTCCGCATATGGATATCTACTTTTCCCAGTACCATTTGTTGAAGAGACTGTCCTTTCTGCAATGTATGTTCTTGACACTTTTATTGAAAATGAATTCACTGTAGATGTGTGGATTTGTTTCTGGGTTCTCTATTCTGTTCTGTTGTTCTGTGTGTCTGTTTTTATGCCAGTACCATTCTGTTTTAGTTACTATAGCTCTGTAGTATAATTTTAAGTCAGATAATGTGATTCCTCCAGTTTTGTTCTTTTTGCTCAGAATAGCTCTGGCTATTCTGGGTCTTTTGTGGTTTCATGTAAATTTTAGGATTATATTTTATTAACATATTTCTGTGAAGAATGTCATTGGTATTTTGATAGGAACTGCATTAAATCTATAGATTGCTTTGGGTAGTAAGGATATTTTAACAATATTGATTTTTCCAATCCATGAACATGGAATATCTTTCCATTTTTTGGTGTCCTCTTTAATTTCTTGCATCAGTGTTTATAGTGTTTCTTTCATCAGTGTTTATAGTTTTCATTGTAGAGATCTTTTACTCCTTTGATTAAGTTTATTCCTGGGTATTTTATTTGTAGCTGTTGTAGACGAGATTACTATCTTGATTTCTTTTTCAGATTGTTCACTGTTGGCATATACAAATGCTACTGATTTTTGTATGTTGATTTTGTATACTACAATTTCACTGAATTTGCTTATTACAGAGAGACTAAAGATAGTTAGGTCCATTACCAAATGTGTTTTCTGTCACATTGAAAAATTATACCATGAGAAGGCACATGCTTCTAGTAATTACAGTTCATAGATATGTCAATGTACAGAATGCTGGTGTGACAGTTCACAATTGTTTGCTTTATAGTTTTCACTGGAAATTAAATTACTAAGGGTAAAGTAATCCCAGCACTGTGGGAAGCTGAGGCAGGATGATTGCTTAATGCCAGGAGTTTGAGACCAGCTGGGGCAATGTAGCATGAGCCCATCTACAAAAAAAAAAAGGAATTCTAATTAATATGTGGTACTAGAATTACCAGAAATAATAAGGGAAACAACTCGGAAAAGAAGGTAAGATGTGTTTTGGGTAAGAACAGCTATAAAGTATGAGGGGATGTTTTGTTTTGTTAAGGAAAAAATAAAATAATATTTGTCCTAAAGTAGAATGCCTGGTTGTTAAGACAATGAGAAAGAGAAAGAGTATAGAAGAAAAACTGAATGGATATAAGAAAGTTGTAGAAGGTTGTGGGATAGGAATCCTGGAAAGGGAATTTTATATGTGATCAAACTAAGATTTGAAGAAAATTCTAAGTTTTTTTTTAAAAAAATTGAGCATGAATATCAAAAACATACTGACACAGAACTAGAAATTTGTCCTCTATGTTAAAACAACAAGGTTTTCTTGGAGTATTGGTCTGCTCTTAATAAGAAATTGAAAGACTTTTCTTTACCTGCTAAGTAATTGGCCTAGGAAATGAAGATTCTGTGTTTTATTGAGATAATTTATTGTGCTTCATGTTGTCTTTATTAGATCTTTGACTGCCTCAGAGACCTGAGTTCACCTTATTAAAAGAGAAAGAGTTTCTACAATTATGTGGCTTTCTTTATTTGCCTTTGAAGTCTTTTACCAATCACTCTAGTTAAATGAATAAATATTGTTTCATAGGGACCTGTGATCCTATTTTAATCAGATATTTTAAACCTTTTGATATTTTTGACTTCTCAAAATCAAATTCTAAATTAAAACCTTTTGACGTTGAACAAACTTTGGAAGCTTCTAGATGGGCTTCTGGAATATCTCAAAAGAAATTGTTTTCTCTCCTGATAAAAAAGAGAGATATTAAACTAATTGGGCTTATTTGATATGTTATATTGCATGGGAAGAATTGTTAAATTATAAGTGATGCTGAACTTTCTTTAAGTCATATTGTATGGGTATGTTATTAATATGTGCTTCAGAAATTATATGAAATTCTTAGAAACCAGATAGTCGTGGTATAATACTATCAGCCAAAATTCTAATTATCGTGAAATATTATGTGTTGCAGAAGTAATACAATTTCCTTATCAATTGCATTATTGTGAACTCTCATCATATCTTTAACCAAGTCCATTTTAAGCTTTGTCATCTACAAAGAGTCACTTGTTTTACTCTGGTACTTTCCGGAACACTGTGAAAAACAATTATATAAAGGGTGTGGACCTATAAGACAAACAACCAAACAAAAATCGTAAAGTGTTCTTTTAAAAGATTCGTGGAAAGGACTCTGATAAGTACAGGTTTCTGATAACTTTAAGATCATACTACTGGACTGGGTAAGAATTTCCAGAACTCTAGCAAAGAAGTGGATTGGTTCATAAAACTGCCAACCCAACATGAAGCAGAATAAGAATTAATTGAATACCAGGGAAATGCTTTGGCAGATTTTCATGCTAAGTCAGCCAGTACTGAAATTGTTAAGATATGCAATTTGAAAGAACACTATAATATTCATCTGAATCAAATTATCTATGATAACCTATTTAAATGAACAGCATCATGCACCTGAATTGGAGAAACAAAACTGATATTTAAAATGATATAAATTTAGTGTTAAATGTGGCCTCATGGATCAGACAGCTATCTGGTCCTTTCTGAGTCCATATAGCTGCCATTATTAAAAGTTCTGCACTCTATGACTCATCACAGAATAGATAACGTGAAATTATGAAAAAATATTGGTGTTATGACTGTTCTAAAATTGCTAAAATGGCTTATAATCAATGTTTGGTTTGTCAAATCCACAATTTTTATAAGATAATAAAAACCTCAGTTGGTACATTTCCACCATCCACTGGACTATTTGAACATTTACAGATGGATTGCATTCAGTTGCCTCATTGGGAATCTGCAGGAAACTTAAGTAAATGCTGGATATGTCATGTTGAACCAAATACTAATATGCTTTTAAAGATCTTCTAATTCACCCTATAGCAGATTTCACTGATATTCCAAGTGTGACTACCTGTTCAAATTGCACATCTGGTCTTTCTATAGGGTTAGGCTTTTTGAGTCACATATTCAGATTTCATGTTTAAAGCTAACAGTAGACAAAACATATAGGAGAGGCTTTACAGTTAAATTATTCCAGAAACTGAATAATAAAACCAAAAGGAGAGATAATTAGACAGTTTGTAGACGAATTCATAACCCTAATTCTCTAATTGTTGGTAGCCTCCATTGATGATAATTAATAGTGGAGCCTTAGATAAATACTACTATTGCTTCCCCGTTGATGACCCCTGTAGCACACAGTGTCCCACAGGGAACTGTCTCTTGTGCCCCTCTAGCATATATTTTTATCTATGAAGGATTTAACTATCAATCATAGGCACAGGCAACTCCATGTCCCAGTCAGTAGGAAATAAGAAGTCAGTGTGGATTAGGGATTCTAACAGTACCACTGTCACTCCATAACCAACTGAAAATTTGACATTGTTCTATACCTCTTAATTTGCACTATGGTATAAAAAGGAACTTTCTAGCAGGTACGAATCCCTCTAAATGGGCATCTTTTGTTCAAATGCTCCTTCCCTGGCTTGGAATAAATGTAAATGAGGTTATGATTAGAAATCCCCTTCAAACATTAGCTACTACAGCTCACTCTACTGCAAAGGCTATATAGTTGCCCAGTGAAGTTCTCTAAATTCTCTTGCTAAAGTTTCTTTAAATAACAGGATTGCCTTGAACTATCTGTTGGTTTGTAGTGGGGCAGGGGGTGTGATAGGGGACACTGTGTATAATAGCTAATACATCCTACTGCACTTGCATAAAGGAATCTGTTATAAAGAAAATGAAATAAAGGTATAAAAGTTGGCAAGAAGAAAACCATCATTATGTCTTGAGGATGATTGGGGATACAGAAAATGAGAAGAATCCACAAACTATTAGAATTACTAAGTTAATTTAGCAAGGTTGCTCAATGCATGGTCAGTATACAAAATTTAATTGAATTTCTACATATATGTATATGCCATATTGTGTTAGATTGTTTTGCATTGCTATAAGGGAATACCTGAAGCTGGGTAATTTATAAAGAAAAGAGGCTTATTTGGCTCATGGTTCTGCAGGCTGTACAAGCATGGCACTAGCATCTGTTTGACCTTAGGAAGCCTTTACTCATGGTGGAAGAAGGGGGAGCAGGCATGTCATATAGTGAGAGAGGGAGTGAGAGGGAGGGAGCAAGAGTGAAGGGGGAGGTCCCAGACTCTTTTTAAATAACCTGAAATCCTGTGAACAGAGTGAAAACTAACTTATTACCATGAAGAGCACACCAAGCCATTCATGAGGGGTATACCTTCATGACCCAAACGCTTTCCACCAGGTCCTACCTTCAACACTGGGGATCACATTTCAACATGAGATTTGGAGAGGACAAACATCCAAATCATATCACATATATAAATATGTAAAACTATTTTAAATGTTTTTAAAGTATCGAATAGAAATAAATCTCACAAAATATGCTTAAGAACTTTAAGCAAAAACCATAAAATACTATTGTGATAAGTTAAAGAAGACCTAAATAAATGGAGAGATCTGTCATGCTCATGGATTGGAAGATTCAATACTGTAATGATATGAATAGTTCCCAAATTGTTCTATAGATTCAAAACATTGCCAGTTAAAATCTCAGTGGACTTTGTTTTTTTGAAACTGACAAGCTGATTCTGCCATTTATAATAATATTCAAAGGGGCAAGAATAACCAAGACACATTTGAAGAAGAACAAGGAGGAAGAAGAACGTATTTGAAGAAGAATAAGGAACTCTATTAAGTGTATATCTCCTATATATTGAGATACACATTTGAAATACATCTATCACCTAGATATTGAGATATATTATACATTTAATATAGTGTGTTGCTGGTATAGGGATAGACAAATGAACATTGGATCAGAATAGCACTGAAACAAGATCTACCCCTATATGGGCATGTCCCTATTAACAAAAAAATATTGTTGATTATTTCCTCAAGATGATCTGTAAAAAACAAGTTAATTGAACATCCATATGGGAAAAAAGTGAATCCTTCTGCTACCTCAAATATCAACCCCAGGTAGATTATAGATCTAAAAGTGAAAGGCAAAGCAATAAAGATTTTAGAAAATAACAAAGAGAATATCTTTATGAAAATACAGGAAATATTTTAAAAATAGGCTAGAAAACTCACTATTAAAATATATAAAATATAAGAACATCTGTTCATCAAAAGTACTATAGTTTGAATAGCAGTGTCTCCTCCAAAATTCATATTGAAACTTAATCCCCATTGTAACAGTACTAATCCTAAAACTAAGTATTAAGAGGTGTGACCTGTGGGAAGTGACTAAGTCATGAGGGGTCTTTCCTCAGGTATGGGATTAGCATCCTTATAAAAGGCCTTGAGATGGAATGTAGTGCCCCCTTGCCCTCTTGCGTTCTCCCATGTGAGGACACAGCAACAAGGCACCATCTTGGAAGGAGAGAGAAGCCCTCACCAGACAACAGTGCACATGCCTTGATCTTAGACTTCCCAGCCTCCAGAGCTATAATAAATACATTTCTGTTCTTTATAAATTACTTGGTCTCTGGTATTTTGTTACAGAAGCACTAATGGACTAAGACAAAAAGATTCCATTATGAAAGTGAAAAGGCAACCGCAGAGTGGCAGAAGCTTTTGGAGATGATGAATATGTTTACTTCCTGGATTGCGGTGATGATACCATGAGTGTATACATATGTGTGTATACATAATGTATACAAATTGTGTTCATTGATTATGTACAGTTTCTTTGTATACCAATTATACCTTAATAAAGCTAAGGAAAAAAAAAAGAAAATCCAGAATAAATATGCATGGTATGACCCATTTATTTAAAAAAAAAAAGAGGGAATGCGAAGCAGTGGTTTTGGTGCGAACACAAAAATTCTGGCTTCAACAGCATTTAAATTCCCAAACCAAGCATGTTTGTGTTTTAATTCTTTGTGGCCATAAATTGTACAGCTCAGGCCTTTATAGTCTCTCAGATTCTGTGAATGTGGGGAATTAGTTTTACTCATAAAAAGTTTTGTTCTTGGGGATAAATTTTTTAAAAAAATTTTTGTATAGTTAGCACACTGAGAAAATACAGACAAAGGCATACAGATGCAAGAAATGAGGTAGCTGAATAGACCAAAGAATGATATAGGGCCCAGAAGGTAGGCAAAGAGAAAGTTGTTGGGTTTATGGTTACAAGTAAACTAGCAGTTGTGGTGCAGATAGTTTTATTTCCCCCACATTAATCTGAACAGCCCATCCAGACTTAAACACTGCTTTTTGCATTTACTTCTAGGCAGGAAGACAGGGTTCTGATGGTGTGAGTCTCCTTCAACTCAGCAAACCACCTTGGTCTGCCTCGAGTTTCCAACACCCCTCCTGCCTGCTAGTGATAGGTGTGAGGCAGGTTGATGAACATGGAACTTTTTTCTTTTGGTCCCAAAGCATGCTACTCCTGGAGTTTCATTCAGTGAATGAGAACTATAGTTTGGTTCTGTGAGATCTCTATGAATCAAGGCGGCCACTGAAGCGGAGAAAAGAAATGCTTAAATGTTAAGAAAGTTTGAAGTGCAGAAAAAGGTGATTGTAAATCCATATGGTTAAGCTTAGCCCATTTCTTAAAAGGCTTGATTGCTCATTCCTCCATTCATTGATTTACTCACTCTTCCAATCCATGTTATTGAGTCTTGCTCTGTAATTCCGGATGGTTGTGCTTTTAAGTACTGCATAGTGGTTGTATGTCTGTGTTAGCATTGCTGAATGTATCAGGGAATTCATTTTTTTATCCCCATTCATTCGTTCCATTCATCTGTTTCTCTCTCTCTCTCTCTTTGTGTGTGTGTGTGTGTGTGTGTGTGTGTGTGTGTGTGTGTGTGTTATGCCTAGAAAACATTTCTCAAGAATTAGAATTACGATATGCTGTCAAACACAATGACTTATTTGAACCTCTTTTATTTGTAGGTTGAAGCACTGGACAATGCCACATACTTTGTGGATGGTGTGGGTCTTGGGGGTCATCATCAGCCTCTCCAAGGAAGAATCCTCCAATCAGGCTTCTCTGTCTTGTGACCGCAATGGTATCTGCAAGGGCAGCTCAGGATCTTTAAACTCCATTCCCTCAGGGCTCACAGAAGCTGTAAAAAGCCTTGACCTGTCCAACAACAGGATCACCTACATTAGCAACAGTGACCTACAGAGGTGTGTGAACCTCCAGGCTCTGGTGCTGACATCCAATGGAATTAACACAATAGAGGAAGATTCTTTTTCTTCCCTGGGCAGTCTTGAACATTTAGACTTATCCTATAATTACTTATCTAATTTATCGTCTTCCTGGTTCAAGCCCCTTTCTTCTTTAACATTCTTAAACTTACTGGGAAATCCTTACAAAACCCTAGGGGAAACATCTCTTTTTTCTCATCTCACAAAATTGCAAATCCTGAGAGTGGGAAATATGGACACCTTCACTAAGATTCAAAGAAAAGATTTTGCTGGACTTACCTTCCTTGAGGAACTTGAGATTGATGCTTCAGATCTACAGAGCTATGAGCCAAAAAGTTTGAAGTCAATTCAGAATGTAAGTCATCTGATCCTTCATATGAAGCAGCATATTTTACTGCTGGAGATTTTTGTAGATGTTACAAGTTCCGTGGAATGTTTGGAACTGCGAGATACTGATTTGGACACTTTCCATTTTTCAGAACTATCCACTGGTGAAACAAATTCATTGATTAAAAAGTTTACATTTAGAAATGTGAAAATCACCGATGAAAGTTTGTTTCAGGTTATGAAACTTTTGAATCAGATTTCTGGATTGTTAGAATTAGAGTTTGATGACTGTACCCTTAATGGAGTTGGTAATTTTAGAGCATCTGATAATGACAGAGTTATAGATCCAGGTAAAGTGGAAACGTTAACAATCCGGAGGCTGCATATTCCAAGGTTTTACTTATTTTATGATCTGAGCACTTTATATTCACTTACAGAAAGAGTTAAAAGAATCACAGTAGAAAACAGTAAAGTTTTTCTGGTTCCTTGTTTACTTTCACAACATTTAAAATCATTAGAATACTTGGATCTCAGTGAAAATTTGATGGTTGAAGAATACTTGAAAAATTCAGCCTGTGAGGATGCCTGGCCCTCTCTACAAACTTTAATTTTAAGGCAAAATCATTTGGCATCATTGGAAAAAACCGGAGAGACTTTGCTCACTCTGAAAAACTTGACTAACATTGATATCAGTAAGAATAGTTTTCATTCTATGCCTGAAACTTGTCAGTGGCCAGAAAAGATGAAATATTTGAACTTATCCAGCACACGAATACACAGTGTAACAGGCTGCATTCCCAAGACACTGGAAATTTTAGATGTTAGCAACAACAATCTCAATTTATTTTCTTTGAATTTGCCGCAACTCAAAGAACTTTATATTTCCAGAAATAAGTTGATGACTCTACCAGATGCCTCCCTCTTACCCATGTTACTAGTATTGAAAATCAGTAGGAATGCAATAACTACGTTTTCTAAGGAGCAACTTGACTCATTTCACACACTGAAGACTTTGGAAGCTGGTGGCAATAACTTCATTTGCTCCTGTGAATTCCTCTCCTTCACTCAGGAGCAGCAAGCACTGGCCAAAGTCTTGATTGATTGGCCAGCAAATTACCTGTGTGACTCTCCATCCCATGTGCGTGGCCAGCAGGTTCAGGATGTCCGCCTCTCGGTGTCGGAATGTCACAGGACAGCACTGGTGTCTGGCATGTGCTGTGCTCTGTTCCTGCTGATCCTGCTCACGGGGGTCCTGTGCCACCGTTTCCATGGCCTGTGGTATATGAAAATGATGTGGGCCTGGCTCCAGGCCAAAAGGAAGCCCAGGAAAGCTCCCAGCAGGAACATCTGCTATGATGCATTTGTTTCTTACAGTGAGCGGGATGCCTACTGGGTGGAGAACCTTATGGTCCAGGAGCTGGAGAACTTCAATCCCCCCTTCAAGTTGTGTCTTCATAAGCGGGACTTCATTCCTGGCAAGTGGATCATTGACAATATCATTGACTCCATTGAAAAGAGCCACAAAACTGTCTTTGTGCTTTCTGAAAACTTTGTGAAGAGTGAGTGGTGCAAGTATGAACTGGACTTCTCCCATTTCCGTCTTTTTGATGAGAACAATGATGCTGCCATTCTCATTCTTCTGGAGCCCATTGAGAAAAAAGCCATTCCCCAGCGCTTCTGCAAGCTGCGGAAGATAATGAACACCAAGACCTACCTGGAGTGGCCCATGGACGAGGCTCAGCGGGAAGGATTTTGGGTAAATCTGAGAGCTGCGATAAAGTCCTAGGTTCCCATATTTAAGACCAGTCTTTGTCTAGTTGGGATCTTTATGTCACTAGTTATAGTTAAGTTCATTCAGACATAATTATATAAAAACTACGTGGATGTACCGTCATTTGAGGACTTGCTTACTAAAACTACAAAACTTCAAATTTTGTCTGGGGTGCTGTTTTATAAACATATGCCAGATTTAAAAATTGGTTTTTGGTTTTTCTTTTTTCTATGAGATAACCATGATCATAAGTCTATTACTGATATCTGAATATAGTCCCTTGGTATCCAAGGGAATTGGTTGCAGGATCCTCGTGGATATCAAAATTCATAGATGATCAAGTCCCTTATAAGAGTGGCATAGTATTTGCATATAACCTGTGTACATTCTCCTGTATACTTTAAATCATCTCTAGATTACTTATGATACCCAATACAATGTAAATACTATGTAAATAGTTGTACTGTCTTTTTATTTATATTATTATTGTTATTTTTTATTTTCAAAATTTTTAAAACATACTTTTGATCCACAGTTGGTTGACTTCATGGATGCAGAACCCATGGATATAGAGGGCCAACTGTAATCTGTAGCAACTGGCTTAGTTCATTAGGAAACAGCACAAATGAACTTAAGATTCTCAATGACTGTGTCATTCTTTCTTCCTGCTAAGAGACTCCTCTGTGGCCACAAAAGGCATTCTCTGTCCTACCTAGCTGTCACTTCTCTGTGCAGCTGATCTCAAGAGCAACAAGGCAAAGTATTTGGGGCACTCCCCAAAACTTGTTGCTATTCCTAGAAAAAAGTGCTGTGTATTTCCTATTAAACTTTACAGGATGAGAAATACTAGAGGGTGTATTTTCATGTGATCTGGATCTGTCTTTCTGGCTATTAGATAGGTTTCTCCAGCCATAGTTACTTGAGAGAGTGAGTACACAGTGCAAGGTACAGTAAATTATGTATTTCTGTAATTTAACAAAATAAATACTCAGTTTAGGAGAATTTGAAAGACACTTCCCACATCCGGACTCTGGTCTTCCTCAGCCTCTAACTACCTTTTGAGTTCTAGTTATTGTCCAATCACTCTGACTCTCAGTTCCTGTTTTTTAGCCTATATCTCCTGCATCTTGTTGCTTTTTCCTTCTTCGAAAAGTCTTGTTTTTAATTCTAAAAAAGCCTGCCCTTTTTCCCCTTCTGAATATTTTAAAAAGTACATGTGAGCTAAATAGATTTTTAAGCAAATATATACCTAGAGTTTCCTCATAATGACTCAAAAATAGTTTGATACACAGTAATTTAAAGGTAGATACTACTACCATATGTTAATTTTGCAATCTAGGTATAATAATACCACACATTAAATTTTGATGCAACTTTCTTTGGTAAGCACTATTTGCTGATTCTATGTAACTTTCTTAAGCTGGGAACCATGTGAAAGGAAGTGAGCCTTTGACCCCTGCTCAATTCTCAACCAGAACTGGGTGTATGTGGTTAATTGGGCACTAGAGTCAGAAAGACCTGGGTTAGTAGATGTGTAATCTTTGGCAAGTCAGTTGACATGACCCAAAAAGTTTTTCTGTCTTTAAAATAGGGATGATGATCTCTATATCCTAAGATACTGAGAGTATGAAATGTAGGAATGTAAGTAAACCATGAGCCTAAGCTCCTTGATTCCCATTTTCTCTGGAGGGGTGTTGAGGGCAAGAGTACCACGCCTAAGAGAATGGGCACTATGGGTTCGTGTGTGGGGTGAGGGTGATGTCTGTAGTAGATGTTAGCTATTATTATTATTTTCCAAGAAGATATTTCATTCCCTTATATATTATGGCTTGTAAGTGGATATTTTTCTGTTATGGATACTAGCAGGGATATAAGGGATCCTGCTGTTTGCAGAAAAATACCACAAAGAAATATATGCTCATTAACTGCAGAACAAGCTTGTCCTTGGGGAACTCGCATAGGGCTGCTGCTGTTTCACACGACCTCCCAGAAGAGTGTTATGGAGGAAACGGTAGCCAGCCTTAAAAAAAATCAGGCTTGGTGTAATCCCAGCACTTTGGGAGGCTAAGGCAGGAGGATTGCTTGAGTCCAGGAGTTGGAGACCAGCCTGGGAAACATGGCAAAACCCTGTCTCTACCAAAAAATACAAAATATTAGCAGGGCATGGTGGCATGTGCCTCTGGTCCTAGCTACTCGGGATGCTGAGGTGGGAGGATCACCTGAGCCCGGGAGGTCCAGGCTGCAGTGAGCTGTGATTGCACCACTGCACTCCAGCCTGGGTGACAGAGGAAGACACTGTCTCAAAAAAACAAAATGAAACAAAACAAACGAAAAACAAGTTTAGAGGAAGGAAACTTGAGATTCCACAGACACCAAATACAGTAATGGACTTTCTGCTTTACTTCTCTGTTTCCATGTTAATTATGAGAACAAGGTAGATTTAACATTGACTCGATCTATGTTTAATTTCAAGAACTTAAAATAGCAACTGAAATAGCTTCATAGATAATTGATAGATTTAAAATAATATTTAAAAAATAATCTTTAGGACGGACGTGGTGGCTTATGCCTGTAATCCCAGCACTTTGGGAGGCTGAGGTGGGAGGATCACCTGAGGTGTTGTGGTGCCTATTCACATTAAAGGTGGATCTTCCTTTCCTAGTCCACTGACTCAAATGTTAATCTCCTCTGGCAACACCCTCACATACACACCAGAAACTATACTTTACCAGCTATCCAGGCATCTTTCAATCCAATCAAGTTGACACCTAGTATTAGCCATAATACTCTCCAATCTTTTTTCAGTGTACATATACACACTACTTTACAAAATTGGGATTAGATTGTAAATACTTAAATTTTATAAAGAAAATGGCATCTTCATTTTTTTCTGAGGCTGTTTAGTGATTATCTGACATTCCTGAACTCTGAGGGTCATTGTGAATCCCATTCAGATAAATACTGGCTTATTTGCCGAGAGTTCTAAATGGTTCTGAAAGCTGCCATTGTGGCTATACATAAAAGATAAGTGGGAACTAAATTAGAGATCAGTTTAAGGGTTCTTTTTTTTGTTTAACAGGAGAAAAACTAATTTTTTGTTAGTGCTTTATCCAAATGTGAAGTCTTTTATTTGTCAATAGACTATAAGCTCAAGAATCTTGTTTTATCTCCCTACCCCTTGAACATGCCTACTATATAGTAAGTATTGAATTATTGGGATGTTTTCAGAGTAGAGAAATAAGCAATTAAAAATTCTATAATCTGGATGCTGAATCAATCATAATGAGAGAGGAGAAAATGAAAAATCAGTTCGGTAGACAGCTAAGGCTAGTCTTCAGAGAAGCAGTCTGCCTGGAAAATCACAGCTACAGGCAAAAATAGAGCAGCCTGGGGAAAACTCAGACTGTACCTGCACAGATAAGCAGGCAAGGTCCAGCACAGAAGCCTTTTGTTCTTTGTGTGATTAGCAGGCTCCCAGGAAAATGTTTTCTCCCCTTTTCAGATATGAACACGGGGGGATCCATGGGAGATTGCACTGGAAACAGAGGGGGTTTACCTAAAAGAAACCCACAATTACTCAAACAAGAAAAAACTATGCTTTGTGCTTACCTAGAGACATCTCACAGCTGTATAGGTAGGTGGAGTTGTGCAGACAGGTTTTCAAATAAGAGAAGTTACTCAAACAGCTACAGAGATGAGAGGAGTTTCTTATAAAAGCTTTTGCATTCAGCTGTAAAATGGCACCCCACTTGGGCTCTCCTCTCCACTGTGGAGAGCTTTCTTCTTTCACTTACTAAACTTTTGCTCCAACCTCACCCTTTGCATTCATGCTCCTTAATTTTCTCAGTCATGACACAATAAGTTCAAATAACACCTTAGACAATGAGACAATGGACCCTGACCTATTTCAATAATACTGAAGCATTGGGCAGTTTGAAAGAGGAAAGTTCTCAACAGTAAGAAATTGTAGTGTGAGTTATCTTAATGATGGACCTTTGAATAGCATTAAGTATAGTGCCAATATCTGAACAAGGAAAATAATCATTGTATTTCCTTTCTACTTCATACAATTGTAATGGCTTCAAGTATTGCAGAGTAGATGTCTGGTGTTAAATGTATACAGTGTTGACTATTTTAAAAATGACCAGTAATTCAAAACAAATTAATTTTGAGAGTCCAACATATCATTCATGGGTTAATTCTTTCTGACTGGTCTTCTCTATTCAGTTAATTTTGTTCCCTTCTGCCAGATTAATTTACTCTTTCAGCAAATATTTTTTGAGTGCCTCTTATGTGCTAGGCAGTGCTCAAAGTGCAGGGGATATGGTAGGGAACAAAACATAAAATTCCTTGTCTTCATGGAGGAGAAGACAATAAATTTATGATAGGATTTCGGGTATTGAGAAGTACTATGAAGAAAATAAAAGCAGAGTGCCACAATGGAATGACTGTGCACGTGTATGTGTGCACGCGCACGCAGAGTGGAACAAAAGAAAAGTGATTCTTCTTGCTTTAGTACAGCTGTTGCATGGGTTTGAGCACTTTTGGCAGCTCCAGGAAACCCAAAGTACCTGTGGCCCATTGAGAAGGTGTGGCACCTGCTGCCAGAGGCTTTGGGAGTAACCCACTTTCTACAGAAGAGCTCTGTGGTGCAGAAGCTGCCACATGGTAACAAGCACATGGAGCAGAAGACAAGCACAATGTCCTTGACCATAGATTACTTAACGACTCCACCTACTTTAAAGATGTTGAACTGATGAGAAAGTATTAGCTATGGCTAAATGTTGTGTGTGAGAAGTACTTTGCAAACCTCTGAAACACTTTACAGATATTGTTATCAGTCAAACTGGAAGTAGAATGTCCACAGTGCAGTGTAACAAATGTGACATGTGCATGAGTTAAGAAACAGCTGTAATGGGAAAGATGAAAAAACATGCTTTATTTGTTTATTCCATTGTTCAGCTTCTCTTTAAATTCTTTCCACATGGACAAATTGCTTGACAACAAAGTTTACTTAGTTTTCTAAACACTTGGGATCATCTCTAAAATTAAAAAAATTAATATTAAATGTTGGACCAAGGATTTCAACCATGCAGTATGTTGCTTCTGGGGTCTGCTGTCCTATTCCAGCCCTAGTGAATAGATAATGCCTTGAACTATTCCTATCACCACAGGTTGCCAGGCCACCAAATAACGAAGCCAATCCAGGATTTGTCCATACAGAAAATGTGTGCGCTCCCAGCTAAATCTCAGTTAAGGAGGTTGTTCTATATACAGCCAAGTAGCAGAAATATTCATAAATGTCATTTGCAAATATAATAAACAATGTAATGAATGGGTATTTCCTTTCTTGTTAATTCTATGTGCTCAATTAAAAGCCCCTTATGTGAGTTTTATAGCATTATGGTTGTCATTGTTACTTACACCACACCCAATTCCTGAAAATAAATTGAAGTTCTTTACAATAAAATCCCAAACTAGAAAACAAGAATCAAAGGCAAGGGTATATGCTAAAAGAAGGAAGAAGAGGGGAATGACTATATTGGAAAACCAAGGATAGTGGAAACTGCTCTAAATGAGCAAAAACAGCTCTGGGCTTTCCTGTAGTCATACATTAGAATGAACCCATTGTATATTACAAAGAATAACACTGGTTCATCAGATAAGAGAGACCTTTTTCTGCTGTCTTTGATAAACTGTGCTAGGGAGCTTAATGAATGCATAGTGTCTCCGACAACAATTTTACAAACAAAATGACAGCTTTTTCACATGTAGTTTTTTCTTATATTGAGTCTCAATAAAAGAGTAGTATATGTTTTATTCAACAGTTTATTTTCTCAAGACTACATAAAGAAATGAATGACCCTTTGTTAAAGTATCACTTGAGGTGACATTTATGATCATATTATCACCAATTTTATAACAAAGATTTATGCATTGAGGTTTTATAGGTTAATAACCAAAAACTGTTCTGGACTTGGTATCCTCATTTTAGAAGAGGAATTCCAGGACAGTGGATGAACAGGAAGGTGGAAGGATCATCACACACTTTTAGCCTTGAGTTGGGCTTGAGTGGCACTGACTCACCGAGAAAGGCCAGGTCTGTGGATGGAGTGGGCACTGCAGAGGGTGGTCTCTTGCAATGGTATGGGCCTTGAGACCCAAAGATCCACTGATGTTGCCTCCTTCTCTGATGCCCTCCTTGAATCCCTCCCTGATCTGCAGTGCCCAGAGATGAGGGCATTGCTGCCAGTAGCCATTGTTAAACCATACGTATAGGGTTGGTGAGGAACAGGGGAGCAGGAAGCAAGGAAGGTGATTCCTTTAGCATTGTAAAATTTAGCTATTACTTAGAAAGTACAGAAAGGCTGTCTCTTAGAGAAGAGATGGTACTTGGCAGGTTGATGCCAACCTTTCAGGACTCTTCTGCTTAAGGGAGGATATGTTTTAATTCCATTCCCACCCTGCTTCCTGAATGAGATATACTATGGTCTTGAGATAGTGAGGTTGAAGACAAAGTCTTTCTAGTTAGCTCCTGATGGGGGCCATTACCTTCCTGCGACCTTAATGTGACTTGAATTTATTCTGTTGCACACCTCTGATGTCTATACAAATCTCAGTGGCTGCCAGAAGCTGATCAACTCTGTAAATCTTTATTTATTTTCAATATTGTTATCACTAGTGTTTGGCCTAAGAAGAGATGATGCATGGCATGGAATTTAAAAAGCCAAAATCCAGACGGGGAAATACCTACTCATTTCTGGGAATAATAAAATTTGGTACACCCTAACATATTTTAAAAATAGTTTTCTGTACTCTAGTTCACATTTCGGCTTTTAAAATTTCAATTCCAATTTTTCTATTTATGCACCTATCTACCCACCCATCCAGTTCACTCATTTATTCATCCATCCATCCATCCTGAATATTCTTCCATATATTTTACCTATTTTTTGCAGTGTCTCATCACATTTCCACTACAGCCCTTAATGTGGAAAATATAGAACATAAAGAGTGGAATGTTTTCTGGCATTTAACTTTCTAACCAGAATAGTAATATAGGCACAGAGGAGAAAAGAGACCATAAGTCATTTTGAAATAGGTGGTTAGGGAAAACAAAAAATTTTCTGCTGGAACTATACAAAAACACTGAAACTTTTCATTGAAGAATATATCCCCAGAAACATTCAAGATAATCTCTTATAACCTTTTTGTTTTAAAGGATATGGATTACTGATCATCCTCTTCAAATCAACTTTCTCTTTGCAGTAAGGGCAAGTCTGCTTTTTCCCAACGATACACCAACCTCGGATGCAGAATTCATGAAAGCTGAAGCATCTTGTTAGGGAGGCTTCTAGATATGAAAAGGCAATGTCTGGTTCATGATGGCATGGAATGGTCCCATCTTCAGGGTCTAGTGGTGGAGTCATGACTTGATGAGGCACATCGCTTTTTTCGGGAGGTTCTGTAAGGGACCTGACAATGACAGTGAGCCTGGAGTCACAGCTGCCTTCGCTTTATGACCCTGAGGAATTTACTTAGCTTCTTGGCCTTCTTGCCTCACTTGATTCTGGTAAGAATTAGATTAGATAAAGAATATGAGTCCTTTTTTTTTTTTTTCCTTTACAGTGATGTCTTCCATAAGTGTATTGTTATATTTCCCCACCTTGTTATTGTGCGTTTCTCAGGCATTTACCGTAGCATTTCTCTGTTCTACTTTTTGTGCATTATTCTTTAGCTTCATGTAATCAGACTTGTCTTAGGCACTTAGACAAGTTAAAATTATTTGTGGTCATAAAGTTACAAATATTTCCATTAACTTCATAATTTTTTTTCTTGACTTTTAAAAGTACTGATAAGGAGCCAATTATTTTTAATAGAATATATACCTACTAAACTTAACTTCTCAAACTCTAGGCATTTACAGATCCATTTGTATACGTCTCCTGGTCCAGAAAGTCTGACCCTTTGTCCCCAAACTTGAGTGAACCCTATGTGTTCTCACAGCACCAGGGACTTACTCTAGTGTAGCAGGACTTTTGGTACTTACATGTTTCTCCTAGACCATGTGTTACCTGTAGGACTATGTCTCATTCATTTCAGTGTCCTCAGCACCTTAAGCCATGCCTAAGAAATATTTATTGAATGAACATTTGAATGACTCTTTCAAAACTGATTATTTTTGGGAATATATATTTCCATGTTCCCTGATACTATGGATTTGGGCAAAATGAACTATAATGAAATCCATCCTACTGATTTGTTTATTTCTACAATCGCTGCTCCCAATGTGACTTTCTGGGCCAAGATCACATGATCTTCTGACTGGCCTGCTACACACCCAGGTGAACAGCAACGATGTAGAAGTTCCCTCCCTAACAAATGGAGGAGCTTGGAGGTGTAGCAAGTCAAGGCCATGTATATAACTCCTCAGTATTAAATTTCAATGTAACCAGGAGTTTCCATTATTTTATGTTCTTGGAATTGGGGTCATTTTTGCAATATGCTTTAAAATAAAGTGGTGTATTATAACGAAGATTTTGAACCAAAACTCAAACAGCCTTTCATTCAAAAGGGCTGGAATACAGCCCCATCTTCTACAGAGGTATAGAATTCAGGGGCCATTGAGTCAGCACAGAAATGTCCACATTCTCTCTAATGTTCTTTTTCATTTTCAAAATCTCAATGCTGAAAAACTTGCACACTGGCAGAACTTCTGCAGAGCAAGACTCAGATAACCCATCCTTGTTAATATGACTCATATTTGCCCATTTCTCACTAATATGACTCATGCTAAAATGGGCCATTAATAATACTCCCTGAAAAGCAAATTTAAAGGTGACTACATTTTAGATTATATATGCACACATGTACAACAATCCCTAAGGGCTTTTAAAGGTGGAGAGAGAAAACATTTCCATTTGCAAATGGCAGAAGGGGCTCTGTTCCAACATTTGAAAAATAAATCATATTTAAAACTAGGGCCAGACTTGGAAAATTGCTACAAAGAATGAGTTTTTTGGGAAAGGTATCACACTGAAAAAACCACTACAGAAATCCATATGGGGTATCTTTGTGTTTCTTCCCTTAAGATTTTAAGGCTTATGTATTGGAGTAAAGGCTCCTATTACTTTTGAGATGCATTTGGTCCTGGTTTTACTTTCAGGATTGAATAAGTGGAAACTGTCCAGATTAAACAGAATTGAATCATAGGTACTGGACACCGAGGTATGACTGACTAAATTAAGTGGGCTTTAGGCAAAAGACAGATGGTTTAACCATCTCATAATGCCAGAGCTTTGAACTAACTGGGTACATAGCGATGACATTATTAAATTGATACTGTACTATAAAATAAAGATAAATGATACCCTTTTTTGTATTTAGGAAGAATTAAAATACTGATGATTGGCCAACCTAAGCCTAACTTTGGTATCCATAGCAAAAGTAGTGTCCATACATGTTCAGGCAACACAGGTTGATTTGTTCAGGGGTCTCGATGCCAGCATTTTTCAGCACATTGAGGCTTTCCTTAATGGTTACTGGAGTTCACATAGAATGCTGGTTTCCAGGCTCAGGCTGTCTGGTACCTATCATATGAAGATCCCTCAGCCAATGGATAGCTATTTGGGATAGAACCCATTGGTGGAGGAGCCCATGGTCCAAGAACAAATGTCCAAATTTTGGTCCCTGCTTTTGTAATCCAAGGTGTCTTGCTGCCTGTGGCTGTATCTTCTTCTAAAGACTGAAGCTGAGAAGAAGGCTTGGTTTCCTCCCTTGGCTGCCCCCAAGACTACTGTTGCCACAGGTAGGTTCCTAGGATTATTTCTAGGCAAAGCACTCTTTGTATTTCTTGATCTGCTAAGATTCAGACCTTGGGCTCCACTTGGATAGTCTTAAGTTCCCCCCTGCACCTGATACTTCACTCTTTTTCTCACCTCCAAACCCCTTCTTTCCCTGATCTTTGTTGGCTATCTGCTCACTTATGACTTCAACCAATTTCCCCTGCCAGCACCCTGCTCAGATACTGCCTTCCTGTCTATGTGGCATTAACAGTCCTCTTTAGAAAGGAAATTACTGGAGGAGGAGGTTCACCTTAATTAGCAGTTCATTATTCAGCAGGGACAAACAGGAAGACTCGACTGGGCTGGAGGATAAAGGACTGGGGTTTGGGCATGGAAGGTAAGCAAGATGGAGGAGATGGGGACAGGAGGAGGAGGAGGAGAAGGAGGAAAGAAGGAGGCTTGATGAAGCCCAAACAATTTCCTTTGAAAAGGATACACATGATTACAGGAAAGCTGGTAGGTGTTTTCAATGAGCCCTTCTTCATCAAGCTCCACAATGATCTTCTGCCCACAGACTGCACAGATATTGTCCGATAAGCTCCTTGTAGGCAACCGGCTGACACTGTAGAACTATCAGAGGAAATGGACAGAGCACAGTCAGAAAGGAGAGCACATGCCACTCTCTGAATGCAGGAAGCCACTGCCAGGCACTGGGACAGGCAGCCCTTGGCACATAGAATCTCCACTGCGGCCGGGCATGGTGGCTCATGCCTGTAATCCCAGCACTTTGGGAGGCTGAGGCAGGTGGATCACAAGGTCAGGAGTTCGAGACCAGCGTGGCCAACGGGGTGAAACCCTGTCTCTACTAAAAATACAAAAAAATTAGCCAGGTGCGGTGGTGGGTGCCTGTAATCCCAGCTACTCGGGAGGCTGAGGCAGGAGAATCGGTTGAACCCGGGAGGTGGAGGTTGCAGTGAGCTGAGATTGCGCCACTGCACTCTAGCCTGGGTGACAGAGCAAGACTCTGTCTCAAAAAAAAAAAAAAAAAAAAAAAGAATCTCCACTGCTTCTAAGATAGTTTAGAATGTGAGACACCGTTTCCTGTAAGAAGAATGCTACAGAGGGGTTAAGGTTTCCAGGCAAAAACTCATTGAATTCCAAAGGGACCCAAAGCACATTGCCAATTATAACTTCTCATCTAACCTCCACATTGAGGAATCCTTTCACAGGAATCGTTTTTATCCAGGGCTGGAGTTAAGAGGAAGCTTCAGAGGAAGCCTTTGAGTTTAATCCATAGATTGGCCCTTCCCTTTATTGTCCTGGAGATTCTGATTCAGATCTCTGGAGTAAACCGAGGCATCTCTCCGTCATTTAAATCCCCATGTTTTTATTGGGTGCATGCTGAGCAATCACCATTAGAAGGCAATGCATTTAGAACTTTACTTTGGGATATCTGCATCTTCCCGTACTGTGGATAAGGAGTGGTTCTCAACATTGGCAGCATATTAGAATCCCTAGGAAGCTTTTTTTTTTCCAAAGAAAATTATTTTATAATAGTTTTAGATTTAAAGAAAAGATACAAAAATATTACAGAGATTGGCTATATACCACATATCTAGTTTCCCTATATTATTATTAGATTGATTTAAAGGAATTGGCCCACACATTTGTGGGCAAGTCAGAAATTTGCAGAGCAGGTTGGCAGGCCAGCAGGCTGGAAACTCTGGCAAGATTGATGTTGCAGTCTTGAGGTAGAACTCCTTTTTCTCTAGGAAGCCTCAGTTTTTGCTTTTAAGGCCTTCGACTGATTGGCTGAGGTCTATGTAGAATATTAAGGATAATCTCCTTCAGGTAAAGTCAATTGATTATAGATATTAATCATATCTGCAAAATACCTTTGCATCAACATGTAGACTAGTGATTTTGCCAAACAAGTGGGTATCATAGCCTAGGCAAACTGACTCTAAAATGTAATCATCACAACCTCGTTAAGGGAGGAGAATTTATATAAATTATGTGGAATTCTTTTGCACAGATTTGACTATTCTCTTCCACTTATTTATTTATTCAATCATTTATTTGATATCAATGTGGACTCATGGATATTTATGCTTTGGGTTATAACCCAATACTACTACTATTACTATTTTGTTGCTCAAATTCCAGCTTTGGCCATTGGGAGCTCTTTCAGTTGGCTCCTGTGTCTCTTTGACATATCCCCAATCACTGTGGAGTTCTTTTGTTTTGTTTTTAGCATTTTCTTGCTTTTGGTCACTACGAGATGCTCCAGGCTTATATTGTGTATTCTTTGCCCAGACCTATAATGAGCCATTTCTTCAAGGAGTGCCAGTTCCTTTTATTGTAGAATGATATTAGAAAACAAGATCTGGACACTATGTATGTTCATTGTTGCTGGGGTGTCATTGCCCCTAGGACCTCTTAGCTGACAGAACAAGGAATTCATCTGTATATACTAACACACACACACAGATACACACACAAACACACACACACACACACACATACATATCTGTAAATATTTCTATATCTATCCATGTATATCTATATTAAGCTAAACAATTACAATTACAGAATACATGTATGGTGGTATCAAAATTGTTAACCCATAGACTTGACAGCAATAACTTTATCAACTAGAGTACAGTGCTTATGACACAGTTTCTTTTGTTTTTAGTCTTATGATCTCCATTCATTTCAAAGTTACTTAGGTCAGCACCTTTTTTCCCACCCCTTTCAATGACATTATTTCATACATTTGTAATATGGTTAGATTCTTTTGGCATGATCTGAATTCTACCCTTGGATTCTCTGACTTCCTAAATTATTTTTAAAATTTGCATAAATTTAAGGTTCACACTTTCTATGGATTTTGAGAAATGTATAGTGTTATATATCCACCGTTATCGTATCACACAGAAGAGTTTCACCACTCTACATTTCCTGTGCTTCACCTATTCAACCACGCTCCTTCCCTAAAGCCTTGGCAACCATGGATCTGTTTAGCAACTCTATAGTTGCGCCTTTTCTAAAATGTCAGATAAATGCAGTCATACAGGATGGAGTCTTTTCAGACTGGCTTCTCACACTCAGCAACATGCATTTAAGATTCACCCCATGGTTTTGGATGGCTTAATAGCTCATTCCTTTCCTAAGGAGTTTTTTTTGTTTGTTTGTTTGTTTGTTTGTTTTTTTTTTTTTTGAAGCAGATGCACTGGATCTACTCCCAGAGATTCTGATTTACTTGCTTTGGTGTGGGGCTTAGGCACTGATACGGGAATGGAGACTGTATGTCCTTACCTCAGTCACAAGCACATGCACAAGTGTCTGTGGACACACACACACACACCCCTTATTAATCCAAATCACTGGTGGCTGTACCAATGGCTTGAGGCAGTGGTTTTTATAGATTTGGTCGCTGGAATAAACAGACAGGATGACAAAATGTTAAGAACTGGTCGGGTTGGATCAGGTGAGAAGTTTCCCAAAAGCTGGTGCTTAAAGACTTGGTTGTCTTGCCAGGTAAAGTCTCTTCTTCTTGGTCCACTTGAGAACAGCCACATATAATTCTAATCTTCCTTTTCTGTCCATAAACACAAGAGGTTTTGGGAATTTTCCAAGGGGTATAACTTCTGTTTTTTCTTGGAGAAACTGGGAATAAAAATACTCCTTCCTGTGCTCACATTAAACCTTATAAGAAAGGCAGTTGTATTGTACCAGCATTTCACCACAGAATTTGGGCTGCAGGCTTTAGGAAAAGAGTAAGATAGAGCCTATGGTGGAGGGGATGGACAATTGCTGTGGGGAGGAAGTCAAGGTCATAGCCACTTAGGTCCTGCTCCAGAAATGGAGGGAGCAGTCCAGAAGTTCACCCTTTTCTTGCTACTTACACTGTTTTTTTCTTTTTTTAAAAAAATTAAATTTAATTTAAAATTCCAGGATACACATGCAGGTTTGTTGCATAGGTAAACATGTACCATGGTGGTTTGCTGCACCTGTCAACCCATCAGCTAGGTACTAAGACCCACATGCATTAGCTATTTTTCCTGATGCTCTCCCTCCCGCTCCCGATAGGCCCCAGTGTGTGTTGTTCCCCTCTCTGTGTCCATGTGTTCTCATTGTTCAGCTCCCATGTACAAGTGAGAATAGGCAGTCTTCAGTTTTCTGTTCCTGTGTTAGTTTGCTGAGGATAATGGCTTCCAGCTCCATCCAAGTCCCTGCAAAGGACATTATCTCATTCTTTATTATGGCTGCATAGTATTCCATGGTGTATACGTACCACACTTTCTTTTTCCAGTCTATCATTGATGGGTTGTTTCCATGTCTTTGCTTTACACTGATTTTTCTACTTCACATCTGGCTGTGTACCAGGAGACACATGTAGAGGACAGAGATGTGGAATTCTTGAAACTACTAAGTCATCCCTAGAGCCTTTAGTTTGTAAGTTTTTAAGATATGCAAGAGTCAGACATAGATAAATGCCCCTGATATCTGAATCAGGAATACATCTAACTCCAAAGTATGTCCATTCTGAATTTTAGTCTTAAAAGAGTTCAAAAAAAGAAAAGAAAAACAACTGTTAGGGATTAAAAAAATTCTAGGTAACAGTATAGAGTCAGAATACATCTAGCATACTTTTTATATCTTCTACTTCTTCAGATGCTATATAATGTGACTGGTATTTATAATAAGTATTACCCAGATGCACTGTTGATTCTGAACTGTTTTATGCATCATCAACTATAGTTTTTATTTGCATTAGGCAGGGTTTCAGACAGAGCTGAAAGGTTTTAGTTATTGTTAATGTTTTACTAATCCTTAAATGTTGGCAATTGGAGTATGCTAGATACAATAACATAAATAATTTGCGTATTTTATTTTAAAAGATGCCTTATTGCACAAGTATTCTATATACATAAGACATGTATTTTCCAATTAATTAACAAAGAATTTTTTGATGAAAGGAGAATCCAGGGAGCAATTGGTCTAGGTGAACCAAAAGAGTTCCAAAGGAAACAATAATCAGTATATGGAGAAAGACTTATTTGTTTCTGAAAATGGATGCAGACATGTAAGATGAGACCATTTCTCTTTGTGTCATACATGGTTTCAGAAAATGAAAGCAACACTTACCCCTATAGTGGAAGCCATGTAGTCTGAGCAGATCTCGGCAAAGTCTCTCCCCATTACTCCATAGTAGAGGCCGTAGAACAAAGACACAATGCCAAAATCCATGGAATCTCTAGCTTTGATTCTATTGAAAACAACAGTATAAGGAAATAAGAATGTGGCATATTTCCAAACAGCTGGAGTTTGGAAAATATTTCCTGTTGATGGTATCTAAGAGAACCTTGTGGGTATTTTTTTTTTCATTTATGTGTTTGATTTTTCTTTTTTAAATGAAATAATTTAAAATCCTCTGAATTTCCCTCAAATTGTAGCACTCAGTGCCAACTGGACAAAGGAATTCTTGAGATAGCCTTCAAGTGCTTCTTAGGACTGCAGTGCCTAGACAAGCTGACTCTGACCAGTGGTTTCAGGCTCAGCTATACGTAGGCCTCAGCAGCTTGTAACAGTTTCCATCTCCAGGCCACACCCCAGGTAACTCCAATGGGCAGCTAACATTAAGAACCACTAGAGCAATAGTTCTTAGCCCTAAACATATATTAGAATCACCTGGGAAGATTTAAAAGCACATTAACATATGGGCCCACCACCAAGGACTGGAGTTTAGTTAATCCGGGTTGGGGTCTGGACAGCAGTATTTTTAAAGAGCTTGTTAAGTGATTGATTCTTTAACACAGCAAGGATTGAGTATGTCTGCTGTAGAATTTAGATTTTTATAAAATACTTTCTAATGATCTTTCCTAACAAGTGCTTGAGATAGATATTATCACCACCACTTTACATGTGAAAACATGGAGACTTAGAAAACATTATTTGCTTGACACAAAAATTGGTACATCACAAAGCCACAAATCAAGCTCACATCTTGAAGCCCTTGATTACCATGCCAGAGTTGCTATGTATTAACTGAAAAAAACTTTTTGTAAGTTAAATCATATTTCAATTATACCAGGATTCTTTGTGATCATCCCCCCAGCCAGTTTTTTTTTTTCTTAAGGGAAAGATCTCTTTTAAAAGTGAATAATTTGCCATAAATTTAATTTATG
This sequence comes from Homo sapiens, assembly GCF_000001405.40. NCBI lineage: Eukaryota > Metazoa > Chordata > Mammalia > Primates > Hominidae > Homo > Homo sapiens. The sequence continues at coordinate 153,721,224 of NC_000004.12, forward strand.
AATCTAAATAATTGCACATTTGGTTTGCTCTATCTATAAAACAATCTCAAATATCAGTGGTGACCCTTGGTGGTTCTGATTGATTCAGGGAAGGGAGGAAAATGTGAACAAGAGTTGGGTAGTCTCTCTCTAAAACCTATTTCTGTTTTCTGTTCATTGCAGGAAGAAATGGTGAAGGCAGACAGCTTTGTAGATTTAGAAGGTACAGATTTTTGGGTGATATGAACTGAGGCTTCCAACACAGGTGGTAGCTTCATCCTTTCAAGATTTGTCTGGGTATATCTGAGAATTAGGACAGTGGGGGAAGTGAAGAGTATCTTTCTTCCATGTCCAGGGAAATATGTATCAATAATTTTATTGATAAAAAGTACAGTAACACACTTGTGGCTCCCTAGGAAAAAAGCTTAATACAATGATAATCATCAAGTAGTGAAAAAAAATAGTTCCTTTTCTAAAGGGTTAAGTTTTTGGTATGCCTTACTGTAGGAAAATTCATGAATAAGGATCTTGAAATCTTATGAGGTAATAATCTGGGAACAGCTATCGTTCCCAGTGATTTCAAAAAAATCCTTATGAGTATTTTTATGTTCACTAAAATAAACCAGTATAGACAGTATGTTAAAAAAGACATTACAGTGTCTTTCTATATCCTAACCTAGCAATAATAGATTTGTACAATTACTTTCTACCGCTTTCCTGCTAGAAAATGTTAGGTGCTCCTGCTCCAAAAGTTTTATGAAATGCTTATAAAATCAGATTGCTATGCTGCCATAGGAAAAGCCCTTTCACCCAGGGCTGACTCTCCATCTGATTGCCTTCCCTGTTTTCTGAGTAAAGGGTTGATGAGCTCTCCTTTTCAATTTCTGTTATGGTCCCAGAAGTTTAGAGTAACTTTGATGTGAGAGCTATTCTGGGGGATTTGTATTTGAGCTGCTTTCCATAGCTGTGTGGTATGTCTTCAGTCCCCTTTCCAGGACACAGGCTGGTTACTCAGCCTCAGTCGTGTCCCTGAGAATGCCATCCACAGCATGTCTCAGCAACCACCTTAAGTGGGAGCACAGCTGTTGGTCAAAGATGTGGTTATCCCTACTTCCTTTATCTCTCCCTAGACTTTCTTGCTGTTTTATGCCTTTACTTGTCTTTCAATTGCTTTTTTAAAACTCCCCATCTATTAAACAATAGATATTGACATGTTTTCTATCCTTCAAATCTTTTTTATTTATTTGGTTTCCCAGCTTTATTTTTTTCCAATTAAAATTATTTTTGAGACGAGGTCTGGCCATGTTGACCAGGCTGGTCTTGAACTCCTGGCCTCAAGCAATCCTCCCACCTCTGCCTCCCAAGTAGCTGGGATTACAGGCATGAGCCACGGCGCCCAGCCTCTTACAATTTCGAAGCACTCACTTTTTCCTCCTTTTCCAAGTATCCCCAACACAAGGCATTTCATGACTATCAGAAACCAAATTCAAGAGAGAAGTGCTGTCCAATGTAAATACAACCACAAATATAATTTTAAATTTTCTGGTAGGTGCATTTAATAAGTCAAAAAAAAAAAACACAACAAAAAACAGGTGAAATTAATCTCACCAATATATTTAAATACTATCATTTCAAAATGTAATTGATATGAAAATGTTTTTTGTGTAAGTCTTTGAAATTCAGTATGTATTTTACACTTAGAGTACATCTTATTTCATATTTTAGGTGTTCAGTAGTCACATGAGCTAGTGGCTACTATACTGGACAACATAATTCTAGAGGTTTTAGATAAGAAGATATATATAAAAGGAGATCTAGGTACTTGAGAATTTTGTAGAAGAGAAATTAGTTCAGTAAGAATTACTCTAGCACAATTGTAGGTCCACTGTTAATAGCAATCTTTTAAATTTGCAGACCAAATATAAATTCTCCTTAAAGCTCCTAATTTTAAAAAATTATTTTGTAGGGTGCTTCTTTCTTCCCTTTCTATTGGTTTTCCCCAGAGAAGACTACGTGTGGATATCTACTATAAAACATGTGTGCATGGAAAATTGTAGGGCCAGATGCTTCTGGATTAAGAGAACATGACCAGGTGAGTGTGCCAAGCAAGTGCTTGGAGATATTAATGTCTTAATTGGAGATACTTACTTGAAAAACAGATTGAATCCACACATTGTAAACATGATCGCCAAGTAACCCACAACACCAAATGCATAGCTGAGTTTGTAGATCAAAAGAAACCATTTGTAGACCAATCTGTGGAGTGAAAAATGGGGAGAAACACAGAACACAGAAACACAGAAAAATGGGGAGAAACACAGTAATATTATAAAATATTTTGTCTTTTTCAAAGACTTATAAATCAGTTTTTAGTTTCTAAAAGTAAATTTATAACACACAGAACACAGATGTATATAGCAATAAGCATTATATGAATAGAACTATCATGCTCATGTGTTTCTGTGTATATGCGTATGTGAATTCTTTTTAAATTTGTCTACGTCCCTCATGTGCTTCACTTAAAAATAGCCTTCAGGAATGGTTACTCTTCCTGGGACCCTGCCTCCCCACAGCGCCCCCTTCTCATTTGGTCCTAGGGTTAACCTTGAGTGGTTTCAGCAGGAGTGCCTTGGAGGTGAACAAAAAGTGGGATGAGAAGTCAAAGGGGAGTCCAGAACTTCTTCCCCAGGAGTTTTTCTTCCCTCTTGTTCTGTTGCCCCTTTTCCCCCAGCCCCAGTGCAGATATCACCAGTAGTGGGCCCAGCCCTCATCCCATGTCCCCTCCACCCAAAGAGCCCTCCCCTAGCCCAGGGGATGAAATGATGAGAGCCCCAGGCTATTTCCTTCTGCTGTGTGGAAGGGTCCTGCGTGTACCCCAGCACCCTCTGTGACCTTCCAAGGCCTTTCCTTGTTCCCAAAGGGTCTAAGTGGAGAAGGAAAAGGATGAGGATGGAGGGCGAGTGGAGAGAATCTAGAAGGAAGCCCTCCCCTCTGCTGGTTTCCTTCTTCATTGGCAGTAAAGGCCCTTAGAAAAAAACTACAAGAAGGACCATGTGACCAGCTTCATGTCTAGGAGGATGGGGGAAGAGGTTGGGAGCCCAGTTCCATTCTTGGAGGGCCACAGCAGAGGGGCTATGCCCATTGGTACAAGAGGTAGTGGATGGAAAAGCTGGGGGCTTATCTTTGTTGCTCAAAGAAAATGAAGAGGTGGCTAGAAAGCTGCTTACAAGGGTGTGCAATGGCAGAAGGCCCTGTTTGCCTCACATCCCTTTCCCTGCACATCCTCTTGGAGTCTCTTTCCTGCTTTTCACTCCAAACTGCATTAAGAGTCTTGCTCCAGATGTTTAGCCCCACCCTCTCACCCCCAAGTCCTGAGCCCTGTCTCTGACTCTTTCACCTTCCCCAGCTCACTCCCTGTTGGAGCCATTGCACCAAATACTTAAGATCTATGATATTACTAGCATAAGGTTTCAATATGATTTTAATAGGTGCTCTATTTCACTGAGTTCCAGTCAGAAGGGACCTTCTGAACATCATGGTTTAAATGGGTTGTGGGCTAGCTCCTGAAATGTGTTGTCATTTACATCACTTCTATGGTGAACCACCTTCTGCACTTGAAGCAACTGATATTCAAGGGCTGTCTGTGCTGCCACCTACTCCACCAGGTGTGATCCTGCCCCAGGGGGGAGTAGGCAGGGGTGAGCTACGTGGGGGACCAGGCAGAGGTGAGCTACGTGGGGGAGTGGGCAGGGGTGAGCTACGTGGGGGAGCGGGCAGGGGTGAGCTGTGTGGGGGAGCGGGCAGGGGTGAGCTGCGTGGGGGAGCGGGCAGGGGTAGGCTGCGTGGGGGAGCGGGCAGGGGTGAGCTGCGTGGGGGAGCGGGCAGGGGTGAGCTGCGTGGGGGAGTGGGCAGGGGTGAACTGCGTGGGGGAGTGGGCAGGGGTGAGTTAAGTGGAGACAGAAACTTGCATGGGCTGCAGAAGTTGGCTGAAATTACTGTGAGGCTGTGTGGCCTCAAAAGGAAGCCAGAGAAGGCTTTTGGCGTCTTTCTGCCACAGTGACTCTTGAGCCATGGGTTCTTTTCATTTGTCAGTACTGAGCAGTTTAGATCATTGCTCAGGGCAGCCAGATCAAGGCGGAAGTTTATGTTGCTAAAAGTGGTGATGGTGGAGAAACAGGCAAGCTCTGAGAGGGTCCCCTCTACTAGGCCCCCAACACCTGCCAGTACCAGAATATGGTTCCTTGAACTCCGCACACACTGGTGACCCATTTCCCTGCCTTAAGGGGCCTCTCTCAAACTTCCGCCAGCATTAGAGATGTTTTAGGACTAATAACCTTTAAACTGCAGGGTTTCTCTGTGCAAAGCGGTTTGTTGAATTAATGAAGCCATAGCATGCTGTTGGGAGCAGGAGCTTTGCAGCCAAGTAGTTCTTTGGTCTGATCCAAGGCTTTGCTGCTTACTGCCCATGGGACTTTGGTCAATTTACTTGGCATTCCTTCCTATGATTGCCTAATTTATAACATGAGGATAACACTAGCTCCTAAAGTTGTTCTGAAGGTTGTGTGAGCTAATGTATTGATGTTTATTGACTTGGCACACTAAATGCTCAATATGTCATATCACTGTTATGGATGTGTTCAGTTTTCCAAATCTCAAGCCCCACTTCTCCTGCCATTTTCCTGCTTATTGCGGGTACCTATTTTCAGGAACAGTAGAGTCCAGAATTTCCTTGCTACCCAGACTTACACTGTAAGGCAGATAAGCCAGATAGGAGATTGTTTAACTGCTTCAGAGCAGCCTCCAAAAGGAAAGCTTGGCCTTGGGCTGGATTCAATGTGATCAAGCCCAGCTCTTTGTGGCTAGTGTGTGTATGTGTGTGTGTGTGTGTGTGTGTGTTTTGTTTTTGTTTTGTTTTGTTTTTGAGGTGGAGTCTTGCTCTGTTGCCCAGGCTGGAGTGCAGTGGCGTGACCCTGGCTCACTGCAACCTTTGCCTCTGGGTTCAAGTGATTCTCCTGCCTCAGCCTCCCGAGTAGCTGGGATTACAAGCACCTGCCACCACACCCAGCTACTTTTTGTATTTTTAGTTGAGACAGGACTTCACCATGTTTGCCAGGCTGGTCTCAAACTCCTGACCTCAGGCGATCCACCCACCTCGGCCTCCCAAAGTGCTGGGATTACAGGCGTGAGCCATTGCATGTGTGGCTTATTTCTGACCCTGAACTTCACTGCTTGCCAGACAAACCAACTGTAGTTGAGAGGAAACTCACTTCCCCTTCTTTGGGCACCCCATCCTGAAACAAGAGCTTGATGTGCTCTCAAAGAGAAATAGTAGGCTTTGAACTGCTGGTGCTGGAGACCACTGCTCATGGGTCTGCCTTCTACAGCAATGCTGATTTCTTCATCCAGCTCCCCTAGCCTGTAATGAAATCCTCTGCTTCCAAATGGAAGATAGTTAAAATGTGACTCACCTGTAATACAATAATTAAGCAAAGATCCATGGTAATTCTGGGGCCTATTGCCTCTTATGTACAGGAGCTCCATCCTGACTGCTCTTCTAGAAGAGGCCCTACTTCACCTTGCTCAGTGATGTCTCTTCAAATGGCAGCTGAGTTTGCTTTATAAAGTCAGTGGAGCCTCTTGACTCTCAGACTATCCTCTAGGGCTTGGAGTTGTGCAGGCAGGAAGAAGCTGAGAGGACATGCTTTGGGCATGGGAAAGAGAGCGGACATATGCAAGCCATAAAGGGTAATGAGGCAGCATTTGGGTATTTCTTGTAATAAAGTTCCTCTGCATTGCACGAACTGATGTGCACAAAGACACTGCCTTTAGATGGGGTAATTCATTCTACAGTGGATAGGCGAACCATTCTCATGGAAATACAACATAGATTATATCCAGGGGATGAAAACAAGCACATTTTGATTCATCCCAAACTCAGAGCACTTTCACAAATCTTAAATAACTTAGAATATTTTCTAAGGAGAAAGGTACCATACATTCACTTTACTGATTGATAAGCCAGACACTACAAGGGCTGTCCAAGATCCCAAATTGGCCAGTTTATAAGGTCTCCTACCACCACCCAGACCTCTTCCTCTTTAGTTTAGTGGAACTGAACTAAAATACTCATAACATGAATTCATGTATTTGGATATCCATTTTTATCATCACATTTATTTATCTGATTTCTCATTGGATATTTTTCCTTCTCCTAACTTGAAGGAAAAGTTGATATACATGTTTCCTACTTTTTTAGAGGATGAAGACAAATGTCTAAATAATCATAAAAGTATTTCACTGAAGCTTATGATTTATTCTTCCAAAAGGTCAAATTTAGCATTGTTTTATCACTATTTTACATTTTACACACTTTATCTCATTCCAGTTTTATCATGATGAGGATATGGATTTTATCCACAGAACAGGGAGGGCAAAAGCAAGCCTGTGGGCACAGTATGTGATGATAAGCACTTTGGAAGGATTTGTGAATGATACAACGGAGTTATACAAATCTTTGGAAGCTGACAATGGTAATTAAAGTGACCATTGGAATATTAAACCATCATTTGTTATTAGAGTAATAAGTTGTCCATGACTTATGATTTATTACATGTTTTCAGGTTGAAACACAACTTTCAACTCTTGCTCTATTTTAAAATGTGTGACACAACTTATAGTGGAATAAAGAAAAATGCTGAGGTAAAAATAAACTTGCAAATAATGCTCTAGAAATTTTAAACAATAGTTTCACTTCTTTCTTCTGCATTTCACTAGCTAATATTTGAAGTAATAAATTTTACATGCATATCTGAATTGCTATTAAATAATGAAGGCAAACTAAGACCAGTGTAGCTAATTTCTCAATTGTTTTGCTACCAAAGGTAAAAGACACGTAAAAGAAATGTAACCCCCCCACTCCCCAACCCAGGAAAATGGCAATAAAATATGCTTTGTAATATTTAAAATAAAGGGGCTCCTGGGGAAGGAATGTATGGAATACATACCGTGGTGTCCTTCCTGAGAGGGGTTTTCGGGTAGCTCTGAAGAGGATGTAACTGGTAATAACGGAGAACATCCCCCACATAGACAGAAACCGCCACCAGTATAATTTTATCGTGAAATATAAGGGGACAACCCACATCTGCAACAAGGTCACCAGCTGTCAGAGAAATGAACAGGAAGTATCTTTCAATGACCAAGTGCCTGAATGGCATCTCCACTATTAAATGAGTCTGAAGCATTGCTGGGAGAACCACCTTCACCATCATGTCTGTACCATGCAACTGGTTCACCATCAAACTGTAAGCTTCCCTAGACAGGCCAGGCTATGGGGAGTATGGGCACAATTATCTGAAAATTCCAATGGGAAACAATCCAAAATACCCGCCCTCTGTCACTTCCTTTCATCTGACAATTTTAGATTAAAGGCCTTTGGGGCCTCCATAGAGATGTGATTTTGGACAAGGGAGCCTCACTTTAGTTGTATAATTGGGGGTACAGATGCTTGCACTGCTTCCCTGCACTCACTGAGGCGGGGATCAAACGAGATCAGGAATGGAAAGCACTCTGAAAACCATACTGCACTACACAGAGCCCAGGGGCTTTGTTACTGTCATGTATCCATACGAAAGTGACAGCAATGTCAAAGGAGGAAGTGGAGGTCAGAGTTTCAGAGAAGCCCCTGGGATGTCTTCTGCCTGCAGTCCCAGGGCACTCTGCAAGGTTTCCTGTTCGTTTGGTGCATAAACCTTTTGTGATCTGTGCCATTGACCTGAGTCCAAGTAGCCTTCAGAGGGTCCTTTAATCTGGTCCCATTCCCATAGGTCAGGGAGCAGGGCAGAGTGAACTGACTGTCTGTGGGTCACTGATGTGATATGGTTACCATAGCTATACTCCTACTCCTCGAAGCAGGCCTAGTACCAGCTAGTCACCCCTCTTGGGAAAAGCAGACAGCTTTAATCAATAGCAATATCCTTTGGTCTTTTATGTTTTCTCGCATTCAGACTAAACACCTATTATTTGCTCAGAATGAACATAAGGGGAACGGCAAAGAGGGTTTTGTCTCAAGGGTGTACGTTAACTAATTTTTAGTGGTAGCCTGCAGCGCTCTGTTGAGGATTCTGAGCCTGGATCCTGGTTCAGTGGTAGAGTCTTATAATCAGTTAATGAAGTCTGCCAGCAATGTGGGAAGAGTGGTTAGAGCTTGCTTATCGCATATTCATCATCCTGAGTATTAAAAAGGCTGCTGCCATTTGTTTTCTTTACCTTCTCAATCTTTGCAATAGAAAAGGGAGGCTTAGAACAAAAGAGTCTATGGATATATTGTTGGATCCTTTAAACAGGTCTTGGTGATAATAGTCTAAGGTCAATAACCAAAGCTCTTGGACAGGACTTCAAGATAGAAATGAGAAAGGCAAGACCACAGCCATTCTTCTTTCAATGTCAGATAAGAAGACATTTCCCAGGCTCACCATTCTCCTTTGATTGCTCCATCCTCATAAATGATCTGAAGTCTTCTTAGAATTGCTCTGAATCTTCTTTCAGAGAACCCTAGAGTTGTTATCATAGATATGCACTTAAACAAAAACACACACGGAGCAAGTCTGAGGTGAGTATCTGAGGAGTTCGGGAACAAATCCTATAACTTCAATTTTTGTTTTTTAACTTCAAGGAATACTTTCAGGGAAAAAAATCCACTAATCTTGCCTCCATTTATCAGATAACTGCTTTAAATTTCCATCCTACTTTGTGGGTGTGGAAAATGAATGAGTTAGCACCTTTATGTAATTGAGATAAATACACATACACAAATAGGAAAAACAAGCTTTACTTAAGGAAGTAGAATAGTTTTCAAGAGGACCCGAAACCATATGCTAAGTAACCAAGACTCAAGATGTGCTTACTTAAGCATTCAGCAACTTTGACCCTCTGCTATTGACAGTAAAAGTATGCAGCACCATGGCCTGGTGTGGTGGCTCATGCCTGTAATCCCAGCAGTTTGGGAGGCGGGGGTGGATGAATTTCTTGAGCTCAGGAGCTTGAGACCAGCCTGGGCAACATGGCCAAACCCTGTCTCTACAAAAATTAGCCAGACGTGGTGGTATGTGCCTGTAGTCCCAGCTACTCAGAAGGCTGAGGTGGGAGGACCACCTGAGCCCTTGAGGTCAAGGCTGCAGTGAGTTGAGATCATGACACTGCACCGGGTGACAGAGTTAGACCCTGTCTTAAAAAAAAAAAAGTGGGTAGCACCTTAACAAAAATCTTATCAGCATATTGGTCATTTATTTTCTGTAGCTGATTTTGGAGATAGTTCTTTATCATAAATTATACATTTGCTGACTTAAAAGATCATTACTTCTGGTAGTAAAGAAGGAAATGGACATGAACTTCATCTTTCAAAGTCTGATCATCTGTCGTTTGCATTTTTCCTCTTTCTATTTTAAGAATTTGTTTCATTTTTTTATTTCCCCATAAAATACTGGAGTTTTTTAAAATAAAAACTTGAGTTGGTTCATTTTAATTCAGTGGAACTACTATGCTCTTATATTTTATACTTTAGATCTAAGCCAAAATATAAGACTAATCAATTTCTTCTAATCCATGGAGTTACAATCCATGATAGTTTGGAGCCACAGCTGGACTATATTTTAATAAAACCAGTTCTCTTCCTGTAAATCCATAAGTATGAACAATTTCTAGAAGATGTCAAATTTCTCTTGATGCCTAGATTTAATTAATAGTGAGTAACAATGTTCAATGTACAGACATTGTACTTTTAAAAATAGGCTTTGGAGATCAAAAAGGAAAAGAAAGCAAAAAATCATTAGAATGTATTATGTGTGCAAATATTTTATTTCTTAACTATCTTTAAAATGTAACTCAGCACCATATTTTCTCAATATATGAAGGGAAAGTTCAGTAATTTGCTCTGTGAATTCAGTGATTGCATGGCTAGTCATTTTGAAATGAGAGACACATTTCATATCAATTTAAAAGATTCTTTATCAATTTCCAGAGCAGTTAAAATTTCTCATTTTAAATAGTAACTGCCATATATGAAATGTAGGAATGCTGTCCCTCATAAATAAACACATGAAATATATGAAATCGAGGCACATACATGCAAAGAAGGAAGCCTGGCATCTGGAACTCATTAATAATGCCACAGGGGTCACCATCTGGGCATGTGTGTATAAAACACATCTGCACTACTGGCAACGGGTGGCTCATGCATCTGGATCACATCACTCACGTTCTCCCCAACCACATATCATAGCAGGAGGAATTTCCTGATGAATCAGATGCTGCCCAAAAGTACCATGGTTTCTTTGTGTTGCCATGCACATAATGAATCTGAAAAGAATTACAGATCAAGCTAAAACAAAGATACCTTTCATTTGGCTAATTGTACAGAATGATGAATGGGCCATGCAATATTAAAAGAAAGAAGGAAAGAGAAAGAAAGAGAGAGAGGGAGGGAGGGAGGAAGGAAGGAAGGAAGGAAGGAAACAAGGAAAAAAAGAAAAAAATAAATAAATTATGTGTGTTCATTTCCTCTGCACTGCAAATCCCAAACTATCTGCAATCATTTGTGTGTGGAGGGTGGTGGGATGGTGGAGGGAGGGCAGTGGTGTGCTCAGAGGTAAGCAGAAAATTATCATAAAAAAATACCCAGGAAACAATGCTGCTATTAGTAAAAGACAATGAAGGAGAGTGTGAATATAAAGCAAGTAGGAAGAAAGTATGGGTTGGCACGTGGTGACTCATGCCTGTAATCTGAGGACTTTGGGAGGCCGAGATGGGTGGATCCCTTGAGGCCAGAAGTTTGAGACCAGCCTGGGCAACATGGTGAAACCCCATCTCTACTAAAAATACAAAAATTAGCTGGGCGAGGTGGCACACGCCTGGAATCCCAGCTACTTGGGTGGCTGAAGCGTGAGAGTTGTTTGAACCTGGGAAGCGGAGGTTGCAGTGAGCCGACATCCTGCCACTGTACTACAGCCTGGGTAACAGAGCAAGACTCTGTCTCAAAAAAAAAAAACAAAAACAAAAAACAAAAAACAAAGAAGAAGAAGAAAATATGGAAATGGAATATTGGCATACAAAGGTTCCTTAGAAATTCAGTTGGTTCACTTTTTTTAATCTCCACATCAATCTAGATGGCTGATTTTGTTATTTAAACTTTTAAAGGAGGTTCTGCAATGTTATATACATATGTATTTAAGTATGTATGTATTTGTGTCTTGCCTCATTTTAAAAAGATTTGAGCAGACACAATGCTTTATTGGCCCAGTAATATTTTCTAGTATTTCACAGCTATTAATAGGCAGGAAGGTTGATTTAAATAGAGCAATGCTTCAATCTGGAAAATTATTTGCACTGTATTGAGGCAAGTTAATAGTGTGTCTGAAACCCAAGTTCTGGGCATGTAGTCATCAGGCCTTCTACTGATTTGTGAAGTCAGAGAAGGATTCTTTTTTGGCACTCTTCTGTCTACTTGCTGCAGATACGGAAAGTAACTGCACATAAAAGAAGGTGGAGAGGGTGATGTTGAATGAAATTTTATTTCTAGTTAAATGCTGTTCAAAGCATTTGGAAATGATTTAACTTTGAGGCTTTGCCTACATCTATAACATATCAAGATTACCAGCTGGAAAGGGAAAAATTCAAATACCCGGATGCTTGGACTATGCTGTGCTAAAAATGCGACTACTTGAAAACATCCAGGTATTTAGTAGTATCCCACATGAAATAAGAATTTCCCACCTTCTTTCCACTTTTGACATCACACAGGAGCAGTTAACATTATATTTCTATACTTTATTTTCTAAATAAACCATTTCTTTTGCTTTAGGTATTTATAATAAGCTGCTCTGATGTACACAGCTCCTACAGACCGCAGAACATAATCTATCTAGACAAATTTAAAAGACCACCTCAGAAGACGGGCATACTTGTTAAAAAGTTGTATCTGAAAATATTCTGAGCTTTTTGAATTAGTCTGTGTCCTCTTTAAGTACATGATCTGAATTATGCATAAAAGAATGTGAAAATAATAATCCTTTATAATGAATAATACCTTCAGGGTAAAAATAATATGCATAAATAATAATACATGCAGTATACAAAGCTTTTACACATATTACTATAAGTGCACTTCCTACTTTTTTTCTAACTTCCATCCCTTGCTTTTCTGTAAACTCGCATTCCAACAGTAAGTAACCTGGCTCCCACTAGCTGCTATTTACTTAATTGTTCAATTCCTGTGTACATACACAGCAGTATGATAATTGTTAATTTGTATCCCCACGGGGAACAATTTTATCAAGTGGAATACAGTACTTTTTTGCAGTTCCTATTGCCTTCATCTTACAGACTCTGCTCATTTCCAAAGTTACTTAAAGAGGGGGCGATACTTTTCCCCTCTCTACCCTTCAGTGAGGTTGTTTTCCATATTTTTAATGCAGTTAGATCCCCTTGCACAGTCTGCATTTCTCCCTGGAATCCCCCAACCTCCTAAATGATTCTTAAAAATGTTCCTATTTTGAAGTCCGGTTTTTGTGCTGTACAGCTCTATGACATTTGACAAATGCATAATATATTGTACCCACAAATACAATATTACACAAATTAATTTTACTACTCCAGAATTCCTGACCTATTTATTTTCCTCTCTTCCCCTCAAACCACTGATTGTTTTGCTGTCTCTATAGTTTTGTGGTTTTCAGAATGTCATATAATTGAAACCATACAGTATGTAGCTTTTTCACATTGGTTTGTTTCACTATGACTTGTTTCACCAAAGTTCATCCATGTTTTTTCATGACACAATAGCTTATTTCTTTTTATTATTGAATAGTATTCCATTGCATGAATGTACCACAGTTTATTTATCCAGCTTTTAAAGGATATCTTGGTTGCTACCAGTTTTGGGCAATTATGAATAAAGGTGCTGTAAATATTTGCATGCAGGTTTTTGTGTGAATGTAGGTTTTCAATTTAACTGGGTAAATACCCGGTAGAGTGATTATATAGTAAGCCTATGTTTAGCTTTGTGGGAGACTGCCAAACAGCCTTCAAAAATAGCTTTACCATTATTTGCATTCCCAACAACGAGAGTTCCTGCTACTCCACATTGTCATCAGTATTTGGTATTGTCAGTTTTTTGAATTTTAGCTATTCTAATAGGTGTGTAGTGTTATCTTATTATTGCCTTAATTCTCTAATGACACGATGAGATGATGAGCTCCTTTTCATATGCATATTTGCCATCTGTAAGTTTTCCTTAGTAGGAATTAATTAATTACATGTGTAATTAATTACATAAGTTAATCCAGATCTTTTGCCATTTTTAATGAGTTGTTTTCTCGTGGTTGAGTTTTAAGTATATTTTGGATACAAGTCCTTTATCAGATATATGTGTTTGCAAATATTTTCTCCAAGTCTGGCTTGTTTTTTTATTCTTTTTTTTTTTTTTTTTTTTTTTTTTTTGAGATGTTGTCCCGCTCTGTCGCCCAGGCTGGAGCGCAGTGGCGTGATCTCGGCTCACTGCAAGCTCCTCCTCCTGGGTTCACGCCATTCTCCTGCCTCAGCCTCCCGAGTACCTGGGACTACAGGCACCCGCCACCACACCCAGCTAATTTTTTGTATTTTTTAGTAGAGACGGGGTTTCATCGTGTTAGCCAGGATGGTCTCGATCTCCTGACCTAGTGATCTGCCCACCTCGGCCTCCCAAAGTGCAGGGATTACAGGCTTGAGCCACCATGCCTGGCCTCATTCTCTTAACAGTATCTTTTCCATAGCAGTTTTTAATTTCAATAAAATCTATCTTATTTATATTTTCTCTCATGGATCATGCTTTTGGTACCATATCTAAAAACCCATCATCAAATACAAGTAAACCTATATTTTTTTCCTATGTTATCTTCTCAAAGTCTTACAGTTTTGCATTTTTCATTTAGGCCCAAGATTCATTTCGAATTAATTTTTCTAAAAGGTGTATTGTATGTTCTGTGTCTGTGTCTATTTTTTTTTTTTTGGCATGTGAAAATCCAGTTGTTCCACAACCATTTGTTGGAAAGACTATCTTTCTCTATTGAATTGCCTTTGTCCTTTGTCATGGATCAGTGACTGTATTTGTTTGGGGGTCTATTTGTGGGCTCTCTATTCTGTTCCATTGACTTATGTGTCTATTCTTTCACCAGTACCATGCTATATTTATTACTGTAGCTTTACAGTAAGTCTTGAAATTGGGCAGTGTCAGTCCTCCAACTTTGTCTTTCAGTGTTGTGTTGTCTATTGTGGGTCCTTTGCTTTTCCACATGAACTGTAGAATCAGTTTGTTGACATACACAAAGTACCTTGCTGAGATTTTAGTTGAGATTGTGTTTAATCTATAGATCTATAGATCAAGTCAGGAAGACTGGACATATTGATACTGAATCTTCCAATCTATGAATATGGAATAATCTTTCCATTAATTTATATCTCCTTTCTCTGTATAGATCCTGTACATATTTTGATAGATTTATGACTAAGTATTTATTTTTTTTGGTGCAACTGTAAATGGTATTGTGTTTTAATTTCAAATTCTAATGGTTCATTACTGGTAACAATTGACTTTTGTATATTTACTTTGTATCTTCCAACCTTGCTATAATCACTTATTATTTCCATGAGTTTATGTTGATTCTTTGAGATTTTCCATATAGACAATCATGTAAGATGGTTTTAATTTTTCTTTCTAATCTGCATACCTTTTATTTCCTATCTTGCTGCACTAGCAAGGACTTCCTGCACAATGTTGAATAGGAGTGGTGAGACAGGACATTCTTTCCTTCTTCCTTATCTTAGAGGGAAATCATCCAGTTTCTCACCATTAAGTATGTCAGTTGTAGGCTTTCTGTAGGCACTCTTTATCAAGTTGGGAAATTCCCTTTTATTCCTAGTTTGCTGAGAGTTTTACATGAATGCATGCTAGACCTTGCCAAATGCTTCTGCTACATCTATTGATATGATCACAGGACTTTCTTCTTTAGCCTCTTGATGTGATTATTTACATAAATTGATTTTTAATTGTTGAGTCAGCCTTTCATATCTGGAATAAATCTCACTTGATTGTGGTGTATAATTCATTTTATACATTGTTGGATTTGCTCTGCTAATATTTTGATGAAGATTTTTGGATTTATGTTTTTGAGAGATTTTGGTCTACAGTTTCCTTTCCTTGTAATGTCTTCATATGGTAAGTCTTGAAATTGGGCAGTGTCAGTCCTCCAACTTTGTCTTTCTGGTTTTTTTATGAGGGTAATGCTGGCCTCAATGAATGAATTTGCAAGTACTCCCTCTGTTTCTATTTTCTGGGAGAGATTGTAGAGAACTGGTATCATTTCTTCTTTAAATGTTTGGTAGAATTTACCAGTGAAACAACCTGGGCTTGGTGCTTTCTTTTTTGGAAGGTTATTAATTATTGATTGAAATTTTAAATTGATATAGGCCTATTCAGTTCATCTATTTCTCCTTGTGCGAGTTTTGGTATAGTTTGTGTCTTTCAAAGAATTAGCCCACCTCATCTAATTTATCCAAATTTGTGTGCACAGAATTGTTTGTAGCCTTTTCTTTTTATGTCCATGGGATTAGTAATGATGATCTCATTTTCTTTTCTCTTTTTTCAGGGAGACAGGGCCTCTCTCTGTGACCCAGGCTGGAATGCAGTGGCACAACCATAGCTCACTGTACCTCCAACTCCTGGGCTTAAGCAATCCTCCTGCCTCAGCCTCCTGAGTAGCTAGGACTACAGGCACGTGCCATGATGCCTGGCTAATTTTCAAATTTTTTGTAGAGATGGGGTCTCATTATGTTGCCCAGGCTGGTCTTGAACACTTGGCCTCAAGTGATCCTCCCACCTCAGCCTCCCAAGTGCTGGGATGACAGGTGTGAGTCACTAAGCCTAGCCCAATTTTCTTTTATAATATTAGTAATTTGTGTTTTCTCTTTTTTTTTTCTTGGTTAGTCTGGCTAGAGGTTTATCAGATTTATTGATCTTTTCAAAGAACCAGCTTTTGGTTTCATTGTGTTTCCTCTACTGATTTCCTATTTTTAATTTCATCAATTTTTGCCAAAATTTATATTATTTATTTTCTGTTTGTTGTAGGCATAAATTACTCTTCCTTTTCTAGTTTCCTCAGGTGGATTTTTAGATTATTGATTTTAGACTTTTCTTCTTTTCTAATATATGCATTCAATGGTATAAATTTTCCTCTAAGCACTGCTTTTGCTGCATCCCAGAAATTTTGATAAGTTGCATTTTCATTTTCATTTAAATTATTTTAAAATTTCTCTGGAGTTTCTTCTTTGACCCATGTGTTATTTAGTATTATGTTATTTAATCTGAAAATATTTTGGAATTTTCCATGCTTTCTGTTATTAATTTCTAGTTTAATTCATTGTGGTTTGAGAGCATAGATTGTATAATTTCTATTCTTTTAAATTTATTTTGGAGTGTTTTATGGCTCAGAATGTGGTGTATTTTGGTGAATGTTCCATGTGATGTCAAGAAGAATATATACTCTGTTGTTGTTGGATGAAGTATTCTATAAATATCATTTAGAGCAAGCTGATGAATGGAACTGTTCAGTCAATTATGTCCTTACTAATTTTATGCCTGCTTGATCCATCAACTACTAAAAGATGTATTAAAATCTTTAACTATAATGGTCAATTTGTTGATTTCTCTTTGCAGTTCTATCAGTTTTTGTCTCACATATTTTGATGCTCTTTTGTTAGATGCATACATATTAAGAATTTCTTCTTGAATAACTGACCCCTTTATCATTATGTAATGCCCTTTCTTTCTTTCTTTTTTTGAGGCAGAGTCTCACTCCGCTGCCCAGGCTGGAGTGCAGTGGAGAGATCATGGCTCATTGCAGCATTGACCTCCTGGGCTCAAGCCATTTTCCCATCTCAGCCTCTGGAGTAGCTGGGACTACAGGAGCATGCCACTATGCCTGGCTAATTTTTAAATTATTTATAGAGATGGGGTTTCATCATGTTACCCAAGCTGGTTTTGAACTCCTAGGCTCAAGCGATCCTCCCTCCTCAGCCTCCAAGTAGCTGGAACTACAGGTGCCTGCCGCTACATCTGGCTAATTTTTTTTTTTTTTTGGTAGAGATAAGGTGTCACTTTGTTGCCCAAGCTGGTCTCGAGCTCTTGGCTCAAGCAGTCCTCCTACCTTGGGCTCTCAAAGTGCTGGAATTACAGGCATGAGCCACTGTGCCAAGCCAAATGCCCTTTCTTATCCCTGATAATTTTCCTTGTTCTGAAGTCCACTTTGTCTGAAATTAATATAGCTGGTCCAGCTTTCTTTTGATTAGTGTTAGTATGGAATATCTTTTTCCAAATCTTTACTGTTGATATATCTGTAACAACATATAATTGCATCTTGTTTTTGTAAATTAATCCACTCTGAAAATCTTTGTATTTTAATTTTTATATTTAGACCATTCACATTTGAAGTGATTATTGATATAGTTGGATTAATATCTACCATGTATGTAACTATTTTCTATTTGTTGCACTTGTTCCTTGCATCTTTCTCCCTCTCTCTCTGCCTTCTCTGGTTTTAACTGGGTATTTTATGAGATTCCATTTTCTCTCCTCTATTAGTATATCAATTATACTCCTTTACAATTATTTCTAGTGGTTTCTCCAGAGTTGCAAAATACATCCATAACTAATCCAAGTCCGTTCTCAAATAACACTTACAGCTTTGTTGGTATTATAGGTACCTTATAACAGAAATCCCAATTCCTCCCTCCCATTTCTTATAATACTGCTATCATTCATTTCAGTTATCCATATAACATAATCACCCAATACACTGTTCCTATGTTTACTTTGAACAATTAATCTATTAGAGGAATTAAGAAAAAGAAATAGGGCCGGGTGAGGTGGCTCATGCCAGTAATCCCAGCACTTTGGGAGACTGAGGTGGGCGGATCATGAGGTCAGGAGTTTGAGACCAGCCTGACCAACATGGTGAAACCTCGTCTCTACTAAAAATACAAAAATTAGCTGGGTGTTGGGGCAGGCACCTGTAATCCCAGCTACTCGGGAGGCTGAGGCAGGAGAATTGCTTGAACCCAGGAGGCGACGGGTACAGTGAGCCGAGATCACACCATTGTACTCCAGCGACAGAGCGAGACTCTGTCTCAAAATAAAAAATAAAAGAAAGAAAGAAAGAAAAAGTTTTATTTTATCTCTATTTATTCTTTCTCTGACATTCTTTCTTTCTTTATGTAGATTATCTGAGTTTCTGGCCTAAATCACTTTACTTCTTTCTGAAGAACTTTTAAAAAACACTTCTTACAGGTCAGAACTACTGGTAATGAATTCCTCATTTTTTGTTTGCCTGATAAAGTCTTTATTTCTCTTTCACTTTGAAGTGAATTTCTCTGGATATAGAATCCTAGACTGCTGGGATTTTTTCTTTCAATACTTTAAATATTTTACTTCACTTTCTTCTTGTTTGCATAGTTTGTTTTTCCCCTCTCTGGCTGCTTTTAAGGTTTTCCTTCATCTTTGGCTTTCCGTAGTGTGAATTTGACATACCCAGGTATAGATTTCTTGGTATTTACCCTACTTGGTGTTCTCTGAGTTTCTTGGATTTGTGGTTTGGTGTCTCCTTAATCTTGAAAAATTATTGGTCATTATTATTTCAAATATTTTTTCAGTTCCATTATCTCTTTCTTCTCCTTTTGGTATTCCAGTATGTGTATGTTATATTTTTTGAAAATGTTCCATAGTTTAGATATCCTGTTCTATTTTCTTTTCACTCTTTTTTTCTCTTTGCATCTCATTTTGGGAAGTTTCTACTGACATTATCTTCAAGCTCACTAATTCCTTCCTCAGCTTTGTCCAATCTATTGATGAGGCCATTCAAGACATTCTTCCTTTCTGGTACCATTTTTTTTTTGTTTTATTTTTAGCATTTTAAAAGGTTCTTTGTAAGTTTCCACTTCTCTGATTACATTACCCATCTATACTTGGATGTTGTCTACTTTTTCCATTAGAGATCTAAGCATATTAGCCATAATTATTTTAAGTTTTATTTTATTTTTAATTGAAAAATAATAATTGTATATATTTATGAAGTACAATGTGATGTTTCTGTACATGTATACATTGTGAAATGATCAAATCAGGCTAATTAGCATATCTATCACCTCAAATATTTATCATTTTTTTGCAGTGAGAACATTTAAAAATCCTCTCTTAGCTATTTTGGGACATTCAATACGTTTATGTTAACTACAGTCACCATGCTGTGCAATAGAATACCAGAATTTATTCCTCATATCTAACTGAAACTTTGTACTTGTTTACCAATATCTCCTCTTTCCCCATCTACCCACCCCTCTATGGCCTCTGGTAGCCACCATTCTACTCTACTTCTGTGAGTTTGACTTTTTAATCATAATTATTTTAAATTCCTGGTCTGATAATTCCAAAATCTCTCCCATATCTGAGTCTGGTTCTTTGTCTCTTCAGACTGTGTTTTTTTCCTCCTTCTAGCATGACTTGTAATATTTGGTTGAAAAGCAGACATGATGTATTGAGTAATAGAAGCTGAGATAAACAGGCCTTTAGTGTGAGGTTTTGTATTAATTTGGCTAGGAGTTGGGCTGTGTTTAATGTTTGCTGTAGTTGTAGGTGTCAAAGCCTTCAATTTCCACTAGTGTCCTTGTTTCTGTCTCTGCTGTTGTCTTTGGGTTTCCCTAAACATTCCTTCTTATATAGAGTCTAAGCCTTGCAGCTCTTTCAGCTCTAACTTTTGGCTATTACGCTGGACACCTGTTGATGTGGTGGCAGGGCGTAAGGATAGTGGGAGCATTCTGTTATCATATGGTTAAGTCTCTTTTAGGCCTGTGTACCTGGGGTGGCCTTTACAAGTGTTTCTCAACTATTTTGTTTCCCCTTAGGTGACACAGGAAGGCTAGAGGGAGCTGGAGTTGGGTTATTTCTCTCCCCTCATATTGGATGAGGCTCTGATCAATCTTTTCCCTTGCTGTGGTAGGTCTTATTATGGAGAACATTCTGGATCTGCTTCAGAGTGGTCACTTTTCCCCTCCCCTGCTGGAAGCATGAGAGCACTTCTTGGGTTTTCATTGTCAGACCCCGGTGGGGTAGCTGGAGGTAAAACCTAAACAAAATGTGGGGTCCCTGACTGTGGCTCCCAGGAGTTTCTCACTCTCACACTACTCTATGCACTGCTTCCAGCAATCCTTCAGAGTTACTACATTTGATATGGCATTGTCGCTTCTGCTTTCAGGAAGGAGATCTCAGCTGTGATTTCCTGCATTCATCTGTCTCTCTAGATTTTGAGGTGGTGGTTTTCCCTGTGACCTCAATTCTCTGACAGGTCCAAGAAAAGCCATTGATAATCAGTTTGGTCCGTTTTTTTCTTGTTGTAAGATAAAAGTGCTGACTTCCAAGCTTTTTATATGTTGGAGCTGAAACCAGAAGTCCTTCCTATTTTTTAAAATTTCATCATTTTAAATATTAGGAAACAAAGGCTCCTTGTGGTTAAATGAGTAGATAGAATCTTCCCACTTCTAAGCCAGTACTCTTTCCTTTCACCATCCTGCCACATTCGGTTGGTGCAAAAGTAATTGCTGTTTTTGCTATTAAAAGTAATGGGAAAAACCACAATCACTTTTGCACCAACCTACTATATCTCACAAAATCAGCCCAGGAAAATGTCCTCAGAAAAAGCATGAGACTGAATAGCTGGGCATGGTGGCTCACGCCTGTAATCCCAGCACCTTGGGAGGCCAGCCGAGGCAGGCGGATCACCTGAGGTCAGGAGTTTGAAACCAGCCTGGCCAACATAGTGAAACCCCGTCTCTACTAAAATAAAAAAATTAGCTAGGAGCAGTGTCAGGCACCTGTAATCCCAGCTACTCAGGAGGCTGAGGCAGGAGAATCTCTTGAACCTGGGAGGCAGAGGTTGCAGTGAGCCGAGATCATGCCACTGCACTCCACCTGGGTGACAGAGTGAGCTTCTGTTCCAAAAAAAAAAAAAAAAAAAAATTCAGGCAGAATAGAAGGGGGTGGCAAGGCAGTATAAGCAGATGTACTGCTTTGAAAAAAAACAATTCATTATCTCCTCATAGAGGATGTAAATCAATGGTTGAGCATTCTCTCTAGCTTTACAAAAGTGTCCAGAAAAGGATTCTTTTATTAGCAAACTGCTTTTACAGCATATGATTACGTTTGCACAAACGTTATAAACAAACAGTATCTATTGGATGCTTTCGGAGTCAACTAATAGTACTGAACACTTACTATGGATCAGCCACTGTACTAGAAATTCAGAGATATTTAATGAGCTTGTTCTTGATATGAGAGCAAATAACTAGTGAGGTTGGATTCTAGCCTCTCTGCAACTAATTAGTTATATGCCCTTGGCCAAGGTTTTTAATTTCTCTGAACTATATTTCACAAAGGGGATAAAAAATAATTACCTCTCAAGGTACCTGAGGTAATGTACAGAAAGCACTTATCATAGCTGTAATAATAATAGTAATTTATATATAGTAATTTTATGTATAATTATTATGAGTATTATAGTAATTATAATATATATTAATATGTTCCTAATATTGATAGAGGTTACAATATCAAGTCATGGAGATAAATTTCACTATGTAGCCCCTTGTAGAAAAGAGCCAGCAATGTTGTGAATCTTATAAACATGTTCAAAGCTCTCAATAGCTAGTCTTATACATGCCAAGAACAACAATTAAAAGCTAGCTTCTCTCTGGATGATAGGGCAATTTAGGTCAGCATTTATGGACACATGTCTGTCAAATTCCATCCCAAAGACTTTAAATTCAGTAGTGTATCAGGCCGTAGTTTTTTTTGATATTGTTCACCCAAGTATAAGAAAGCTGGAAACCAGTGTTAGAATAAGCTAGTGGTACTCTAGGAACAATTTCAAGCTCAAATGGTTGCAGACATCACCAAGAGTGGCTGAAATGGCTGTGCTCTGATGACCACTCTGGAGGTGAATCCCCAAGAAGGAATGCAAAGCATGGGGCAAAGTCAAGGCTGCAGCATGGGAAAGCCTGGCCTCTCATCTTGAGCCACAGATTGAGTAGCCCCTCAATAGAGACATGCAGGGGGATGGGGCTACTCAACCTGTTCCTTTGGGGCAATACCAATAATTAGATGGATTGATGTGCAAAGAAGTAGAATATATTCCAGAGACCAACAAAGTCTATGAGCTAACCCAGCAGAGTCTCAAGGCACCATGAGACCTGAATCTGTCCTTGACTATGGTGGGGGCAACTTTATGCAGGCTCCTGGCTTTGTCAAAGTGCTAGACAGGATCACCATGATCATTATCATCATGAGAGGCAGGATAACAGGCGCCTGGTCACCTCCAAGGTGATCCTTAGGACTACAGAGCCCCACTGGGTAGCCATAAAACATAGGAGCTGTGTGACAGAGGGACATAGACATAGCAAACTTAGAGAGCAAAAGTGGGGTGACTAAAGGAGTCAGGGGGAGGTGGCAGTCAAAAGCAAGTCCCTGGAGAGGCACTGCAGGTAGCACAGCTTGTGCAGTTAGCAACAGGAAACAACTCAGATGACTCCAGCTAACTAACAGAGGTCAGGGTCCAGGGTGTCCACCTAGTCCAGTGTAGCCTGAGTCATCTAAGGTCAGACCCTTCAAATGGCCACAAGTCCTTAAAGGGGATTCTGAGGCATAGGCAGGTCTGTCTTTGGCCAGGTAGAGCCAGTGTGTAAGTGCCACACTTACACTTACTGGTGCAGTGACACACACCCTCCAAGACCTGACACAAGAGCAGCTGCTTCAAATATAGGACAAGGATGGTCTTTGTGCATATGCCACCTCAAAAATCATCAAATCTGGCCAGGCGCAGTGGCTCATACCTGTAATCCCAGCACTTTGGGAGGCCAAGGCGGGTGGATCACCTGAGGTTAGGAGTTTCAGACCAGCCTGGCCAACATGGTGAAACCCCATCTCTACTAAAAAATACAAAATTAGCCGGGTGTGGTGGTGGGCGCCTGTAATCTCAGCTACTCGGGAGGCTGAGGCTGGAGAATCACTTGAACCCGGGAGGTGGAGGTTGCAGTGAGCCGAGATCGCGCCATTGCACTTCAGCCTGGGCAACAAGAGCAAAACTCCATCTCAAAGAAAAAAAAAAATCATCAAATGAAAATGTTGCAGGAGTGGTGCGACACAGTGCGAGTCAAGGGCTCCTGGAGCATTGTTTCCTTTCAAGGTCGGGGGCTTCCTATGCAAAATCCACACCTGTATTACTATGGAAAAAGAACATTTTTTTCTACATCAATTTAGAGATAATGATTAATTTTAAAGAAAGAATGCATAAGGCTATGAACTGATTCCTTATGAATCCAGGTTTCTTCCTACATGAGGACTCTAGAAATTTTATCTTAGATACTTTCATTTTGCAGATAAGGAAACCATAGTTAAGATATGTTTAAAGAACTTTTCTTTGATATGAGTGAAGAACTAGTGAGGTTTGATTCTAGTTTCATTCACTTAAAGACATTATCCAAGTGCAATATAAAGAGTGTTTATTATAATTGATAAGACAACGGTGACATGGCAGAAAATGGATACATTTGCTTTATAACAATAAAATGAGATTCCCCTTTCTAAAGAAAATGTTCAAAATTGCCTAAACTTAAATATAATACAGAACTCAAAAGAATTCCTTTAGACCCTGTACTATATAGGAAATAAATTCTATGACAGGTAATAGTAAAATAATATATTGGTCTAAGTCAACACTTCATATGTTGCAGGCAAGTTGAGTCCCTCAGGCTCTATAATGGCCATTCCAAGACCCAGAACCATGTAGTGTTAACTGAGGACCTTTTCCCTTTGCAACACTTCTCCATTTAGTCCATATTTGAATCTAAACCAGAGGATTTTAAAGTGTGGTTCCAGGACCGGCAGCTTCAACATTACCAGCACCATGAGGGAACTTGTTAGACATGCAAATTCTTGGGTCCCTATTGAATCGGAAACTCTATGGACAGGACCCGGGAACTTGATTTAACAAGCTCTCTAGATGATTCTGATGCACCCTGCTCTAACCATTGAGAAATACTACTCTAAACATTGTGATGGCAAGGTCTCAGGCCCAACAAGGCCCACAGTATGACTCTCTGGCTCTGGTGGTGAACATGCTTGAATGAGATTGGTCTGTGAAAACGAAATCTTGCTCCATGTTGCTGAAGTCAGTGCAGTGTGTGCATGAACACATTTCCATGGATATGCAAACCATTAATGCCAAGATAGTTTACTACTAATGAAACAACATTAGACAGTGTCTTAGTCCATTTTGTGCTGCTATACTAGAATATGACAGTTTGGGTAATTTACAATGAAAAGAAATTTATTTCTCACAGTTCTGGAGGCTCAGAAGTCCAAGATTGAATGGCTGGCATCTGGTGAGGGCCATCTTGCTGCATCATTTCATGGCATAAGACAAGAGGGCCAGAGAAAATGAGAGAGAGAAACTCATCCTTTTATAAGGAACCTACTCCTGCAATAAAGGCATTAGTCCATTCATGAAGGCAGAGCCCTCATGACCTAATTGCTTCTCATTAGGCCCCACCTCCCAACACTGTTGCATTGAGTATTATGTTTCCAACACATGAACTTTGGGGAACACTCTCAAACCACAGCATTCTGCTCTGGCTCCAAATTCATGTTTTTCTCACACATAAAATATATTCATTTCATCCCAATTGCCCCTAGGTCTTAACTTGTTCTGGTAAAAGTCCAGTGTCTCATCTAAATCAGGTATGGATGAGACTCAAGGCACAATTCATCCTGAGGCAAATTCCCTCTAGCTGTGAGCCTGTGAAATTAACAAGTTCTCTTCTTCCAAAATACAATGACAGGTCAGGCAGAGGATAGATATTCCCATTCCAAAAGGGAGAAATAGGCAAGAAGAAAGGAGTAGCAGGCCCCAAGCCAGTCTAAAACTTAACAAGGTAAACAATACTAAATCCTAAGACTTGAGGATACTCTTCTTTGACTCCATGTCCTACTTTCTGGGCATAGTGAGGTAGGGTTTGGAACCTTGAGGCCTCAGGAACAGCCTTGCCCCCCCATGGCTTTGCTAGGCTTAGCCCACACAACTCTCACAGGTTAGAATCTCATGTCCGTAGCTCTCCTAGGCTGGAGTTGCATGCTGCATGCCCATAGCTCTCCTAGGCTGGAGTTGCATGCTGCATGCCCATAGCTCTCCTAGGCTGGAGTTGCATGCTGCATGCCCATAGCTCTCCTAGGCTGGAGTTGCATGCTGCATGCCCATAGCTCTCCGAGGCTGGAGTTGCATGCTGCATGCCCATAGCTCTCCTAGGCTGGAGTTGCATGCTGGTAGTTGTGTAGTTCTGGGACTTGGGGGCATCCCCACCCCGAAGGGCTCCCCTAGGCCTAGTGAGGACTCTCTGCTATGGCTGTGACTCCACACTTCTGCTTGGCGTTGTCCTCCTAGGCACTCTCTGTGGCAGCTCTGCCCCAAGACAAGTTTTTGCTTAGGCCCTCTGGTTGTCTGCAACATCCTTTGAAATCTAAGTGGAGGCTGCCATGGCCTCACAGCATGTGCCTACAGAATTAGCACCACCAACGTTTATAGCTTGTACCTTCCAGAGCCACAGGTTGAGCTGCACCTGGGCTCCCTGGAGCCACAGCTGAAGCAGCCAAGGAGAACGATGCTGGAATTCAAGGAGCAGAGTCCTGAGGTGGCCCTGCTCACTGGTCCTGTGTAGGGTACAATGGGGAGTCACCCCAAACCATTCTACTCTCCTAGAGCTCTGGGCTTGTGATGGGAGGGGCATCCTTGAAGGTCACTGCAATGCCTTCAGGGTCATTTTCCTGTTGTCTTGATTACTTGCACCTGGCTTCCTTCTAGCTGTGTTAATCCCCTTTATCAAAGGGTCACTTGGCTGTACTGCAAGTCTTTTTATTCTTTACGTAGCCAGGCTGTGAGTTTTCCAAATTTTATATTGTTTCTCTTTTACTTATAAATTCCATCTTTAAATCATTTATCTCTTCTTTCATTTTACTATATGCAGTTAAAAGAAGCCATGCAGGTCCTTCAATATATTGCTTAGAAATTTCTTTCACCAGATATCCTGGTTCATTGCTCTTAACTCTGCCTTCCATAAAGCCCTCCAGCATGGACACAGTTAAGCCAAGTTCTTTGTGACTTTATAATGAGGATGGCCGTTACTCCAGCTTCCGATACCTTGTTCCTCATTTTCTGTCTAAGACCTCAGGATAATGGCTTCTATTGTTCATATTTCTACCAACATTCTGACCATGACCACTTAAGTGATCGCTAAAAAGTTTCAGCCTTTCTCTATAGTTCTTTTCTTCTTCTGAGCCCTCACCAGACTTGCCTTTAATACTCCATTACAGCAAGACCAGCTATTTCTAGCCTGTTCCTTCAAACTCTTCCAGCCTCTGCCCAATTACACAGTTCCAAAGCTGCTTCCCCATTTTCAGGCATTTGTTATAGTAACAGACCCACTTCTTCGTATCAATTTTCTTTCTTAGTCTGTTTTCTGCTGTTATAACAGAATACCACAGACTGGGTAATAAATAATAAACAGCAATGTATTGCCTCATGGTCTGGAGGCTAGAAAGTACAAGACAGAGGGATTTGCATCTTGCAAGGGCCTTCTTGCTGTGTCATCTCATGGCAGAAGGTGAGAGGGCAAGAGAGAATGAGAGAGAAAATGGGTCCACATTCATGTTTTTATAATAAACCCACTCCCACAATAATTAATGGCATTAATCCATTCACAAGGGCAGAGCCCTTATGGCCAAATCGCCTCTTATTAGGCCCCACCTCCCAGCACTGTTGCATTGGGGATTAAATCTCCAACACAAGAACTTTGGGGGATACATTCAAACCATAGCAGACACCCTAAACCATTTCTTTTGGCTATTCTAATCCTCCTTTTCCTGGACTGTTGGCAGAAGTTGTTCATGCATGAAGGGAAAACTGGTTTACTTAAACCAGGGTTTTTCAGTCTTGGCACCATTGACATTTTAGGCCAGATAATTTTTGTTGTGGGGAGCTGTTCTGCATTGGAGGATGTTTACCAGCATCCCTGGCCTCTATCCACCAGGTGCCAGTTGCAACTCCCCTCCCCCTTTTCACCCCCCACAAGTCTTGACAGTCAAAAATGTTTCCAGACATTGCCAAATGTCTCCTGGGAGTGAAATTGCACTTGGTTGAGAACCACTGACTTAAACCAAGGCAGTTCCTTCAAAGTGCTAACCAAGGGAGAACATGTCCTGGAAAAAAACAGTCAAGCTGATACAAGCTGGAGCAGGCTCCCAGCAGCCACGGGGATGACTCACATTGTAGGATCGGCCATGCCTCTGTCTCCACTGAACCAGCACTATCTGGGCAATGACCAGAACGCAGAGGAAGATCAAGATCATTTCCACGTGCATGGAATCGTGGCCCCGGTGCATCTTGTACATCCTCTCCTGCTGCAGGCTGGAACCAGCAAAATGAGGTCATCTGAAAAAGCCCTCAACCTTGCGCATTTAGCAAAAAAAACAAAAAACAAAAAACAAAAAAACAAAAAACAGGTTTGGCTTACAAAAAGCAACAGGGGATTTCAAATATAAGGGTTGGTAAGCTTTGATTGTAAAGTTTTTCTAAGTTTTTCTTGGTTTCTTCCCTTTCCCTAGATCTGGAGAAGGAGCAGCTGGGAGGAGGAGCCTGACTTTCTTAGCAAAACCAGTTCCTTTGCTTTCCCATGTGGTTGGCCTCAGCCTTGTCTTTTAAGTTAAGTGATGGGGCTAAAAAAAGTAATGAGCCCCAGGAAGACCTGGGGTCCAGTCCCTGATCTGCCACTTCATTGCCTCACAACCTTGGGGAAGTCATTTATCCTCTCTGAGCCTCAGTTTCCTCATTTGCAAATTTCAAATAACCATCCTTCTGTAACTGACAAGGTTGTTGTAAGACTATAAAGCACATGTTATTTTATTTGTGTCTATATAAGGAATAATTATTATTGAGCTGCATCATATGAAACTTCAATTTTTGAAAGTCAAAAACAGTCAAACGTTGGTAATTTTAAATCATTTGCTACTATTTCAAGTAAAAGGAAACCCTGCAGATGGTGCTTATGCCAGAGGAGAGAATATTATCCAGGGGGCAATGGAAAGCTTCTGAATGAGTTGTATAAATTGTTACAGGACTATAATAGAGAGAAAGAATAGGCTTAAGTATTATCTTAGACATGCACAGACATTCCCATGATGGCTGAATGTTCCCATTTTAGCTGGATGCTTAGTTTTGCACAATTGTAGAGAAAATCAACAAAATAGTTTGTCATCTCTTTTAACGTTCTGGGGTAGCCTCGATGAAAACCTAGAGCAGTCGTTCTTGACCTTGTCTGTAAGTTAGGAAACACTGGGAAGCTTTAAAAAAATCTTAACCCCCCATATCCAGATCAATTAGATGACCATTTCTGGGTGTTGGGGGCTGAATTTCACCCTCTCAAAATTCATACACTGATGTCCTAATCCCCTGTACTTCAACATGCCAACCAAAACCTGCCAGCACCTTAATCTTGGACTTTCAGCCTCCAGAACTGTGAGAAAATAAATTTCTGATTTTTAAGCCACCTATTCTGTGGTATTTTGTTATGGTATTCCTAGCAAATTAATACAGATTTGCAGAATGGGATGTGACATCAGGAATTTTTCAGGCATCCCATGTGATTTTAAGGGGCAGCCAAGATTGAGAACCACAAGCCTAGCAGAAGAGAAAGAGGCCCAGGGTCAAGATGAGTGAACATGGGGAAAAATCATGAATGCTGTCAGTTACTTTCTAAATACTGGTTATCATTATCTTTCATCCCTAGTGTGGCACCATCAGTCACAAAATCTCTTAAGTTTCCACTTACGTCTAGTTACAATATGCAGTTAGCTAATGTACCACCCAGAAAACACCACAGGGTAACAGTCTGTGCCGTGAGATAGTGACCTTTTAAAGGCACTTGATGGGTATGTGGGTTGGGTTCTCTCCCTCTGCCAGCATTTCTACAGCTACTCCAAAGAGCAGTGAATGCCTCAGAAAAGGGTCTCATCCAAATCCCAAGGGTGCCCCCTGCTGGAAAAGGTGTAGAAATCAGCCCACAGAGCCCAGTAAATACTGCTCAAGTTCAGTTTCTTTGAGAGGGATTCTCAGAATGTCAGTGCTGGAAGTTACCATAGATGGAATGAATCTCCCTCATTTATCAAATGACGAAGATGAAATCCATATCAGGTAAGCAACTTGAATAAAATTACGTGGCTCTTAGTCTCTCTATTGGAAGCTGAGCTCAGGAGACAGGAATGATTTCTAGAAGCTCATTTAAACAAACAAGCAAAAAAACAAACTTGTTCCCCTGAAGATATGGGAAGAAAAATGAAAAGAATACAAGTGCTTAGTTGTGGTTTATACAGCTCCAAATCTAAAATAGCTGTTTAATATTCTATATAATTAACAGACTTTGAACTTACGGCATATAGATAAAAGAGTGACTTCATCATCAGTCTAAAATAGGATTTGCATAGATATAAAATAAAATATGCTTTATGAGATTAATCTATTAATCTGTTATATGAGATTAATCTATAATAAAAATGCATCTCAAATTGGTTAGCCTATGTTGAAGTACTTTGAAAAGTATATATTGGTGTACAAATGTAGTAAGTATTTTCCTTTTTGAGTAGGAATATATCCAAAATTGACTCCTGTAATACAAAAAAGGAGGAGCTTTTCATTCTTATTTCACTTCATGTGGTGCTCACAGGGCCCAATGGCCCTACAGTATGCACCAGAACACAGGGGCAATGGTATAGGAACAAAACCAGTGTATCTTGTGCCTAAAATAAATAGTAACTTGACACAGCCATATTTTGAAGGATATATTAATCCACCTTTGTGGGACTGCATGATCTTTTTCTACAGATCATGCTGTAGAAAACAGATGAAATCCATGCATTTTGGTCTGTAGTATTTGTGTATCCTACCCCATCTTCTCTATCCTGGAAAATTTACAAATAAAATGATGACTTCATTCATTTTCTCAACTGTTAAGATAAAAATCTAATTTTTAGCAAAACAACTCTTAAAAAATACTAATTACTTACTTCCATGTGTCTTCTGCAGAAAGCTTTGTATGAGAGAGCTGAAAAACATAAAAAGGGCCCTTATCAAAAAATGTCCTTATTTTCTTGGTTTTTCTGTGAAAGCAATATATGGGAAACCCAGACCATGAAAAATAACAATGTCACATAGTATTTGAATAATTTGGGATAAAAGTCCTAGTAAAATAATTTGCTTACAGAACTAAAACAACACAAACAAAAAAAGAGTAATCAGGTCACTATTAATAAATATTTGATCCTGTTCCTGGATCAGAGAATCAGATGAGGCTCCATTTCTGTGGTTTTGTTTTGGCAAATCAGTCAAAGTTACAGAGAGTGGTCTCCCAATAGGCCATGCTACTCTGGCTTCTAGGATATGAAGTGTGAGTCTGAGCATCCCTAAAAACCATCTGTTTTGCTGGTATCTTAAATGATTGCAGTGAGTAAATATCTCCAATGTCAGTGAGTAAATATCATTTCCAAGTTCAAAGTTTCAGAGACAGAGCTGAGCAGAGGCTCCGTTGATTTGGAGCATTCTTGTACTCTCTTGTTAAGAAGGCATCATTACTGACCCCAGGGAAGGGAGTAATCTGGGCTTGTGCCCTTACAAATTGAGCTGGAAAGCACAGACATCGTCTCCAGAACCATGCTTTTTGGATGACCTGCAGAGTCCACCCATGGACTACCTTTTCTAGATTATTGCTAACCCACTACATTTGGTCATTTGAAACCTTTAAGGCCAATCATTGGAAAGACGTAATCGTGTAACTTTGGTGGAGAGCACAGAAGAGCATAGACAACCAATGTTTTTGCCCCCAAAGCAGAAGTTAGCAGAAAGGGACCTGTGGAACAAAGGAGGAGACTCATGCACCTTGACTACCTGAGGCTTGCTTCACTCCTGGAACTCAACACTTGAGCCCAGATGTTGTGACCTCCATTTGAATATTAGGGACCCACCTGGTGGGATCACCTGGGGGCAGGGAGCCATGGAGAAGTTGCCAGTATTACCCCCTGTGCCACCCACTTCTTTCCTGGCATCACCCAGAAAGGTCCTGGCATTGTGCAAATATTGCCTAAACTTATACTTTTCTATTTCATCCAAAGCCTTGTTCTCTCTTAAATGTGAGAAAGAAAACCTTAAAAGTACTAGAAGAAAACATGGGTAAACATGTTTATAATTCTGCAGTGGAAAAGGCATTTTTAAGTATAATGTAGAGCCCAGAAATTATAAAGTTAAAAAATGACAGATTTTGAGGACATTTAAAATAAAATACATTATAGTCCTCAATATTTGAAAGACAAATTGAACTGGGGAAAGCATAACATATGTGAGGGGCAAAAAACTAATAAGCATATGTAAAAAGGGTTTTTATAATTTAATCAAAAAGAGACAGTCCAAAAGGGCAAAGTACATGAATGAGAAATTCACGAATTGAGATATACAAATGACAAATAAATTTATGGAAAGGTGTTCAAACTCACTAGTAATAACTGTGTTTAAAAAAAAAGTAAAAATGAGGACTTCTATTGAAACACGGTAAATAAAAAAAGTGCACTTACCTCCTCTCCCTCCCCAAACACCACTAGAACAATAGCAAAAGGACATAAACCTCCAAGTCCAAGGAGAATGAGAGAGGAGTCCAGAGCAGCCAATTCTGAAACTGACCAGCAGATGGGCCAGCGGAAAGGGACACTGGGACACCACAGGGCAAAAGACACCGAAGCCCACCAGCATGCGGGCAGTGCAGAGCAGAATGTGTGTGCTAAGACCCTCAGGAGGGCTGTGGATTGCGGGCTCCTAGGGCGTCTAGAAGTGGGGGATGCAACCGGGGTTAGTAACAGAAGGTTCACTGAAAGTCAGTTTAAGGTTTGGTGGCCCCCACACTAGCAGAATACTAGTGGCTAAACCGGAGGCACAGGCCAAGAGGCACCAGGCATGTGGAGGGAGAGTAGAGGACACTGGCAGCCCTCATCTGAGTCTAGAGAGCCCTAGCACCATCCTCCCTGGCAGCATCACCTCTAGATCCGGCTGCAGGGGCCCTGCCTTGCTTTAGAGGACCCTGGACATCTCAAACCCTGAAACACAAAATAACTGTGTTTTTATCTTTTCTCTCTCTCTCTCTCTCTTTTTTTTTTTCCCGAGGTGGAGTCTTGCTTTTGTCGCCCAGGCTAGAGTGCAATGGTGCGATCTCAGCTCACTGCAACCTCTGCCTCCCGGGTTCAAGCGATTCTCCTGCCTTAGCCTCTTGAGTAGCTGGGACTACAGGCACTCGCCACCATGCCCAGCTAAATTTTTCTATTTTTAGTAGAGACGGGGTTTCGCCATGTTGGCCAGGCTGGTCTCCAACTCCTGACCTCAGGTGATCCGCCCACCTCGACCTCTCAAAGTGCTGGGATTACAGGCGTGAGCCACTGTGCCTGGTGTCTTTTCTGTCTCTTAAGAAAATATTTTGAGGCTGGGCGTGGTGGCTCACACCTGTAATCCCAGCACTTTGGGAGGCCGAGGCGGGCGTATCACGAGGTCAGGAGATAGAGACCATCCTGGCTAACATGGTGAAATCCCGTCTCTACTAAAAATACAAAAAATTAGCCTGGCGTGGTTGTAGGCGCCTGTAGTCCCAGCTACTCAGGAGGATGCGGTAGGAGAATGGTGTGAACCCGGGAGGTGGAACTTGCAGTGAGCTGAGATCGCGCCACTGCACTCCAGCCTGGGTGACAGAGCAAGACTCCGTCTCAAAAAAAAAAAAAAAATTATGAAAGTCTGGTAACTGATTGAGTGAGTAGACCTTGATTGGAGAGAGATGATGTAGGGCTGACACCCCAGGGGACTGGCAGGTTGGGGAGAAGAAAAAGAATAGCCTGTGCTCTGGGAAACTGGAGATAAAGTTTTGAAATTTGGCCATCCCAAACCATCTAAGTGGGATCTTGGCTGACCAGGCTCCTCAATTAACTGCAGTGAGGTAGTCTGGGAGCAGCTTGGAACTGCTTGGAAATCCCGAGTCTGAAAAGTGAGATGTGTGGTGGGAGATCCTATCTACCACAGCTTCCTTGGGAGTCAGTGGGGTCAGTCCACATCCCTGGTTTAGGCACCGTAGTGAGTTGAATTGTGTCCTCCCAAAAGATATGTTTGAGTCCTAACCCCCAGTACCTGTGAATGTGATCTTATCTGGCAATAGGGTATTTGCAGATGTAATTGAGGACCTCAGAATAAGACCATCTGGATTTGGGGCAGGTCCTAAATCCAATGCCTAGTGTCCTTGCAAGAGAAAGGAGCGGAAGATTTGACATCCAGAGACACAGACACAGAATAGCAAGGCAGAGTAGATGGCCGTGTGAAGACAGAAGCAGGAACCAGAGGGATGCAGCCACAAGCCAGGAACACCTGGAGTCACCAGAGACTGGAAGGGGCAAGTAAGAAGTCTCCCCTAGAGTCTTTGGAGGGAGCATGACCCTGTTGACACCTAGATTTTGAACTCCTGGCCTCCAGAACTGTGAGATAATACATTTTTTTGTTGTTATGGAGGACCTAGGAAACTAGTACAGGTACATTGAAACTTCCATCTTCCCTGTCCCAGCAGATCCTTGCTACCACTCAAGCCTGCAGCCAGCACTGCAGGTAGGGAGAATGTGGCTACACGGGCCACAAGTGGACCTGCAGGCAGGGCTGTAAGAGCAGATCAGTTGATGATACTTAGACACGTGGCACGAGGGCCTCCATTTGTGCTCTTGGCCTAGGCATGTTAGACATGGGCTTGCCCACTTGGCTGGCAGCCAGACATGCCCCTTACACAGGGAATGAATCAATTTAAGCCAAGAGAAAAGACCTATAGATGGACAGTCCTTGTTCTCCCTACAAAAAGGCCCAGCCAGGTCACCCTCCACTGAAGCCTGCCTGTCAACAGGCTTTCCCTGCTAGCAAGAGCTTAACAGTGCTGTACTGTCTCACCTCAGACACAAGTGAACAGTCAAAGATCACAAGACGTTTGAGACAGGAAAGAGTTCTGCACCCATAATGACAAGAACACTGCTTTAAAGAATATAGAAAAACAACCAAAAGCTCTTAGAAATTAAAAACAGGAAGACAGAAATAAAAACTCAAATGAAGAATCGAAGATAAATTGAAGAACTCAGAAAGAATTTAAAAAAAAAACCTCAAAGACATGGAAAACAGAAGAGAAAATATAAGAATATTAGTGAATTGGGCTAGGAAATCTCCTCACATCCCCCACCCCCGCAAAAAAAATGAGTTCTAGAACCAGAGAAGAAGATAACAGATGGCAGGAAGTTTAAAAGAAATTACACAAGAAAATTTCCAAGGACTGAAAGATACCTGTTTTAAAAATGAAATGCTCACCAAGTACCCAGCCCGATGGATGAAAAAGACCCATATTTTTATATATCTACATAAAAGAATCTGTAAGATCTACAAAATGATAACACAGATTCATATTTACTGACATAGAAATATTTTCATGACATATTCTGAACAGAAAAAGCATGCTTCAAAGCAGTTGTGTATAATCTGAGCCTATTTATGTAAATGTATAGTTACATAAAGAGACATCTGTAATAAAAAAGCCCAGAAGAGTGGCTCCCAAGACATTAACAGGAATGCTCCATGGGTGGTGATACATCCTGGGCATTTACTTTCTTTTTTATACTTCTTTACATTAAGTGTATTCTACATGAACATATGTCACTGAAAAGAACAATACAAAAGTAAGCTTGCCTCTGTCCTCTTTTTTATCCCTTTCCTTGTCTGATCAGTAGCCATGTCCTTTTTATCCCTGTTCCAGCACCACATTTCTATCAATCTCTTATATCTTTCTTTTGGCTAGCTAAATTTGTGTGAGCTCCAGATGCTTCTGAATGCCTCCTACATAGCCCCACTTGGGACTCTCTCTCTCAGATATGTGAATTAACCTGCCCTAAAGTGAACATACTTGTTTCCCCCCAAGCTGCTCCCACTTCAGTGTCCTCCATCCCCCATCTCAGTTAATAGCATCCTGTCCTATCTATCCAATTGCTCAAAGCAGAAAAGCCTGGGGCATCATCCTTGCCCCTAACCAACCCTGTACCTCCAACCCACTACTCTCCTGTTGACCCTACCTATAAATGCCTCACAAACATGCCCCCTTCTCTCCACCCCTATGGCTTCTATGCCATTCATTTTGTCATTCATTCAGCAAATATGGAGTGGTGCCTCCCATGTGCCAGCCACTGGGTTAAGAGCTGGCATTCAAGGGTTAGAAAGACAAACAAGGTGTCTGTTCTCATGAATAGGACCTTGTGTTCTAGAGGAAATGATGCACAATAAACAAGCAAACAAAACAACTGCCTAATGAAGTAAATTATATGAAGAAAATAAAATGTGTGATAAAGAATTACCAGCAGAGGGCAAGGGCTGTCACTCTTTAGATAGGGTGGCTAGGGGAAGATGAGATGGAGGCCAGCATGCAGGGTGTCCCCCTCCTCTGAGGCCCTTGCCTTCGCTCTCTTCCCTCTTCAAACAGTAAGAGTGTTCCCATTAAAGGTAGACTGATCCTATTGTCTTCCTGCCTGAAATCCAACATGGCTCACAAGGCCTTGTATCCCATTTCAGCCTCCCCTCTCTCCACTGCCCCTGCACACCCTCTGCTCCAGCCAAGCAGAGCTTTCCTGTCCCTGAATGCTCTCCCTCCACTCCCAGCCTCCATGCTGGGTTGCCTCATTTCTGCTCACCCTTGGATCCCACTTACTCCAGGACACCCTTTCGGTGAGGCCCCTACCAGGATATATACTGACCTTGAACATTGTTACCAGACTGCATTGTTGATGACTTATTTACTTACCTGAATCTGTAGGTGGCCAGCGCTGGCCTCATCCCCCCACTGAATCCTCATGTCTGGTGCATGGCACACTCAATGTGTTTGGAGACTGCCACCCCGATTGGCTTTCATTATCTCTCACCTGAACTGCTGCCTCCAAACTGATTTTGTCACTTTCAACTCTTCCCTCACAAAACCCACCTGTTAGAAAAATCTTTCTAAACCAAGTAGCAAAGCCAGAACAATGAACTCAGAAACTAGTGATGACCCTGGACCACATGTGAGTGCCAGGTAGGAATGTTAGGTTTAGAGGGCTGTATTCATTGGTAAGGAATTCATGTCACAAGGCAAGGCTGCATGCCTGTGGGTGGAGAGGAGGGGCTGTGTATGGCCTGCCCCCAGGCAGAGAGCAGTTTTGGGGAAGTGGTGGGTCCTCTCAGCTCTCAGGAGAAATCCGAGCCTGGAAAGCAAGCCTTAGACAAGCAGAAGAGGGAACTCCTAAACCCATGGTCTCTGCTCTCACACTCCAAATTTTAGGAGTTTCAAACATACCTAACCAGTTGCAGGCTCAAAAGACCCCAGGGGTTGTAGCTGGGGAGGTGGAGGATGGGGAATAGGGAGATGGTGTTTGTCCAGTAAGGTATGCTGGAGTTAGGGTCTTACATCATAAGATTGTACGTTACTGTTCATTTATTCATTCAATAAATATTTATTGAGGCCCTGCCGTTTGCTGAGACTGTTCTAGGTCCTGGAAATACAGGAGCGAGCAAGGCAGACCACATGGCTTTTCTGCTGGAGCTTTCATGCTGAAGGAGGTTCTTAGACAATCAAATACACACATAGACATACTTCAGGTAGTGATAAGGGTGATGAAGGAAAATAAAATAGGGTGAGGTTCAAACCAAAGGGAAGCTATCAGATAATAGGCTGGTCAGTAACTATCTCTGTTTTCACTTTCTTATCCCTAGCTCTAGTAAAGTCAAGAAACCAGCACTTCTTGAACTTTGATGTGCAAATGAATCACCCTGGGATCTGGTTAAAATGCGGATTTCAATTCAGTGGGTCTGGCGTGGGAACTGAGACTGCATTTTTAACAGGCTCCCAGGTAATGCCTTGGCTGCTGGTTCCTGGACCACACTGTCTTGCCATATGGGATTAAGGGAAAAGCTGTGAGTCCCTCCTAGGGCAGCCTCAACAGAGAGGCCATACCTCCTGAGGGCAGCAGACTAGGCAGTGATGCCAGCCTTAAGGAAGAGCAAAGATCAGCAGCAAATCCACCAGTACTAGATCCTCTGACACTCCTGGCATGCATTCATCAATTCAGAACCTCCCTTTCGATAATCTGGGTTTGAAACCAGCAAGAAAGTCATGGAGTTTCATTTTAAGTTTCCCCATTTTGTGGTACACAAGCCCCTCCACAGCCTAGCCCACCCTTATTTTTTGCTATAAGCATTCCTGACCCCTAGGTTTCTGGCAGTCAGAGTGGACAGTCCCCTCTCTCTGCCTTGTCCCATGGCCATCCATCCCAATATTAAAAAAAAAAAAATCTCCAAGCCATTTGGTACTGTTGTTCCCTCCATCTAGAATTCTCTGGCCCATGAGGTCAGATCCTGTCCATTCCCCAACACCCAGCTCGAATGCCACGCCCTCACGGGTTGGAGGAGAAGGGGGTTAGTCAGGAGCAAGCCCTTCTCAGAAATCCTACAGTTCTTTGCCTGAACCTATTTTGGGACATTAATCTCTTCCTACCCGCTCTGTGAGTGATTTTTGTTGTTGTTTAAGAGTTATCTTTGCCCTTAAGAGTTATTTTTGTCCTCGTTTTACGGATGGGATTTGGGTTCCTCCAGGTAAGACCTACCCTCCTCCACCCCCAAATCCTCCTGGTACCTGGATGTAGCCTAAGAAGAATTGTCCTATGAACGAAGAATAAATTAAGATTGGGTTTGCAATTGACGCCAGCAGAAGCAGAAATGGGCTAGGTTGAGCACCAGGCAAGACAAGCTGACGATCAGGGTACACATCTTGAATCAGAAACCCTGGGCACAGACCAGCAGTCTGCGTGGTAACAGGCCCTCCGAGTGATTCTGATGACACTCGAGTTTGAGAACCAGGGCGGTCTAGCCAAAAGCCTGCAGTACACCCCTTCCCCTCTCTCGCAGCTTACGACCTTGACCCTGGGCTCTGGGGGCTTCCGCCGAGGAGGGAGGAGGGCACAGGCGGTCACAAAGGAGGGCGGGAGTGGAAGGGGTGAGCCTGGAAGAGAAAGTGCGAGGATGCGAGAAGAGGGATGGAGCGAAGGAAGAGGATCAGAAGGAGGAAAGGAAGGTAGCGGGGAGGGCACAGAAGTGGGGAGGGAGGGAGTGGAGGAGGGACTGGCACCCCGCACGGTGGCATCTTCCAGAAGGTCATGCGTCCGTCCCCACGTCTTTCCAGGGCCGGTTCTCCCCGGTGGGGCCCGGGGTCTTGGAGACCAGTCTGTGCAGCCTGCCCGGCACCAGCGTGAGCCCCGGGACCCCGGCCTGGCGTCCCCCACGCCCGCGCCCCCGCGCCAGTACCTGCTCCTGCTGCGGGGGGGCCTCCAGCACCGGCGCTGCCTTCCGCGCCGCCGTCCCCGCGGCCATGCCTGAGCCACTGTGCCTTCTCCAGGGCACAGCGCCTGCCGGGGAGGGTCCCGCAGAGTCCGCAGAAGGAGGCGCCGCGGGGCCTCGGGAGCCGAGGGTGAGAGCCGGATCTGCGGCGGCGGCGGAGCGGCGGCCCTGCCCGGGTTGTGCGGGGCGGGAGATGGGAGCCTCCCGGCACGCCCCGCCTCCGCCCCCTGCACGCTGGCCAGCGTCCTCCCCAGCAGCGGCCTCGAGGTCCCGGTCGCCAGCACCCCGGTTCCTTCAGAACCTCAGGCCTCCCATTCAGCCAGCCATTGTCGCCGATAAAGCGTCTTGAGCCCTACCGGGTGCGTGTGGCGGGAACCCCGGTTTTGTTACCGGGCGGCAGGACTGGAGGAGGGGTCAGAGGTGGGTAGGGAGAGAGAGGGGAGTAGAGGAGTGAGAAATGGCGGTGGGGGGGCGAGGGGTGCTGGGGAGGAAGAGAAGAGAGAGAGAGAGTTTCCTCTCCCTCAGAGGTGTTTATTAGGAGGCAGGAGTTCGGGTGGCTGTGCAGATACAGACTTTCCTCAGTTATCTGTGCTTCCTCCAAAGATGATGAAGGAGAGAAACTCCAATCTAGGGAGAGCGCAGACCATCTTGGCCCCTATGCTGCTCCAGGCCATGCAGGGCCCCTGCGACGCAAGCATCTTGCCTTTGCCCCTCTACCTCCAGGGTCTCCCCTCCCGCCTTTACAACTTAGGCCTAAGCCTGGCTTCAAGGTTGAGAACAAGCTGGAACGTTTAGGCAAGCCTTTAGAAATACCTGGGTGTTGATTTGGGGAAACAGAAAAGAGGAGCACAGAATTAGATGATGTGTCCTACGAAATACAGCTTACCCCTTTCCAGTTTGTGATGGCTCGTATTTGTCAACACCTACAAAGGAGGTGAACAGACCAAGATGGACATTTCTCTGCCATTGTGGAACGTAGAGCCTAACAGGGGATAGAGAAAAATAAGCATCTAAGTACAATTTATCACGGATGGTGCCTTGGTTTTCCAGCCTTAACTGGGCATCAGAATCCTATGGAGGAATGCTGAGTTTGTTAAAACTCAGAGTGCTGGCCAAGCACAGTGGCTGATGCCTTTAATCCCAGCACTTTGGGAGGACAGGGCGGGCGGATTGCTTGAACCTAGGAGTTTGAGACCAGCCTAGGCAACATGGTGAAGCCCCATCTCTATAAAATATACAAAAGTGAGCTGGGCGTGGTACACCTGTAGCCCCAGCTACTCAGGAGGTTGAGGCTGGAGGATCGCCGGAGCCCGGGAGGTTCAGGCTGCAGTAAGCCGTGATGGAACCACTGCACTTCTGCCTGGACAACAGAGCGAGACTCTATCAAAAAACAAAACAAAAATCTTCAGATTGCTGGAGTTGAGCCCTAGAGTTTTTAATATAGTAGGTCTAGGGTGGAGCCTGAGCATTTGTCTTTTGAACAAGTTTTCAGGTGCCGCTGGGGCTGTTACCTACATCTGAAGACTACCTTGTAGCATGATCAGAGTGTGTTGGAAAGAGTGTCTGAGATGGAGAGAACAGTGGATGCAAGGGCCGGAATGCTGGAGAAGGCATAATGAATTGGAGAAATAAAAATCATGGTTAACATTGATAGAATGCTTACCGTGTGCCAGGTGCCGTCCTGAGCACTCTACCTGTGTTAGCTCATTCAGTCTTCCTGACAATCCTGTGAGGTGGGCATTGTGACCGTCCGTGTTTTACACGGGAGAACACTGAAGCACAGAGAGGTCCAGAAGTTTGTTCAAGTTTTGAAGCTAATAGGTGGGGCAGTGGGAATTTGAACCCAGACAAAACTGACTTCATGGTCTGGGTTCTTAATCTCTCAAGGAAGTAGCTGCGAAGGTCAGCAAGGGCCAGATCCACATAAATCATATTAAACAGTTTGGACTGTAGCCTCAGGAGAATGAGAAGCCATTACCGAGTTTTAAGCAAGAAAATGACATTACCAGACTTGCCTTTTGGCTTCAAGAGTGGGGAAGAGGGCTATGACTATGACTCAAGACAGAGAGACCAGCCAGAAAGCTATTGCTGTAGTTTCAGCTCTAAGGATGACAGTGGCCTTGGTGGTGAGAGTGTGTGCGGGGACAGAGTGGAGGGGAGATGGAGAGATGTGTTTGGGGATGGGAGATCTAGGTAATAGAATCTACTGTACTTGACTCATCTCCAAGGATGGTGCCCAGGCATGTGGCTTGGGCAGTCTAGCATTTGGGCAGACAGTGCTGCCATTGCTGAGAATGGGAACATTGAAAGAGCAGCAGATTTGGGGACACAAAAATAGTGGGTTCATTTGGACATGTTACTTCTCTACCTATCTTGTGGCCTGCCTTCATGTGGCAAGAGCCATTTTTTCTCTCCAGCCCAGGATATCCTCACATTCATCTAGATTCTCCCAAGGCAGCAAAATAATAAAATGAAAATAGTCCATATGGAGATAGATGTTCCCTTTCTATAAAATTCTGACCTGTTATTGTTATATAAGTCTCAGGTCCCAGATTTGAAACTCTCTCTCCTGATTGATTGGCACCAAAAAGACCCACATACTTCACTGGAGACCCATGTATGCACAAAGGTATCATCTTCCTTCTGGCTTCAGCTCAGCAATCATATCAGAATAAAACTCAAAAAGTGCATTTCTTCCCCATCAGTAACGATGGCTTTGCTCTAATCTATCCTCCTCTTATACCTGGTTTCTTCTATGATCAAATTGCAGATATTCAGAATGAATATTTAATTTCCCAGTCAGTTAGGCAATGCTCTCTGGAGTAGTTCACTGAAACAAGGTTAATTAATTTGAAATTTTGTTTTCCAAATCAAATGGTTGGCGGCTGACTCTGTCTTCTGTCCTGGAATAGATGAACTGTATTCTGCTGCTTAACACTAATCTCTTCAGCATTTTATCTGTAGTCTGTGCATCCTTCTTCATGTCCCGCAATGTAGAGTCCTGAGGTGGTTGTAATGATGTAATGGAAGAAATTAGCTAATGTGGTAAATGTGTTTGAGAAACAAGGTGGGGTCAAGAATCACTAGTCAGTTGATTGTCATATTTGGTGCAGGAATCAACAGACTCAAGGAACAGAATGGGCACATACATTTATGGAAAACTAGTTTCATGAGAGGAGTAGCAAATCAGCAGAAAAAAATAGATTATTTAGTAACTGGTTTATCCATAAGAAAAAAAAATTATACCATACCAGCACAAAACTGGTGGTTAGAAAGCAATAGTTTATCTAAAAGAATGTTTTTATGGTCTCAAGATAAGAAAAGATATATTAAACAAGACTCACAAAGAACAAATGGCAAAGAAAAAAGTTTGCCTGTATTAAAATGAAAAATTTCTGTACAACAGAAACTTGCGGTTAAAAAAGAGGCAAGCCATGAACCAGAATATATTTGTATATAACTCATTGACAAAGGACTAGTACTCAGAATAAGTAGAACTGCTAGAGATTAATTTTTAAAAAGCGTAGATCAATAGAAATGGGCAAGGGATATAAATCAATTTGTATAAATAAAATTATGAGACTTTAAAAATAATTTTAAGGGAATTAATGATTGAATTTATTAATATGTGGATTAATTCAGAGTACACACTTCACAGGAATGCTTGTATATGTTCAGTTACTTGTTCCGCAGTGGCTCCCTCCAGCCTTCCTACCCTAGACCACTCAGCAATTTTCCCCATTTCTCCTCCACTTTCTTGGGGCCACCAAACTTCCTTGGGCCAGTGGTGCCACCTAATGGTTAGATCTTGCAGAATGCCATTGTATTGCTTTACAAATGATCTTTTTCAAGTAACTTCCATTTTCAATTTACTCCTTTCCTCATTTCTCATCTTTTCATATTTCATATACCATATACAGATATCTCATGTCTTTTTCATATTCCCAGATAAAATGTGTATTTGATCCCTAGCATTAAGCTAGAATAAATGATTCAGAATGTCTCCAGCCAGGTGCAGTGCTGGTCACATGTGGAATAGGATGGCAGAGGGAGACTCCATGCAACTGGCAGAACTTCTCCTCTGTGAAGGGGATAGCAAGAGCAGGTTCATCTACATGAGGGCAGGGCAGGGAGGTAAAAATCCATCCAGGCTGTGTGAATATCCAAGAGCTTGTCTGATCTCAGAA
The DNA here is from genome assembly GCF_000001405.40 of Homo sapiens. Lineage (NCBI taxonomy): Eukaryota > Metazoa > Chordata > Mammalia > Primates > Hominidae > Homo > Homo sapiens. The sequence continues at coordinate 153,764,017 of NC_000004.12, forward strand.
ATCAGTATGAAAAAGACACCAAACTTTCTGGACTCCAGTGGTTCTTGGGGCCAGGGTTGGCTTTGTTATAAATAGGAATAATCACCCAAGAGGGGAGGAACGCTGAAGCCAGGTCCCATCTTGGCTGATGAAATAGCTGCATAGGAATGACTAGGCTAACTTCTTTTCAGTCGTCCTAACCCTCCATTCCACCCCCTCCCCAAACTCCTTTCTGGGTGCTAGGTTGGTCTTCACATGCAGACACTAGTTCCTTAGAATTGACAGAAATCCTGCAAGTTGGTCTGATTCCCAACTGTCGGGGTTCCTGACTTAACAGTCCCAGTTTTCCTTGGTCCCTCTGCCTAACTGGATAGACATTTTCATCTTCCTTTAATTAAATCTGTTTTTGCCTAAGCACTAGTACTTTTTTATCTCATCCTTTAATTATTAGTATTGTAACACTATTGATTTCCACTCTGTTGGGCTAAAATGTATGGTGTTTAGCTATATTATGGTTACATGGCTTTTTGTGAGCTGGCTTGTAGCCCTAATTGCCATTTATAAAATTGCTTCTATGGGAAAGTGCATTCTGCCTTTCAAACCACAGCCTTCCAAACACACGAACACAGTTCATTTGTGAGCTGGGAACCATCAGTATTAATGTCTCTTGGCCCATGGCAGCCCCACAACCAAATGACATGTGGTTTAAGGTTCGTGTAACAGCCAGTTCATTTAAATAATGTTAGCTAGGACTCAGCTTTCAGGTTCTCGGATTTCTGGTTAATTTCGAATAGAAGAGGCAGCAGAGTTGCAGCATTCAGACAGTGTATGCATGGTGCTCCCTGCTCCTTATTGAGTAATGGCACATTCTTTCTTTTAATGGTTTACCCTGCAGGTTTTAGGAGTCAGCCTCTTCTGAAGGCAAGCTTTTCAGTTCTGTTGAACAATTGATCTTGGAAAAGAAGAACTCCTTTTAAAAGACAACTATACTTTCAAGCCTGGAAGTTCAGCTAGGGTCATTCCAGTTTATTGAGTCCAGGGGCCCTCTCAGCAGGAGGGAAAACCACATTTAAATCCTTGATGGGGCTCCTTCTCCTTCTTTCTGCTTGTCTTCCTTTCCCCAGTGCCTCCTCTAAGAAGTTTCTTCTTTACTAAGTTAGAAGCCAAACAGCCCGTCCCAGGCAAGCTAGTCTCCACTGTCCTAGCTATAAAAAGAGTTAATATTTATCAAACACCAACAGTGTGCCAAGGCACTGGCTAAGTGTGATACATGTCTGATATCATTTAATCCTCAAAAGGACTCCCAGTGATAGGTATCACCATCCACAGTTTACAGATGAAGACATTTAAGTCAAAAGAGATGAATTGCTTTATCTAAGAATGTGTAGCAGCAACCACTGCTGTTCCAGTGGCCTAACCCCTAGGTTGTGTGGGGAGGCCCATTGCTTCACTGGAGGTGCCCCCAGGAAACCTTGTCCTGATACCGTGTCCTGTGTTTTTTTTTTTCATTTCTAGTTAAGACCAAGAACTTGCCCTCATAATTCCCATACTTCAGATTAATTGCCAGAGGTGCAAGATCACGTGCACCTCTGTCCCAAAAAGTCACATTCTGGTGAAAGAAAAGTACTAATATTCTTATTTTCTCTTTACTTTAGATATTTGTCTTCCCTAGGGGCTTGAAACAATCAGTTATAGAAGCACCAAGAGCACACAGTTATTTTTACCCTCCAGTGCGCACTTCTGGCCTGACTTCTTACTTTGCTTTCTACGCATGACAATAGCTAAAATATTTTATACTCCTGAATAGTGCCAGGTGCTTTACATATATTTAATCCTAAAACAACACTATTGAGGAGGGAGAATAGGGTCTGAAGGCAGGGAACATAAGGCCAATTCACGCAAATTTCCTGGAACTAAATTAAAAGGAAGAACCTGCACTCTGACCTACTGTTGGTCCATTCTAGGACCTTTATTTGCATAAGGCACCAGTCCATGCCAGCATCTGATTGGCTACGGGCCAAACCTGCACTCTGGCCTATGAGTGGTCCATTCTAGGACTTTCATTTGCATAGGGTGCCAATCATAGCATTCGTGGATTGGCTGCAGCCCATTTCACTTTGGCCTCTAATTGGCGGTGAGCTAGCCCTTCATTTACGTATGGTGTAACCAATGAGAGACCTCTAGAGAGTACTGAAACCCCAGAAGGCTTTGCTACCGGGACTGTTGAGCCACTTGCTGGGGCTTCTCCCGTTCTGTGGAGTGTACTTTCGCTCCTATTGCCTTCCGCTTCAGTAAATCTAGGCTTTCATTGCTTGCTCGCGGGTGCTGTTCAATTCTTTGTTCAACGCACCAAGAACCAGGACAACTCATGATTAGAACCTTCCACTCGGTACCAGGTAGGTTATTATTATATCATTTTACAAATAAAGATGAATAAGGACTTCTGGGCCATCCCCTATGCTTGTGAAGCCCTTTCGTTTCCTCATTTAAATCTGCCGAGGTCCCACCCCTCCCCTGTACCCTCCCCAGGCTGTCCCAGGCCCCAGCGGCAATACATCTCTCAGCCCTTTGCTCCCAGCTTTTTGCATCAGCCTCTATTCCAGACTGCTTTGTTTTAAAGGTGCTTGTAAGTATGTCTTTGTCAGCCACCCACTGCAAATGCATGGAGAGCAGAGACCATCTCTCAATCATCTTCATTGCACCACTACAGCTAGTAAATGCCTGGCCTGGAGCCGAATCAAATGGGCGATCCTGCCCCCACGCCCCTCACTGGCTTATGCAGGGAGAGTGAGGACAGGTGGCTTTCTTTAGCCCATCACCTGCAGAGGTTCCTCCAGGAAGGAGAGGTGGTCGTTGTCAGTGTGGCCACAGCCTTTCCTTATCTACCCATTACAGGACCATTGAGAACTTGGCGCAGGATACAGACTTTAAATAAGATAAGAGATGTAAAATGTTTTTTTCAATTCGCAATTGCAAAAATATGGAACCAGCCCAAATGCCTGTCAATCAATGGGTGGATAAAGAAACTGTGGTATATACGTACACGATGGAATACTACTTAGCCATAAAAAGGAATGAATCAATGGCACTTGCAGCAACCTGGATGGGACTGGAGACTTATTCTAAGTAAATTAACTCAGGAATGGAAAACCAAACATCGTATGTTCTCACTTATAAGTGGGAGCTAAGCTATGAGGATGAAAAGGCATAAGAATGATACAGTGGACTTTGGGGACTCAAGGGGAGAGGGTGGGAAGGGGTTGAAGGATAAAAGGATACAAATTGGGTTCAGAGTATACTCTGCTTGGGTGATGGGTGCACCGTAATTTCACAAATCACCACTGAAGAATTTACTCGTGGAAACCAAATACCACCTGTTCCCCAAAAACCTATAACATTTTTAAAAAATGTGCTCTTAACATTATTCCATGCACTGCAGAGTGTATACTCCTTATTTTATAATGAGTTTATACTTTTATATATAAATATATTCTTATAATACTCGTATTTTATAATATATTCTTATAAGCATCTACTACTTCTTATTTATTACTCAAAATGGGATATATTTTTGCCATCACTTAGAGATGCCAAGATGTGGATGGGAGAAGGCAAGCAGTGCGAAGGATGAGGCCTGGGTCTGCTCCATTCTACCTGTTCTCTTAGCCTTGTATTGAATGAACAGAAATCTTGGTATTTAGCCATGTAACTGCTAAAAATATGTGGCACAAGTTAGTGTTGGCGATACAGTTGCTTTTTAAATTTATCCTATAAATGCAGTAATCCTAGCACTTTGCAGAATAGCTGGAATAGTGCACACAGGGAAGTAAAACACATATTTACATTATTTGGGAGTATCAGAAATAGAATATCAGTGTTTTGGGGTTTTTTTGTTGTTGGTTTTGCCTTTTCTGTGGAAAGGATTTCAAATATTCCAAGTTACTAAGTGGTTATAAACAAAAATTTTGTGCTCTGCATGTTATCTAAATAGGAGTATTTTTCTTTTTCTTTTCTTTTCTTTTTTTTTTTTTTTTTGAGACGGGATCTCATTCTGTCACCCAGGCTGAAGTGCTGTGGCACGATCTCTGCTCACTGCAACCTCCTCCTCCCGGGTTCAAGCAATTCTCCAGCCTCAGCCTCCTGAGTACCTGGGATTACAGGCACCTGCCACCACGCCCAGCTAATTTTTGTATTTTTAGTAGAGACCAGGTTTCACCATGTTGGCCAAGCTGGTCTCAAACTCCTGACCTCAGGTGATCCACCCACCTCGGCCTCCCAAAGTGCTGGGACTACAGGCGTGAGCTACTGCCACCGGCCTAAATTTGAGTATTTTAAAAATTTAATATGTTGAGATAAAATTGCTTAAAATGTTTAATTTTTGTAGTAAAAATATTCTATGGGGCTTTGAAAGAAGGAAAATTTTAGAAACCATTCTGGATGTGATGGTTAGTAGGTAATCTAAGGAATAGTTAGGCTTTACTAGTGTAAGATTTTTCTGACGATCTTACAGATATCCTTTAAAGTGGCCATGGTTTTGGTGATGACTTTAAGTGAACAACTCAAAGGAAGCTTTAGCCTGTGATAAATGTGGGAGAAGGACAGTGTCTGGGTCCACACACTCACTACAAGACTTGAATCAGAGCCCTGCCTCTCCTACTTGCTCTCTGGACTATTTTGGAGAGAGGGTCTCTATCTTTTCCGCTTGGTTAATATGTGTCTGTACTGTAAGTATATTAAGGCATTATTAGCAATGAAATGAAATTGAAAAATTCTTAGTAGTACATCGTTTGTGTGAAGAATCGCCAAATAACATGGTCAGAGCTGGTAGCCTAAGCGTGAAAAACTTGATCATTTACTGAACTTAGGGTGGGCTGATTATCTTTGCTTTTTGAATGGCTGAGCACTGGAAAGGTTGCCCCAGCCAACAAGGAATTAACTACTGATAAGACTATCCAGAAAAGGGAGAAAAGGTTGTGGAAAGTGAAGTTAAGTTTGGTTTAATGTGTATTGATTTTGAGACACCTCCAGGCTACACAGACATAGTTGTCCACATAAGACAAACTGAAGTCAGGAGAAAGGTTAGAGATTAGAGATTTAGTTTTCGACAGTGGCAAACTTTCCAGGAGTGAATAACATTTCCTAGGAAGTCTATAATGTGAGAAAGGAAGGAGGTCCAGGAATATAGTTGGTAGTTAAGACAGTGGGATTTAGGATCAAACACATTTGGCCTCAAGTCTTAATTATAATATACTCTAACTCTGTGATCTTGGAACATCTGCCTTTGAAAAAAAAAACAGGCTTGAGGTATAATTTATATACTTTATGATTCAGCCTTTTTAAAACAGTTTGATTCTATGTTTTTTTAGTATATTCACAAAATGACTATCACCACTATCTAATTCCAGAACATTTTTATCACCCAAAAAAGAAACCTTATATTCATTAGCAGTCACTCCCCATTTCCCCCTTCTTCTATCCCCTGGCAACCACGAGTCTACTTTCTGTCTCTATGGTTTGTAATAAACGTTATGTATAAATAGCATCATACAAGAAGTCTTTGTGCTTGGCTTCATAGCATAATTATTTCAAGGTTCATCCATGTTGTAGTATGTATCAGTACTTCATTCCTTTTTATAATTGAATAATATTTCATTATATAGATATACTACATTCTATCCACTCATCAATTGATAGACTTTTGAGTTTTTTTCACATTTTGGTTATTATGAATAATGATGCTATGAAAATACATATACAAATGTTTTGTGAATATATGTTTTTAATTCTCTTGAGTATATCTCTACAAGTGCAGCCGTTGGTTCATATGGTAACTCTACATTTAAGATTTTGAAGAACTGCTAAACTGTTTT